>NC_000008.11:27132829-27435860 GCF_000001405.40 Homo sapiens
TGTCTTCGTATGGACTATGCTTTCATTTCTCTTGGATAAATATACATAAAGTTGGAATTACTGGGTTATAAATTAGGTTTTTATTTAACTTAAGAAACTGCCAATTGTTTTCCAAAGTGGTTATACCATTTTACATTCCCATCAGCAGTGTCTGAGAGTTCTATTTCCTCCACTTCCTCACTAACTCTTGGTATAGTCAGTCTTTTTAAATTTTAGCCATTTTAATAGGTATGTAACTGTGTCCCATTGTCATTTTAATTTGTGTTTTCCTATAAACACAAATATGGAGCATCTTCTCATATTTCTGTTTCCTATCCATATATCTTTTTTGGTGAGGTATCTGTTCAATTCTTTCACCTCTTTTTGTTTCGTTTTGTTTTCTGTTTGTTCTCTTGGTTTTTCATTTCTCCCTTTTCTTTTTTCTGCCTTCCTGCCTTGAATATTTTTGAGAATTTCATTTTTATTTGTCTATAGTTTTTTGAGTGTATCTCTTTGTATAGATTTTTAGTGGTTACTCTAGGTACTACATTATATATATGAAATGTATCACACACTACTGGTGTGGACATTTTGCTAGTTTAAGTGAAGTGTAGAAATGTTACATCTTTTTACATCCTTTTACCCTGTGGTGTTTACGGTATACTTGTCTTAAATATTTCCTTTACTGGATTGAGAACCACATTAGACAACGTTATACTTTGTTTCAATGGTCAATTTAGAAAACTGAGGAGGAGAAGGAAAGCCTATTACCTATATTTTCACTTTTGTTTTTCTTGTTCTTTCTTACTGATGTTCCAAGATCCCTTCTTTTATCATTTCCTTTCTGTTTCAATAACTTTTTTCAACCATTCTTTACGGTAGGTCTGCTAGAAACAAATTCTCTTAGTTTGTCTTCATCTGAAGATGTCTTTATTTCCTCTTCATTCTTGAAAAATTAATTGCTTAGTATAGAATTCAGGGTTTGCAGTTCCTATCTTTTAGCACTTGCAAAATGATGTGCCACTTTCTTCTGGCCTCTGGTTTCTAATGAGAAATCCACAGCCTTTCTAGTTGTTTTTCCTTTATAAGTAGATGTTCCTGCTTTGGGGCCTTTTGTTTGTCTCTGGTTTTCAAAAGTTTATGATGTGCTTTAGCATGGATTTGTTTGGACTTATTTTGGGGGAATTTGCTGAGCTTTGATTTTGGGGAATTTGCTGGGATTTGCTTTTCCAAATTTGGGAAACTTTCATCCACTATTTCTTTTAATACTACTTCCATCTCTCTCTCTTTCTCCTTTTCGTCTAGAACTCCAATGAAGCTGAAGTCATATTTTTTGATATAGACTCACAGGTCACTCTAGTTTTATTCAATTTTTAACTTTTTTCTCTGTTGTTCATACTGTTTAATTCCTACTGTTCTATCTTAACATTCACTATTTCCTCTATTCTTCCATTCTGCTATTGAGCCCATTCATTGAGATTTTTATTTCAGTTATTGTCTTTTTCAGTTAAAAGATTTCCATTTGGCTCCTCTTGATAGCTTCTATTTCTTTGATGAGGCTTTCTATGTTTTTGGCTGAGACTTTCTGCTTTTTATTTGTTTCAAGCATGTTTGTAATTGCTTATTGAAGCATTTTCATGATGGCTTCTTTAAAATACGTGTCAGCTAATTCCACCATTTGTGTCATTTCATTATGGTCATCTGTTGATTGTTTTTTCTCATTCAAGTTGAGTTGTTTCTGGTTCTTTATATGGTGAGGGATTTTCAATTGTATTTGGGCATTTGGGGCTACATCATTAGATTCTAGATATTATTTAAATCTTCTCCTTTAACATGTTTTCTCTCACATCCAGCTAACGGAGGAAGTGGAGTGCCACCTCATTGATGCCAGATGGGAGTGAATGTCCAGGTTCCCCACTCAACCACTTTTGACTCCCTGAGAGGAGGACTGCCTGGTTATTACTAGGCAGGGGTGGGATTTCAGGCTAGCCAATACGCCTCCACAGACACCATGCCAGAGAGGGGAAGAGAAAAGGGGTGCCTCATTACAGCTGGACATAGTGGAAATCTGTTCTGTTCTCTCTACTTGGTCTTTTTTTTTTTTTTTGAGACAGAGTGTGGCTCTGTCGCCCAGGCTGGAGTGCGGTGGCGCTGTCTCCGCTCACTGCAAGCTCCATCTCCCGGGTTCACACCATTCTCCTGCCTCAGCCTCCTGAGTAGCTGGGACTACAGGCACCTGCCACCACACCCGGCTAATTTTTTTTTGTATTTTTAGTAGAGACGGGGTTTCACCGTGTTAGCCAGGATGGTCTCGATCTCCTGACCTCGTGATCCGCCCACCTCTGCCTCCCAAAGTGCTGGGATTACAGGCGTGAGCCACTGCGCCCGGCCTCTACTTGTTCTTTCTTGACAGAGGCGTGTGCGGCTATGGCTTTTCTACAACGTTTGACTGTGGTAGGGTAGTTATTGTCTGGAAGGTTTCTGTTCTGCTACCTGTTTCCTGGCCTTTTGTTTAGAGAAAGTGGGCTTTTCTTGGGGCTTTTTTTGTTTGTTTGTTTGTTTTTTTGGTATGTGCCTGTTGGTATTTCCAGTTTCCCTGCTTTAGTTCAGAATATATGAGGTAAAAAGAAAGCCCAGCAAACTCACTGTCATGTTGATCTTTGGGTCTCCAAGAGCCCAGCTGGTCTGCCTTCTCTCCACCTTTCAGCACCTGATTGTTTCATACATCATGTTCAGTGTTTTCAGTGGTACTTAGCAAGAGGAATAGGAATGGTGTGTCTACACTGTCTTGGTCACATAATATTCTTTGAAGTAAAAAAACAGCAAAGAATAAAGTACCATGTATATGTGTGCAAATTTTGTAACAAAACATAAATATATCCCTGTAAGTGACCATGAGCAAGACTTCTGTTGCCCAAAGCTGTTGCTGAGGACAAAGCTGAAGACAAAGGGATGCTATGTCTCCAGTATTCTAGAAAGATCCCCTACAAGTAGAGCCAGACCTTTCCATAGTACTTGCTACAAGCAGGCAGAAGCAGCCAATAGTCAATCCCACTGCCCCAAGACTATAAGCGGAAATGTCTTACAAGGGGAAAAGGATGTCATGTCCCCTAAGCCTTGAGTCTGGATCTATACTGAGAGACAAGAAGGGTTCTCAATCAGATTTGAGAGTAACATTTTATCACACACACAACGTTGAAGAATCAGTTTTCACCAGAAAGTTATGGAATCTGTCTAAGATGGTATTAAGAGACAAGAAACAATGTTGACAGAACCCAGCTAAACTTACTGAACAGCTTTCTGTTTATCCTGCCATTGAGATGAGATGCCTTTCCTCTATATGCCGGTTAATATATACAAATAGGAAAGATTGGAAGGATGAAAACTAAAACAACATTCATCTCTGAAAGTTCAATAACTGATGATTTGTATTTTCTTCTTCATGGCTCTCCAGAATTTCTCATTTTTCATTATTTAACATGTATTACTTGTACATTTTTAAAACGTAGGTTTTAAGTGTCCACAAGAAGAGTGCTTGTTTGATTTGGAACTTGTCTCACTAATGGAAAGCCTCAATCCTCTGAGCCTAAATAGTGAAAAAAATGAAGGTCAAGGGGCTCATTTTAAAAACTTATGAGCCAGTACTGATGAGTGCAGTACAATATTGCAGTCTTGCAGCATGGACAGATGCTTCTTCAATTCAGTGTCAATTAAACACTCTTCAAACAGGATATTCTAAACCATGCCCTTGGCCAGGCGCGGTGGCTCACATCTGTGATCCCAGGACTTTGGGAGGCCGAGGCGGGCAGATCACCTGAGGTCAGGAGTTTGAGATAAGCCTGGCCAACATGGAGAAACCCCACCTCTACTAAAAATACAAAAATTAGCTAGGTGTGGTTGTGCATGTCTGTAATCTCAGCTACTCAGGAGGCTGAGGCAGGAGAATCGCTTGAATCCCAGAGGCAGAGAGGTTGCAGTGAGCCGAGATCATGCCATTGCACCACAGCCTGGGAGACAGAGCAACACTCTGTCTCAAAAAAATTAATTAGTTAATTAATTAATTAAAATAAACCATGCCCTTGAAGTCCTTAGGGTGATATCTTATAGACACTACTGTGACTTTAAATTGAGAGATCAAAATGTATTCTGTTACTATCATCACATTTGCCTATTTTTAGAAAAGTCCTTTATCAATTTATTCACACATACACCCTTCCCTCACCCAGTCTTCGAATTCCATAGTCAAATACCTTAGTTTCTAACAAGGCTGGTTTCCCTTCCGTCCTCTGAGAGCATCACCCCTTTTCTGATGCTCACAAATGCTCGTCTTTCTGTCTGGAGTCGTAACACAGCCATTAAACATAAAACAAATTTCCCTGAGATTTAATTCCCTTGATGATCAAATTGACTAATGGCCACTTTGCCTAAAATTTTGGATTAAGCTTTGTCATTTTAAACCAAATATGAATATAAATATAAAAGCACTTCTGATTTTGTACTTCTAAAAATTGTTAGTAGCTTTTTGAAACATGGGATCACTTATTGTTCTGGGTATCCCATTCCATGTCATTTAGTTTTAAGGATATTTTTTTTTTTTTTTGGCTTGCCTAAATGTGCTTTCTGTCAAGCTTTAGGCTCCCGGAAGTATGTTCCTAACTAAAACGAAAAGTTTCACACAATACTTATCAAATTTTTTTTTTATTCCTCCTGTCTTATTCTTCAAGGTCTGTTTTTGTTTTCCACTGTGTGCACCTGTGCACCTCATGTGTTTATTAACCAAATTAGCACATACTCATAATGTATTCTGTTTATGAGGTATTGACATTTTGACAAGAATGAAGCTGTGAACTAGATGGATCTGAACTGTTCCAAACAACATTTCATTTTTTTCAAGACATCTGCTTGACAAAATAATAGTGGATTCTAAAACACAAAATATCATTACCGGACAGGCATGGTGGCTCACGCCTGTAATCCTAGCACTTTGGGAGGCCGACATGGGCAGATCACTTGAGGTCAGGAGTTTGAAACCAGCCTGGCCAACATGGTGAAACCTTGTCTCTACTAAAAATACAAAAAAAAAAAAAAATTAGCCATGTGTGGTGGTGGCTGCCTGTAATCCCAACTACTCGGGAGGCTGAGGCAGAAGAATCACTTGAACCTGGGAGGTGGAGGTTGCAGTGAGCTGAGATCACGCCACTGCACTCCAGCCTGGGTGACAGAGTGAGACTCTGTCTCAAAAAAAAAATAAAAAATAAAAAATATCATTACTAGGTGTATTATTTCCAAAAAAGTTCCTATGCCATTTTATATCCATTAAAACCTTTATAAATCTTCAAGATGTTCCTCCTTCCCTTAACTAACCCTGTTTTGGCACAAATTCTTACTTCTTTTGCTCTCCATTCACATCTAGATGTATTTCCTACAATAATTTCTAAAGTAAGTTTTTCCATCTTTTCTAGTTGTTTTGAGCATGTTTCCCTTATGTATTTCTCTAGGTCTTAAATTATTTGTGTGCTGTGACTTTTTCTTTGACTTGTATTTTCTACAGCACTGACTAGTGCTGCTTCAACAAGAAACTGGATAAATCTTGCTAAGTGCAAGTATTTTATAGAAAGACCCCAAGTTTATTTTCCTTTGAAATAAAAACTTGAGTGCTGCAGATGCATTTATATTTGTACTGGTATTTTTCAAAATGTAAAATGCTTCCTACATTAAGAAAATAAGACATATATTACTCTTCTGCTATTTCAATTTTCTAGTGAAACACAAAATTCTCTCTGGAGCATTGGTGTTCCACGGTTGTTTTAAAAATTACAAATGGTGATGATTGTGGAAAGCTGGAAAGCTGTGCTAATGTATAAAAGTGCTGATTTATGTCACCAATGTGATGTTAGTCCTGCAACTGCAGAGTACCCTAACCTTGACAGATATGCAGGCCACAATTCAATGTCATTTAAATATAAGTGTTGTGGTCCTACAAGATAGGAAGAATCTGGAAACAGCTCAGAAAGAAGTAGCATATTGATTGGCTGAGTCTAATCTAAGTAGTGAAGTAACTGGGCTGGCTGTTCAGAGCTTGATCAGGTCCAATCTAGAGATAAAGGTTAATTAGGCAAGAGCTTATCTTGAACTCTGGAGACTTCAGTTGTAAAACCAATCCTATTTACAAAATAGGAACTTGGAAGCCCCAGATGCCCCACGGCAAATAAAAGGAGTTCAGATTAGACGCCTGGGTCACAGGGAAGGTGTTCTAAGGATTTATAACTTCATGTCTTATGAATAGATCAAAATCTCTGATTGCCGTGCAGCCTCAGCTGGCCAGAAGGCAATTCAAATGTACCTGGGAGGATGGTCTCAAGTAGCTTTGTGTGGCAAAGTATGCCCTTAATGTACAAGTGTCCTTAATCCAGGAAGATTAAGAATCAACTATAGGCATGATAAAATAAGTTGATTTTTGGAGTACTTTATATAACATGGAGAAACCCTGTCTATACTAAAAATACAAAAAATTAGCCGGGTGTGGTGGCAGACGCCTGTAGTCCCAGCTACTCGGGAGGCTGAGGCAGGAGAATGGCATAAACCTGGAAGACAGAGTTTGCAGTGAGCCGAGATTGCACCACTGCACTCCAGCCTGGGCAACAGAGCAAGACTCCGTCTCAACAACAACAACAACAAAAAAAAAAAGAAGTGCTTTGAGTATTAGTTTTCCATTGCTGCCTTAACAAATTACAGCAAATTTAGCACCTTAAAACAACACACATTTTGTTATTTCACAGTTTATGTAGGTCAGAAGTTTGGCAGTGGTTTCACTGAGCTAAAATCGAAATATCAGAAGGTCTGTGTTCCTTGCTCCTTGCTGGGGTCCTGAGGAAGAATCTGCTTTGGGGTCATTCAGATTGCCAGCAGAATTGTGCAATTGTGGGACTAACATCCCAGTTTCTTTGTCTGGTGGGAATGGTTCTCAGCTTTAAGAGGCTGCCCATATTCCTCGGCTTGTGGTTCCCTCTTTCCTTCCTCAAAGTCAGCAATAGTGGAGGAAGTCCCTTCTCATGCTTCTACGGTCTCCAAACCTCCACTTCTGCCTCTGCTTCTTTCACAGCTCTTTCCTCCAGCTAGAGAAGTTTCTGTTTTCAAGGGTAATTGGACTGGGCCCCCTCAGATAACCCAGGATAAAGTCCCCATCTTAAGGTCCGTAAACTTAGGATACAACGTCTGCAAGATCCCTTTTGCCATGTTACATCGCATGTTCACAGGATCCAAAGATTTGGACATGGGACATCTTTGGGAGGCCATTATGCCACCTACCACATTTAATAAATTAATTTAACAGAAAGGCAAAAGGGTTTTTTACTAAACCTATAAAGCAGCATTGGGATAATTAAGAGGAGAAAAGTATTCTCATAAATTTAACTTTTCAGGTTTACAAGTGGTATTTAAGTAAATGCCTGCCAACTTTCTTAGGCCCTAGGACACAAAGAAAATCACAATATTTGCACAGCATCCCTGACCCCAGCAAATCACCTTAGGTGTGTGGCTGTGGTTGCCCCCATCTCATCACCCGATTTCAGCTCTGGAACTAAGATGACTTTGTTCACTTTTCTGAAACTGAATCTGCCCTTCTGACGCCACAGGCTGGCTCCTCCTCCAGGGCTCCCTTCACGTTCATTTAAATCAAGATCGAGATGATTTCCCCTTATCCCAAATTATCCACTCTTCAACTGGAAAGCCGAAGGCAACTTCCCATGATGATCATAAGTCTCTAACCAATCCCAAGCCAAGTTTCCATGGGGCTCTCTAAATATAAAGACCCTGTGGTTCCTGGGGGACTGGGCTGCCCGAGACACACTGTGTGCAACACATTCCATGGCTGATTCCATCATCATGGGCTGAAATCCTATGTGGTTGGCCCATAGCAAAGAAGGGTAACAGAAGAAAAGAAGAGGGGAGATTTGACTATGGTTATTCCCATTTTAGAGATGAGAAAACAGAAACTTAGAACTTGCCCAAGATTATATCCAGTAAGCGATGAAGGTGAAATTCAATCCCAAAGCTTATGCCTTTTATAAAATAGTACCTCCACGGGGTGCAAAGATGCTGATGAATGCACAGCTAAAAGTATAAATTGAAGCCCCATGTGGAGGGCCTTGGCTGTCATGCTAAGGATGTGGAACTTAATTCTCTGGTCTTGAGAATAGAGAGACATTGAAAGTTGTTGTTGTTGTTGTTGTTGTTGTTGTTGTTGTTATTTTAGACAAAGTTTCACTCTTGTTGCCCAGGCTCAAGTGCAATGGTGCCACCTCGGCTCACTGCAACCTCCCCTTCCTGGGTTCAAGCGATTCTCCTGCCTCAGCCTCCCGAGTAGCTGGGATTACAGGTGCCCGCCACCACAGCCAGCTGACTTTTTATATTTTTGGTAGAGTTGGGGTTTCACCATATTGGCCAGGCTGGTCTTGAACTCCTGACTTTCAGGTGATCCGCCCACTTGGAACTCCCAAAGTGCTGAGATTACAGATGTGAGCCACCACACCCAGCCAAAAGTTTTTAAGGAAAGTAATGACATATAACATGTGTTTTTAAGTATTCTTGGGTTGAAATAAAATAGTTTAAGTCTTTATTTGGAAGATCTTGTTTTAATTTCTGTAACTCCTTAAAAAGAGAGGAGATGGAATCTATGTAGAAAGAGGAAGTGAAATTCCTGAGCAGGAAACACATTTCTCTTTAAAAACTCAAAGCAACAAAACTTCAGCAACAAGAAGTGCAATTCTAGCATCTGGTCCCATCAAAAGTCAGATTTCTTGATTGGCTTGTTGAAGATCTCAAGCCTACACTTGTCACATTGCTAGAAGTGCAGAGTCAGCTTTTGTATTCAGAATGCCCAAAGCGGCTTGCTGGGTCCCTTGTTGCTCAATTAATATCAGCCATATTGCGTTGAGATATTGATAACTCCTCAGGGATCAAAGACTGGATTCAGTCTTGTCCATTGTGAGGCTTCTTTAGAGAAGGTTTTCTTCATAATCCTTAGTTAACTAGAACTTCGATTTGCCCATTCCCCAAGTGCATACACTAGTTAATTGAGGCTTTACTATAGGAATGGAGATAAAATTTCCCCAGGTTGCACAGTTGGCATTCTCAAGATCACGTTGCTCTCATCTTTCAGCTTGATACTATCTAAATGTCAAGTAAACGTGTATACAGTTGACCCTTGAAAAACACAACTTTGAACTGGGTCCAGTCATGCACAGATTTTTTTGGATAAGTGACATCGAGTGTGCCTGCCTTTCCTGCCTCTCCTTTCACCTCCCCTTTCTCTTCCGCCTCTG
The DNA here is from genome assembly GCF_000001405.40 of Homo sapiens. Classification (NCBI taxonomy): domain Eukaryota; kingdom Metazoa; phylum Chordata; class Mammalia; order Primates; family Hominidae; genus Homo; species Homo sapiens. Next base: position 27,142,132 of record NC_000008.11, read on the forward strand.
CCCCACCGAGACAGCAAGACCCACCTCTCCTCTTTCTCTTTCTCCTCAGCCTACTCAATATGAAGAAAACAAAGATCAAGACCTTTACGGTGACTCACTTCTACTTAATGAATAGTAAACATGTTTTCTTCCTTATAATTTTCTTAATAACATTTTATTTTCTATAGCTTACTTTATTGTAAGAATACAAAAATACGGTATAATATAAAACATACAAATTATGTGTTCGTCAACTATTTATATCATCAGGAAGGCTTCTGGTCAACAGTAGGCTATTTGTAGTTAAATTTTGAGGGAGGCAAAAGTTATATGTGGGGCCAGGCATGGTGGCTCACGCCTGTAGTCCTAGCAGTTTGGGAGGCTGAGGCGGGCAGATCACTTGAGGTCGGGAGTTCGAGACCAGCGTGGCCAACATGGTGAAACCCTGTCTCTACTAAAACTACAAAAATTAGCCAGGCATGGTGGTGGGCACCTGTAATCCCAGCTACTCGGGAGGCTGAGGCAGGAGAATCGCTTGAACCCAGGAGGTGGAGGATGTAGCGAGCTGAGATGATGCCATTGCACTACAGCCTGGGTGACAGGGCAAAACTCTGTCTCAAAAAAAAAAAAAAAAAATATATATATATATATATATATATATATATATATGGATTTTCACCTATGCAGGGGTCCCCTAATCCCCATGTTGTTCAAGAGTCAACGGTGTATACAGATAAGCTTAAGAGTGTTAACAAGTACTAGTTCTGGCTTTGCCACATGCTAATGGTGTGGCCTTGGGCAAGTTACTGATCCTCTCTTAGCATTCATTTTTCTTCTGTAAAATCATGAAACTAGTACTTACTGCTTAAGGTTTTACAAGATTAATAAACTTATGTGTGTAAACTTTTAACATAATGCCTGACAAACACCTGATGGATAAATATTAATTTCTATCATTAAGTATTAGTTTCTAGCATTATCAACTGTACACCTCCCCCAAAGTTTATAGTGGTTTTTATACTGTGCTTTAGCAATTCTTTCTAATAAAAAGAAATGTGACAAGCATTTCCAGCAATAATGGACTCTTAAAGCTGTTGAAATTGCTCTGTGTGCTAAAAATAAAGCCTTTGGGATTCATTTTCTTTGAATACAAAATTAAACCGTACTACAGAGAAAATGCAGTGAACCTTATTGATTCTTTTTTTCAACAGAGTCAGATTTCAAAGTCAAAGGTCGAGGTGTTTAGGAAAATAGATCTGGTTGTCCCAACCAGAAAAATTGACTTTCCCAAGGACATTTTATAGTGGATGATTGGGTCATTTTCTCTGCTACTTCTCTTGCCTAAATGTTCTTTAAGCTTTCCTGCCTAATTCTACTTTGTTTCCAGGCCTGACTTAAATGTCTCTCTTCTGTAGCCTCAAAGTAGCACCACTGCTATCAACTGCACCCCTCCTAAAAATGGCTGGCCTTGGGCATCTATGTCAGAAGCTGAGCAGGGATTACCTTCAGGAGAAAATATTGTGATCTCCTGTCCTACACTGCCTTATTTACAGTAATGGCATGACTGTTGATTCCGTGCATCATGTTATCATGTGTCCATTTCACTGAACGCTTTTTAAGGACAAGGGAAACGACAACTAAGTTATCATGCTCCACAACTCCTGGCCCATAAAAAATCTTCAAAACATGTTAAATTAAACCAAATTCTAAATGAAGAACTATGTAGAAGGCCTCTTTCTTAGTGCCCTGAGGTGCTTCTCACACACATTAGGTCCATGATGAATATTTTCCAGTCATCAGGCAAATGTTACTTGTTCCCAGTGGGTCACTGAATAAACAGAAATGGAAATTATCAGCTTTGGGTTGGAGGGTTGAGACGGCATGAGAAGGGAACAGTGAACTCTCAATTAAGTTGAATCTAAAGGTTCAAGCATGTTTTGAGAACATCATTTTCCCTGGTCTTCTACTGTTAATATAATATATTGTTTTCAAATGCACGTTTTCCCATCTCAGCCCAGTGATTTAACTAGTGAGCTGATCTCTCAAACTATTTGGCCCGTAATCAAAAGAGGACATGGCTCATTGAGAAGATGTCAAGGGTATTTATTTCCTGGAAGGATAAATCATTTTCCATAAGCATTTACACAGTAGATATGAGGTGATTTCTTGCTTTGCTGAGCATCTGCTAACAAATTCAGAACCAAAAACTCCATGCTCAGTGATATTATTTTGTTTATTTATCCTTTGAATTATCAGGCCATAGTGATTTAGAACAGAGAACATCCCACCCATCCTACCTTGAAGTTCCTGGATTCCTAAGCAACCGTCATAGGTAGTAATTAGCATCTCTGAACCATTTTCAGTATTTTAGAAAAACAATGGATAAGACCCATGAAAATGAGACTTCCTAGAAATATTAATCCCATTGATATGACAACTGAAATTACCTATGTCTCCCCTTTATGCCAGAAATGGTTATTAGAGGCGTTCAGGAACCATGAATTAAGCATGAAAGAACAGATAGGATAATGCACCTATATGCAGATGACTCTTTTTAACAAAGTGATTAAAGTTAGAACTATTTCAAGTTTTTTTAAATCCCTAATGGAAGCAGCACATTTACTGGCAGTACAGCTCTAAAAGCTAACCCCAGGAGTGAGTCTTCTTTGTCGCCTGGCAACATTATCGCCAGCTAATCAGAAGCTGTGGTTGTCAATTCTAAATGTCTTCTATTTTTAAAGATTAAAAATTATATTACTTAACACACGCAGTCCATTTGGTAGATCATATCTTTCAAAATAAAAGGACCAAAGGAGAAAATACTATAAGGGGGAACCTGTATGGTGAAGAATTTGGAAAGCAATGTGCGTATACTATGCCTGGCATACAGTCAAGATTCAATTTATATCTGTTGAATGAGTGAATGAAGGGACTAACTTCGTCATTACAAAGAATAGAAGAATGAGGTCTTAAAAGTTAATCCGCTCAGTCAGACAACAGGTAAGAGGCAGAGTGGGTCTCAAAACAAAACGCAGCAAATCATTCTACAAGGGAGCTGCTCACTAGAATGGGGAAAAAACCCCAACTTCGATTTAATTTAGCTCAACCTCATATAGAAGCACAAGCCATTCTGCCTACTTCCTTCTTTCACAACAGAATAGCAAATGCAAACAGTCTTAAAAAAAAAAAAACTTTAGGGGAGATGTCTTTACCAAAGCCAAAGCCATTTGAGGGGTCATCCCACTAGGTGGATCCTAAATAATCATAGTAAGTTAATGGCAGAAGTAGAAAGAGGACCCTTCCCACGACTGTCACTTGGACTTGGTACCCTGGAAATCGGCACCAGGGTCCACTGCCCTGAAGACCTACGACCTGAAAAATGCCGTAAGAACATGACCTCTGTGAGATAAACATCATTTTACTGTAATTTCTGCATGTTTATATATTTATATACTTTAATTAATTTATAGCAGAAGTTACACCAATGGCTATCCATTTAGATCAGCCATGAGAAAGACCGAGTGACTGATGCAGTGGAATCCTCTGCCACTAACATGAGACACTGGTGACTTCTTGCTCATCAGTTCCTTCCGTCATTCTCTAATTCCTAATTAATGTGAAACTGGTTGTGCTCCCTGCAGGGAACACAGAGGATGCTGATTTGCTGGAGGTTTTATTATACAATCCTAGTAAGTTTTTGCTCATAGGCAACAGGCATCTTAACAAATTATATTTTCCATAAAATATGTGATATACTATAAAGTACCTTAGGTTTTCTAAATTCTTAATCTGCATCATTGTATTTTTGCCATCCTTTTCTCAAAAAGCAGCCAAACTTAAACGTTTATCGCATCAATTAGTAATCTTCTGGCAGATCCACTGAAAATGGTATTTTCAATAATGGTAGTTGCACCAGAACTCCTGAAAGCTCTCCTACAAGAATATCTCCTTTCCCATCCTTTATTTCCTTCTCCAGGAAAATGTATTTTTAACAGCTAATTAGTTTTCTTTTTTAACAGCTGAACACTTAATAATTGAGTTTCATTATGAAACAATTCTTGCTGTTTGAAAGAAGAAAACCAAGGGAAAGAAATGGAAAGGAAAGAAACAAACATGAGCAGAGAAAAATAAGAGAACGAGAAGTCGGATGAAGATCTTTATGCTACAAAAGAGGCAATTGCAGTTGCAATGTGGACCGTGCAATTGCACATCTCAGATAGAACAGGCTGAGGAAATCCTAAAGTAGTGAGTTTCACCTTTTTTTCCTCTCAAAACATGTATTAGAAGCATTCTGTGGCAACTTAATAATTTGGGCTGAAATAAAGTAAATAGCGGTACACGCTTGATCTTTCATGAGCACAATGAAATCAGCCAAATTAAATAAATTGTTAAAATAGAAGTATTACTGCAAAGTCATTTGACCATCATTTTGAATTCCTATGTGATCATCCTGATTGTTGTATGCTCCTAATAAAGATTTTTTATTGCAGCCTTGTCCCATATACTTCATAAGCGCAGTACTTAAAACTTTGTAATTAATCTCTTGCTTTCTCTTTTACTAAAATTTACTCATGGTAATAAAAATCAATAAAACATTGCAATAATTATACAATCACAAATCACAGAGAATTTAATCACTTATAACCATTTCAACCAGTGAGTAAGAGCTAAATGAGATGGAACACAAATAATGGGCTTACTAGGAATTTTTAACATAGTTCCACCTTCTTCCACTAAGAAGGTATTCTGAAATCAAATGTGTACACGCAACATGACTATAGGGATTATTTTAGAGCCACTTTATGTATACATGTATATTTTTAAGTAAATTGATCAAATATAAATATTTAAGTCAATAATCAATTACAAGCGTTCATGCTTTGATTATAACTGGTAATAAATTATTTCTTATACATGACACTACTAAACTGAACATGCCAGCATGCCACCCTTTGAAACCACTAAAATTGTTATTTTTAGGTTCAAAGGCTTATCTCAATATATGGCAGACATTGTAGTTAAGCATTTAGCATACATTGTCTGATTTAATGCTGTGGGCATCTTCCATTTAAATGAGGAAAGGTGATATGAATTGCCCAAGGAAACCCAATTTGTAAGTAATGGAGGTAGGATTTGACCCTAGATCTATCTGATTGCCAAGGTTTGAACCTCTGTGCTGCACTTGTACTGATACCAGTATTCCCAAAGAAGGGACAAGTTTCTTAAAGTGACGGGTCTCTAAGAGAATCTGATACGAAACATTTACCTAGTGATATGGTTAGGCTTTGTGTTCCCACCCAAATCTTATCTTGAATTGTAATCCCCAGGCGTTGAGGGAGAGACCTGGTGGGACGTGACTGAATCATGGGGGCAGTCTCCCCCCTGCTGTTCTTGTGATAATGAGTAAATTCTCAGGATATCTGGTGGTTTTATAAGCTTCTGGCGTTTCCCCTGCTTGCACTTCTCTTTCCTGCCACCATGTGAAGAAGGTCTGCTTCCCCTTTGCCTTCTGCCATGATTGTAAGTTTCCTGAGGCTTCCCCAGCCATGTGGAACTGAGTCAATTAAACCTCTTTCCTTTCTAAATTACCCAGTCTTGGGTAGTATTGGTGCAAAAGTAACTGTGGTTTTTGCCAATCAAAGTAATGGCAAAAACTGTAATTACTGTTGCACCAACATAATATCTTTATAGCAGTGTGAAAATGAACTAATACACCTAGAAAATTTAGAAATTATAGAAAGTGAAATTTAATAAAATTAAAATTTCTTAAAGTGACCTGTCTCTAAGAGAATGTGACATGACATGTTTATCTAGAAAATTTAGACAGCATAGAAAGTGAAATTTAATAAAATAAAAAATAACTTTAGAGGGATCATCATTCAGAGATAAAAGTATTAAGATGTTGTTAATATCCTTTCATTTTCCTCTTTTAATGCTTACTGAATTAAAAGAATAGAACTCCTATCTGCTTCTATACAAGAAATCGGTCAAGACAGTGGTGCTTTTTCTCTGAGCCTCATCAGGTCCCTTCAAGTGTCAGTTAGTCTCTAAGCTTTTGTCATAGTTTTGGATTTGCAAAGGGAATTCTGTAAATGTATTTAAGAGAAAGGCCTAGAGAGAGTTAAATTTTTATACACAAGAAAACAAGAAAAAATTTCTGTTTCTGTGTTATTGAAAAAAAAGGATCAGACAAGAAAGGTGATTTTTAAAAAGAGAAAGAAAAGAGGGTCAAATTATGTGGTGGAGTAGCCAAAGACTTCTAAGAACAAGAATGTTTGATTTTCAATTTTAAGTCATTTTTACTTTGAGATGCAGTTCTCACAATCTCGTACACCTGTTACAAAAGGGCTTATCTGAGTGGCTTTGTGTGCATCGCAAGGAAAGGGACTCAGTTCCATTTGGAGTCAATGACAAGGCCAATGAGAAATTGCAACAAAACGTGGAGCAGAAAATTAGCATTTTCTAAGAGACAGACCGTCAGAGCCAAAAGTGACCATCAAGTATATCTTACCTGGAAATTCACAGAAATGTTAGGGAAGGCATTAGACTTCAACAGAATACGGAATGGAATGGACATTTGAGCTAATCTTTTCTGGATTTTAAAAGGCAGAGTAACTGCTGAGTGTCATGGAAAGAATAAACTTATTGAGTATCTGATACCATTTTAGTCATGTACATTGTTTCCAAGTTTTACTACTTTATGTAAGTCTACAACTATAATGAGATGCCACAACTTGCTCATCAGAATGGGTAAGACGAAAAAGAATGATGATATTAGGTGCTGGATATCCCAATCACCCTGATTTAAGCATTATACATTGAATACATGTATCAAAATGTCACATGTACCCCCAAAACCTGTGTAATTATATCAATTTATGAGATGTTTTAAAAGACTGAAAATACTAAGTGTTTTTTCAAGGATGTAGAGCAATAAAATTTCCTTACATCATTATTGAGAGTGTAAATGAAAACTCCAACTCTGGAAATTGTTAGGGTCAGAAAGTTTACCCCACAGCCCATCATTTTCATTCCTGAATATATAACAAAGGGAAAATAGTGCATACAAACATCAAAAAGCTAAGTTGTCCATTCAGAAATTCCTTCTTGGCATGTATGTTTTCCAATTCTGAGAAAAATTAGTTGAGAAAGAGGGGAAAAAGTATTCTAATTTTCTTGCAAAAATTAAAGCTTCACAATTAACATAGAGACATTAGTTGTTGGAAGGAATATATTGAGTGAAGTAGGAAGCAAGAACAGAAACAGACAAGAATGGTAGTCAAAGGTTAAGGTCAATGTCTCCTGGGCCAGTGCAGGAGCATGTAGGTAGGAAATGGTCATGATCTCATCAATTAGCAGTGCTTGTACTTGTGGCCATGTTCAAGTCTGTGTTCATGGCCCAGTCTGCATTCTTGCAAATAAAATAAACATTAGCACATGTAGATTCATATAATACTTTATAAATCCTGGGAGGATGTCCCAAGAAACAAAAAATTTTGAGAGCAAAAGAAATCCTAAATTGTCAATATTGACATGTGATTCTGTGTGGCGCTGTTAACCTTTCAAGGAGATCTAAACGTTATTTGAATACTACTGAATAATGTTTGCTGGCACTTTTCAGTGTTTGAGTATTGGCTATAGGCTTCAGTTCTAAGTAAACATTTTACCAAAAGAGAGACAAAGAGAAGAAGATGTGACTGTTATGAAATACTCCAACATGGAATCAGAAACTGATCTAAATCTGAACTAGCAAAGATGATAGCACTTTCAATAATAAAATGAAAATCACAGCAGGCAGAAAAAATATTTTCCTCATTTTAAAAAAATAAGCTTATATGAAGCAACATGCACCCCAACAGCCAAACTAAAGATGCTTTTGCTTGCAATCAATGATTCAGCCAGTGTCATGATGAAAATGAAAGAAATTGCCCACATCTTTGATATTTCTCATAAAACAAAGATAAAGATTACCTGATAGAAAAATGAAGACTGAATGTTTAAAATCTTTATTTTAAAAATAGCTTTAGAATAATTGTGATATTATCTTTCAACCTTTAAAATGATTATTAAGCATTAATTTTGTGTTAATAATCCCTTCTTTTAATGTTTTCTGGTGTCAAGTTCTTTACATTGTATTGAAATACATAATCTTGTCATAATATCTTGGTAGGTAATAATAATTAACCGTGCATGTATTAAATACTTTTTTAAACCAAAAAAAAAGCATCTGGAACTTTCAGTATAACCCTGTTATAAAACAAGTGATTGAATCTTTACTATGTCCATTCATTATTAGTTTAAAATACAAATAAAATGTAATGAAAAACACAACTTATGATTTCAGAAATTCTGATTTCTTATTTGCAAGTTCCAAAATTACTAAAGTTAAGGAATTTGGAAGCACTACAAAAAGTCATATAAAAGAACAGCTCTAGCTCTATTCATAATAAATAAGGCTAGAACAACCCCTTATTAATATTTCCCCTAAATGATAGCTCTAATTATAAATAAAGCACATGTCCTTGTCAGAAGGTTTCAGTGAAATGAAACCAATCAGTGATAGACAAATCAGCTTAAACAGCTCCACTTGCCCTAAAAAGAATGTTCATTATGGATGGAGCTGGAGGCCATTACTCTTAGCAAATTTATGCAGGAAGAGAAAACCCAAATACCACATGTTCTAACTTGTGGTTAGACACAAAGAGGGGAACACTGGGGCCTACTTAAAGGTGAAGGGTGAGAGGAGGGAGAGAAAAAAAAAAAGAAAACAAGTTAAAAAAAAAAAGAAAAAAGAATGTTCTTGTATAAAAGCCAATCCAGAAAAAGGTCAAAATACTTTCTCATTTATCCTTTGCAAGCTGCACAGTAACTACTTAGTGTAGAGCTTCTTACCACTTCCAGTTTCAGTTGTCTTGGTTCTGGAATTGTTGTTTCATATGCACAATACAACTCTGCAATTTTTAAATTTGATCTGATTTTATTTTTGACACAGGAAGTGAAAAGACAACCAACAAAAGGGGAGAAAATATGTAACAATCATATTTCTAATAAGGGACTATTATCTACAGTATATAAAGAGCTCTTACTGATCAATAATAAAGATAAGTAACCTCATTTAAAAACCAGCAAAGGATTTGGGTAGATATTTCTTTGAGATATGCAAATATTTGATAAGCACATGAAAAAATGTTCAACATAGTTAGTCATCAGGGAAATACAAATAAAAGCCACAATGAGATACCACTACATACACACTATAGTAGCTATCATTAACGAGACAGACAGTAACAAATGTTGGCAAGAAAGTGGAGAAACTGGAATCTTCATACATTGCTCTTCAGAATGTAAAATGGTGGAACCAGTTTGGAAAACAGTCTGCTAGTTCCTTAAAGGGTGAAGCATAGATTTTCCATATAATCCAGGATTTTACTCCTAGGTACAGACCCAACAGAATTATAATCATATGTCCACACAAAAACATACACAAGAATGTTCATAGCAGCATTATCCATAGTAGCCAGAAAGTGAAAACAGCCCAAATGTCCATCAACTAATAAATTAATAAGCAAAATGAGGTACAAAATGAGGTACAGTTGGCACTCTGTATCCTAGAGTTCCATATCTGAGAATCTGACCACTATTCAAAAATATTCAAAGAATAACTCTCCAGGGTGGTGGTGTATGTCTGTAGTCCCAGCTACTCAGGAGACTGAGGAGTGAGGATCGCTTGAGCCCAGGAGTTTGGTTGAGTTCAGCCCAAGCAACACAGCGAGATGCAATCACTAAAAATAAAAAAAGAAAAAGAAAAAAAGAAAAAATAATTTAAAATAACAATACAACAATAAAAATAATAGAAGTCAAAAATACAATATAACAACTATTTAGAGAACATTGTGTTCAGTATTAAAGTATGCAAGAAGACGTATATAGATTATATGCAAATACTATGCCATTTTATATAAGGGACTTGAGGATTTTTGGATTTTGGTGTCTGCATCAGGAGGGGTTCCTGGAATCAATCCCCCTTGGATACCAAGGGATGACAGTATATACATACAATAAAATATTATTCAACCTTAAAAAGGAATGAAGCCTTGGAAATATGTTAAGAGAAAAAATGAGACACAAAATGTCATATATTGAATGATTCCATTAATATGAAAATGTCCAGAATAAGCAAATCCATAGAGACAGAAAGCAAATTCATGGTTTCCAGGTGCTGGAGGGAGGAGAGAATGGAGAGTGACCACTGATGGATGTGAGGCTTCTTTCTGAGGTGGCGAAAATGTTCTGGAATGAGGTAGTGGTGATGGTTCACGACTTCGTCAATATACTAAAATATACACTTTAAAGGGGGCATTTTATGGTGTGTAAATTTTATCTCAATTTTTTTTTCTGAGATAGAGTTTCATTCTTGTTGCCCAGGCTGGAGTGCAATGGCGCGATCTCAGTTCGCTGCAACCTCAGCCTCCCAGGTTCAAGCGATTCCTGCCTCATCCTCCTGAGCATCTGGGATTACAGGTGCTCGCCACCATGCCCAGCTAATTTTTGTATTTTCAGTAGAGATGGGGTTTCGCCATGTTGGTAAGGCTGGTCCTGAACTCCTGACCTCAGGTGATCTGCACACCCCAACCTCCCAAAGTGCTGGGATTACAGGCATGAGCCACCATGCCCCGGCCTCAATTTTAAAAATAGTGTGTATCCAGGAGCCTGGGTGAAATTACTACAGGAATGAAGGTAGATAGAAAATGCCCAAGGACTGAGACCTGGGACATTTCCATGCTTAGTGTGAATCTGGACATTATGAGTAACCATCAAAGATATCTACAAAGAAGCCCCAGTAATATTTTTTAAACATACCCCAAATTCATTAACTGTCTTTGCATAAAAGTGTACAAGCGTGGCTTTTCATGACTTGTTTATAATGAATAGAATGTGGTAGCAATGTAAAATAAAAATTTTCCACCACACACTTGTTGAAAAGTGGCAAGCTATACATAAAGATCCACTAACAAGTCTCAACATTGGAAAAAGATAAGTGTCACAAACATGGCAGATAAAGCATTCACATCCAGAAATATATAAGAAATTTCTATAAATTAGAAGAAAAAAGACTACCAAAAATGAGGACAATGAACAAAAGTGATAAACAGATAACTCATAAAATAGGAAATACAAATGGCCAATAAACACATTAAACTATTCTGAATATTATTAGCTGTCAGAGCTATATTAGGCTAGAGAGCAACGAAGTAGTTAGACTCTGTGGGTGAGGCTATAAATGGCTAGCATCAGTTTGTGGAATAATTAGGCGTTATATTGTAAGGCTGAACATGCATAACCTCTCCCAACCATTCCATCCCCAGGTAATTATTGAGACATTCCTTCACACATACAAAAGATTTATGCAAGAATGATCATAGCATTGTTCTTCATCACAATAAAATAAAACAAACAACCCAAATGTCCATGAATCAAGAATAAATAAGTTTTGTATAATCACAGCATAGAATTTCTATTTCAGCATAAGTCAAAGAAGTATAGCAACACTCTTTGTCATAGATGAATCTTAGATATATAATGTAAAATGGAAACAGCGAGTCTCTAAGAACCACATACAGAATATTTTTATAAGACTCAAGAACAAATCTGAGACATATTACTTAGTGATGCATGAACATGTAGTAAAGGTAAAAACAAATAGCTGTGGAATAACAAAATAAATATCAAGGCAGTATATTCCTCCAAAAGAAGAGGAAGGCAGGGGCACTCAGTTGAAGCACACAGATAACTTCATATTATTGGTAAATTTGAGGGTCTTACCTTGGTCAGTGACATCACAGTACTTTTAAAAATGTTTCATGATCTTTATATACATTATGTGCATTAATTGTATGTCTAAATGTTATGTAATTTCAAAATGCATTGAGAGAGAAGAGCCACAATGATGCAGAAGAAGCAAGCCCTGAAATTCGGGCTTAGTCAAGGAGGGTTCTTGGCTTCACCCAGGAAAGAATTCCAGGGTGAGCCAGTGGTGTTAGACAGCAACTTTTATTGAGGTGGCAGAGTACAGCAGCAGCACACGTACTGCACCTTGCAGAGCAGGGCTACCCCATAGGCAGAGTGCCAAGAACAGCAGCTCAGGGCAGTTCTGCACTCATATTTATACCTACTATATGAAAATTAAGGGGGCAGTTTATGCAGAAATTTCTAGAAAAATAATGATAACTTCCAGGTTGTCAAGGTCATTGCCATGGAAAGGGAGAGTAACTTCTGAGTGTTGGCATGGCAATGGTAAACTAACATGGCATACTGGTGGGTGTGTCTTACGGAAAGTTGCTTCCACACTGGACCTATTTTAGCTAGTCCTCAATTTGGTCCAGTGTCCAAGACCCACCCCCAGAGTAAAGTCCCACCTCTTACCTCAACAGGAATATCAATGAGACCTGTATCTATAATTGTACCCCACAGCCTTCTTGAGCACCTTGGCAACCAGCCTTAACATGGGAACTCACACATTGATAGAACAGAGAGACAGAAAGAAACTGAATCCTCAGATTTCTGTCATATATAAAGATATTAATATATTTTTATTCATTGTTTAAATCAATTGCCCTTTTTAAATTCAAAATAAATAAATAATCTTTTGCAGAGAAAAGCCAAAATACAGAAGCAAAAATTAAAGAAAATAAGACAACAATAATTCTTTCCTTCTCCCTCCCCCATAAATGACCACTGTTAAGATCTTAATATCTAATCCTTCCTCAACTTCTACAGGTTTTTATATTGTGTATGTAGTTCTTCTCCCTAACTGTGCCATGAATTACTAGAGGACATTGATTCATTTAACAGACATATATTGAGTGCCTTTTGTGTGTCAATCATTGTTCTAAGAATAGGAATACAAAATGAAATACTATACTGCCTATCGGGGACCTACCCATGGACCAGCACCACCCAGCTCTCTCCTCTCACCACTGCAGGCCTACAGGTGATGGAAAAGACCTCACAGTCTAGTCATGTGCCCTCCCCACCACATAGCTCCCATAACTACCACCTCCTCCTCTAGCACCTAGGCCCCTGCCAAGCTCATCTTATATTAACTGATAAATTATAGAATTTACCAGTTGTCCCTCTTACCCCAATTTCTAAAACTGAAATTCTTATTTCCAAATTAGTATTTATTCATCTTGAGGTGGAAAAAAAGATGAAATTAAACTAAAATAGGAAACCTGAGTTTCTATGGCAAATAGAGAAATACCCCACATATTTGAAGAACAGTTTTTGTTAACTTGGGTGTAGTGTCGTCATTAAATGAGGAGCAGTCTTAACACAGAGATTCTGCTGTATTCAGTGCCAGCTAAGCTCTTATTTTGGTAAGTACCAGCCAAGCATACATGGGAAAATGAAGGGATACATTTTTTGCAATTTTCTAGCATTCTAAAGAGAATATTATTTCTAAAACATGTATTTCATCAAAGGAGCAACTTGTACACTGTTACATTACCTTACAAGATTTCCTTCTAGATGGATAAATGAAAGAAACTCTTCTTTGATCTCACACCAGCACAATGTAATTCTTTCCTGCATGAATCATGGTCTTCCCTGTATCAGCTGTGAGTGAATATGACAATGAGATTGTGCATGCATGAGCTCAGAATGAGCCATCTTCATCTGTCTTCTAGCAGACACCTTCTACAGGGCCTGTCCAGCCTGGCTTTCTCTTCTCTGAGGGCTACTTACCCCCACTCTCAGGGTACTCATGTTTGTACTACATGATGTGGATCTCCTGGCCATAGCTACTTAAACAAACATGGAGTGCTGACCCTATCTGGGGAAACCCAATTGTTCTTCTAAGATTTAAGAGCCATAGTGAACCTGAGTGAGTCATTAGAATTGAGGACTTGTAAACTGGTGATTAAGTAGGGACCATCTTCCACCAGGTGCACAAAGAAGCATAGAAAGCCTGACATGAGGATTGTATTGAGGGGTGGGAGGTGGAGAAAGGGAGAGAGAGAAGACACTCAGAGGGAAGCAGCTAGAAAAGACCCATTTGGACTCAGAAGGGCACAGAGCATGGCTGTCTTGCTTCTCAATGACCCTCCAGTTCCAGTTCCAGCCCCTAATGAGAGAGGCTCTGCAGACCTTACTTACAGAAGTTACCCTGCAGCCTTATAATGCATCATCCCATGACTTGCTTTCTTTTCTTTAACATATTTGAGTGGGTTTCTATTATACAAAGCCAAATTGACCCTGATAACAAGTGTATCTGTTCAGGCCAAAGAAATGGTGGCAATGTCCAAATTAGGCAGTTTGGGAAGGCTTTCATGAAGAGACTTTCTGTGTGTGTGAGACAAGGTCTCACTCTGTCGCCCAGGCTGGAACGCAGTGGTGTGATCACAGCTCCCTCGAACTCCTGGGCTCAAGGGATCCTCCTGCCTCTGCCTTCTGAGTAGCTGGGACCACAGGTGCATGTGCTATCATGCCTGACTAATTTCATTTTATTTTGTCTTTTTTTTTTAGAGATGGGGTCTCACTGTGTTGCCCAGGCTGGTCTCAAACCCCTGGGCTCAAGTGATCCTCCTACCTCAGCCTTCCAAAGTGCTGGGATTACAGGTGTGAGCCACATACCTGGCCCCCCAAGGGTCTATTTACAAAAGCATGAGTGTTTATAAAGAAACCACAGGAATAGTGCAATACTCTTGGGATAGTATCAACTTCTCCATCCCTAGGCCTGGAATAGTGACAGAAAGGGGAATGGAGTGACAGAAAGGGGAATGGAGAGACAGAAGCTCTGACTTTTGAGAAACACAGCCAGCTCTGGAGACACCACAGGGAGGGAGCCAGGGCTTTCATTGCCCCGGCCTTTCTTTGCTTCCCTCCCTCTGATGTCTTGCCATTGCTCCCCATTGGCCAGACCCATCAAAAGCCAAAAGCAAGAGAGCACTTCCATGAAAGGCAATGCAGGGCAAGTCATGGAGGATGGGAGTGGATGGAGGGGCAGCAAGTAATAGCGAGCACAGGTGCCCCGGCCCACGGCCGCTTTTACTATACCACATGCCTCTCACAATTATGATTGCCATGTTCACTGATCTCACATTTTATTATGACTCATCAAATATTTATTTATCAGCTCCTACTTGTGTGGTATTATGTTTGGTTCCGAGAAGACATTGATCTCAAGTCAGACCAGGTTCCTATCTATTGGGTCTACTCTTATTTTTATATGGATCAGCTGTTTAAAACACAGAGCTGTTGTTGCATTTCTGTGTGCTTGTGCAATGTTCCTACTCTCCTTTAGGTCTCATTCATATGGTTAGGCACCAACTGAGGGCAATGAGTATGTTGGCTGTATTTTCAATGTCAGAAAACCTAACATGGTTAGCTTTTGTAATTAAAGTTTTTATTTCCTGGTGGAAGAGATAAAAGGAAAGTTGTAATTTAAACACACATACACACACACACACACACACACTCTAAAATTCCAAAGTATTTGTAAGTATAAGTGTGCACAAAAATTTACACTGGGATTGGTAGTCCGCAAATTGTCTTTCTTGTGTTTCTCTTTTTGCCTCTTAAAATTCCAAAGTACCTTGAATGTTAGGAATCTTGCTGGGCCCTGTCTTTTCGCAAACCATCCAGCAGCTTTGTCTATATTAAGGATCCTGAGTGTGGCAGTAAGAAATCTGGCTTTTAACCCATAACCTAGTTGTGTGTCTCCATCCATTTGTACATACATCCATCCATAAATACACTCATCCATCTATCTATCCATCCATTTATTCATTCATTTATTAATTCATCCATCTAACATTAACTGCTTACTAATTTATGCCAGGAACTGATAAAAAAAAATCTGAAATCATAAAAATGAGACATCTCCAACCTCAAAAAGCTCTAATAGGGGAAGACACATATTAACCAAGGATATTCATACCATATTGCAGGAATTAACATGAACTTTGTAATCAAGACATGAAAACTCCTGGGGAAAACTTAAATAAGTAAAAGAAGCCATTCTGAAAAGGCTACATACTGAATGTTTCAAAAAATAAGCCACTACACAACATTAAAGCATTGTAAATATTTCTCTTATGGGACTTACTAATTTTGCCCTATGCTTAGTGTGTGTTTACTTCTTCCTTAAAACTATAAACTCCTGAGACAGGAGCCCTGGACTTTCCATCCCTGTTTCAGTCCAAATGCCCAGTGCATTGTATTTCAGAGGGTGGATGATCAGGGAGTATCAGTGAATGTCAACTGCATTATAAGTTTCCAAAGCAGGGTTTCTTTAGCTTCAGAGGATCTATGCAATGATATGCAAAATGTTATATTTATGAGCATAAGCTATGAAACAAGGTCCATAGCTTTCATCAGATTTTCAAAAGGTCCCATCTCTAAAAAAGGTTAAGGATTATAGTCCCATGGTTAAACTAAGTATGTAACTAACTGATAAAGTTCTCAGCACAATGCATGACATGTGAGACTTCAAAATGCCTTCACAGAATAGCAACAATGACACTACTATCAGAGGGACACTCATTGCAGGAGGATGTCTTTGCTTCCATCTCAGGCAGACTCCATAAAAAAAAGGAAAAAAATCTATGAACATTTTATTAAGAGATAATCCCTCTCTAGGTTCACTTACAGATAAAAAAAAAAAGTTAGGTTTTATTATTGTAGTCTCTTCTCATCATCCGGTTTTGCAGAAAATCCTGCTGCTGAACTCCCAGGGGGAACACTTAATGATCAATCCAATGTTACAAGAAACACTAGGGACACAGGAAGGAACAGAGACTGTTAATCATGCCATATTACAGGAAGAAAGAGTTTGTTCTCCATTAAAGATACCTCATGCTGGGCAACAAAACAGCAGACCAGGGATGGAGTGTGGGCTTGTAGTGAAATACTATAATTTTATGTTGCCTTGGCTTCCATTTTGAATATAAGTTGGACTTTCTCATACCAGAAGCAAGACTTAGTCACCCTTGACAGTTTCCAGTTCTCTGCCTCCTCCCAGTGTCTCAATGTGGTTGATGCAGATATCTGCTTTATACAACTGTCTCCCAGTGACCACCTCCCTATGGGACAGCTGGATGCAACCTACGTGACCTGCCCCACTGACCCTACACCCTGCATGGACTGTGTAGACATGCTGCAGCAACCTACTGTCAGTCACAGCGTGACTCATGGAACTTGCACCTGCTTGCTGTAAACCTGAATTCCCTGAGGGAAACCTGCTTGGGTAACCCCCTGAATCCTAATACAGTCTCTGGCCCACAGGCTTCTCTTTATTTTGCTTCCCACCGGCTGGTTGAGTCTGCATGTCCCAATGGCTCCCCACTCCCAGTTGGCCTATGAGGCCTGCTGCTGCTTCTTTCCAGGATCTGTGAGTAATAAACTGCTTCTGTTATTTCATGTCTTCTGTTGAGTTGCCTTCTCTGTTTCTCATTCGACCAACAGATTGGACCTAACTTCTTTCCCCACCAGGGTGGTGCTAAGGAATGGCTATCTTGGTAGGAATAAACTGGATACAGATCAGACAAGAGCCACAGGGTGTCTTCCAGGATACACAAGCTTCTTGTGGCAGGGACACCTGATCACAAGTTTAGCACTTAGGCATCAGGTGGTCCACCGGGATAGAGAAGAATCCCACGAAAAGTTCACTGTAAACATTCATGACCAAATTCCTGGATCCCTCCCAGCACAGAGCTAGAGTCTAATCGCCACTCTTCAGAGAGACATCTCAAAACCAAATAAGAGAAAAATACAAGGCTCCACAGATACAAATAGATGTGTGTGCTCTCCTACACCTCCCATGGTTGAGCCACATATGCTCCTTTTTGTTGACCTCTTTGGTCTGGACAAGAGGATTAAATAGTGACCTCCCTATCCTCTTTGGGTACCACCCTATTTATCCCCTTCCCTTAGAGCTTGATGCCTTGATAGTGATCACTGTCTCCCAATTCTCTTCTCTCCATTCTCAAAACTATTCCAATCCAATTTTTGCATGTGCCCCCAACCCCAGCTTTATCAAAATTGCTATTATAAGGTCACCACTGGCCTTCATGTTGCTACATTCAGAGATCAGTTCTCAATCTGCACCTTACTTGAAACATTTTTATTCACTAGGCATCCAAGACAACACACTCACCTGGTTTTCCTCCTACTTCAATAGTTGTAGTTTCTCAGTCTACTTTTCTGGGTACTCTTCACCTTCCCAACCTCTTAATGTTGTAGAACTTTGTATATTCTCTGTATATTCACCATTTTGATGATTTCATCCAGTCTTATAACTTGAAATACCACCTATATTTTGACAACTCCAAAATTTATATCCTCAGTCCAGCCTTCTTCCTAAACTCCAACTGCTTCTTTAATCTCTCCATAAGCTTGTCTACTAGGCATCTCAATTGAAGATGCACAAAATTAAATTTAATCTTCTCCCTTCAACCTGCCATTCCAGCAGCTTTCCACATTACATAAATTTTAACTGCATCCTTCTAATGGCTCAAGAAAAATGAACAAAACTCTTGGAATTATCCTTGCTTCCTCTCTTTCTCTCACATCCCATATTTAATTCACCAGCAAACCTTTGGCCATATGTCCAAATTATATCAAGAAACTGACCAATTTTTACCACCACTGCTGCTACTACCTTGATTCAAGCCATTCTTCTTACTTGCCTGGATTATTATAAAAACTTCCTAAATCTTCTCCTGCTTCCACTTTACCCTCTTTTAGTTTGTTCTAGGCACAATAGCCAGAGTAAGATTGTTAAAATATGCCAAATCTTTTTCATTCTGCTCAAAAATCCTCCAATTTCTTCCTGTCTTACTCAAAGTAGAAGACAGTGGTCTCACATTAGCTGAAAATGAGCTGTATGATCAGATTGCCTAGTTAATCTTTTGAATCTCATCTCCTGTGTTTCATCCATGCACCCTGTGCTCCAGCCACAATGATCCCTGTGTTGTTCCTTATGAGTGGTGAAGTGGGAGATGAAATACGGTCACAGGTCCTTTGAGACTGCTCTGATTGAGGAGTAGGGGTCTGTGTTAGGCTGAATAATGACTGCTCCACCCCACCAAAGATGTCTACATGCTAATTCCCAGAATCTGTGAACATTACCTTATAGAACAAAAAGGATCTTGCAGATGTGATTCAGTTAAGAATCCCAAAAACAAAGGGACACAAGGTGAAGGTGATGAACATGGCTATTATCTTGATTGTGGTGATGATTTCATGGGCATATGCCTAGGTCCAAACTCATTAAATTGTATATATTAAATATGCACTTTATCGCATATCAGTTATACCTCTATGAAGCTATTTTTTAAGTTAAGGATCTTGACATAGGGATATTGTCCTGAATTTTACAGGTGGGCCCAATGTAATCACACGGGTCATTACAAGAGAGACCCAGGAGAGTCAGAGTAAGAGCAAGATGTGTGAAGGCTCCCACACACTGCTGGCAGAAATTAAAATGTTACAACTGATTTGAAAAAGCGACCTTTTTTTCAAGTTAAACCTACATCTACCATATGACCCAGACATTCTACTCCAAGTTATTTACCCAAGAGAAAAGAAAGGTTATATGCACACGAGGGCTTGGACATAAATGTTCGTAGTAGCTTCATTCATTCACAATAGTTAAAAACTTGTAATGAACCAAATATTCTTCAACAGGTGTTAAATAAACAGATGTTAAGTGAAATAAAGATTAGTAAACTGTAGTATATCTGTACAATGGAGTAGTAGTCAGGTTTTTTTTAAAAGGGGCAAATAATTAGTACATACAAAACCATGGATGAATCTCAAAATTACTAAAAGACAACCATAATCTGGTTTATGGTGAAAAGAGAGTATCAGTGGTAGCCCATGGCCAGGGCTGAAGAGAGGAAAGATGGCAAAGGGAGCTCGGGCAGCTTTGAGGGTGATGGACACATTCTATGTCTTGATGGTGGCAGTGGTTTCCTGCGTGTGGCAATGGTTTTCTGCATTTGTCAGAGCTCACTGAATTACATTTTACATTGATACAATTTATTCTACATAATTATAGTTCAATAAAATTGATTTTTTAAAACCTTAGTAAGAAGGAAGAAGTGCAAAATACAACAAAACAATTTAATTATATTACAAATGTATGAAACAAACTCACTGAAAGAGCAAAGGTGTGGACCTAATTGGCTTTGGAAATGAGTGGAGTCTATAAGACTAAAGGCAAAAGAAACTGCACATGAGCACTGTGGTCCAGTTGATAAAAGTGTTTCCCATGGGAACATAGGTAAGTAATTCTGATACCATTACACATGTATAGTAAAACTGAAGGATTAGAAAAATGGATGACAGATGATGCAAGCTAGGTTTCTCACTGTTGGAGTAGAAGGTTACAAATAAGTAAGGGAAGAAGGCTGGATAACAATGGATTAGATAATGTGCATAACAATGGGTTATGCACATTAAACAACCCCCCATCCAATCCTCCCAGATGTGGAAAAATTGTCTTCCATGAAACTGGTCCTTGGTGCCAAAAAGTTGGGGAGCACTGACCTAGAAGATAAGCTCAGATCGTAAAACCCAGAAAATTTGTCATTCAAATATAAATATGTTGAATCTGTTACATACATATTCTATTAAGCTAAACGTAACTAAATAAGTCCTCTTAGGCTAACTAGAACTACTGTTGCCTAGTTCCTAAAAGATGTTCGTGGGTGGCAATAGATGTCTGGGAATAAAAGGACAGAGTGCCTGGAACAGGCCCTTGGTGGCCTCTTAGATCAGAGACTGTGTGCAAACCTGCATGCTGTCTCCCTGTTGTATCCTGAGCTAAGCAAACAGAAACCATACTGCTGGATCTTAAACTGTGAAACTACAATACTCTTGGGAGCTTATCATCAGCTTGCAAGCTGTTGAACAAGACCCCGATAAACTTATTACCACTGGGGACAGGATATAGACTTGTCTACACTAGAATTCTAACCTTCACCCTAATCCACTTAGCCCCAGCCCAGCTGCAGACATATAATTTCTGATAATGCTTCTTTTTCTATCTGTGTTGATTTTTACTCACTATTTACTTTGGCAAGGCATGCTAAGACCTCAGCAGCTTGGAGCTAGCAGAGAGATGAAAATGTCTGAACCAAATGGAGTAAAAGCTGTGGGATATCACCCCAACTTCAGAGGTTGGCACAGAAAAGAGCAGTCACATGACCATGCACATTTTTTCCAAAAAATATAAACTACATTAAAGTAAGGATTTTGTTTTGTTTTGCTCATTTCTGCATCCCAAGTCTAAATCCATACCTGGCACACTGGGCATTGGATAAATATTATAAATATGTGTTACACAAATTAAGGTTCTAATTCTGGTAGCAAGCAGGAAGCAGGACTGTGTGTGCAGTTAGATGAGTGTGTTGTAGGCAAAGTTAAGTCAGATCACTTACAGGATCCCATCCATCCAGCCTCTTCATCAGTAGCAGGGCACAAACCACTGAAAATTCCCCTGGGCCAAAAACAAAGTTGAATCGCAAAGTAAAAAAACTACACTTGGACTTCACGTTATAAAATCTGGTTACGTTTCAATTATAAAATTTTTTAAACCTCACAAATTTAAAAAAATGTGATTGATGTCAGACATGCCACATATTTCAGTATCAGAAAACAACAAAAACAATGAGGCAATGTCTAGGACAGGTTTCCTTAATCTCAGCACTGTTGACTTTGGGGCCTGTGGGGGGCTGCCCCATGCATTGTAGGGTGTTGATCAGCATCATCCCTGGCCTCTACCCACTAGAGGTCAATAGCACCCCCAAACCCCAACAGTTGTTACAACCAAAAATGTCTTCAAATCTGGTCAAATATCCCTCTGGAGTATGGGGAATGGGGGATTTGCGTCCTTTAGAAAAACACTGGTCTACAGTTTTGAGAACAAAAAGGATACAGCCACGAAGTTGTCATTCATATGTGAAGGCCACTGCCATGTTCAGATTTCAAGACATGTAAGATACACCAGTCTTAAAGGGGAAAAATTACTTAAGAATATATTGCAGCCAACTGAATCATGAATCAAAATCAAGTATGGAGACGAAAGAGAACGGGGCTGTGAGTCATAAACCAATATCACAAAGACCTTCATTTTCACCATAATGAGTCTAAGTGTGGATTTATTTTCATCTGTATTACAGAGGATTCAGAATTCAAAATAACATTTTCAACTTGAAGATTCATGTCTTTCTTCAATTCTGGAAAATTCTCTGTTTTGATCAATTGAGTTCTAGCCAATGGAATAAAATCCTCCCAGATACAATCCTGTCTTCTCTTTCTACAGGCTGAAAGCAAAATACATCAAGACCCTAAAGGACAGGAGAACGACAAGATGAAGAGAGTTGCTGCACATCAGCCACTTTGTGAAAGACACACTCAATTCTTGCATCAGGCTGTTAGATGGGAATAAACTTCTACTGCATTCAGCCAATACATTTTGAGATATATTTGTTATATTAAATAGCAGTTAGTATCACCTTAAACCAAGATAAGCCAAGGGATGCATAAAATAGGTGATCCAATGCAGGGGAAGGGCAATGGGAATTCCCAGATGAATTGCAAAGGGAGGTCCCAGGACTACAACTGGGAAGTGGTCAAGAGAGGAAAGCTAGTCCACATTAGAAATGAAGGCAGAGGGCTCCAGAAGGGATGACATCGGGGGGAAAAAAGATGGGGATGGGTGGGAACTGGTGACATTGTGTGAAAAATTGGATCAAGTAGTATTTTGCATTGTTGATGGAGGATATACAAACAGCAAGAAATTCTAACAAAGCCAAGAAAAAAAAAATCCAAAGAAATCTGCTTTGGGAAATAAGAAGTTGACACAGAAATGTGAACAAAATATCCTACTTAGCTCATCAGGGAGCAATATTTACATTTTCACAATATTGCATACGCCGAGTCTTGATCTAAGCAGAAATGTGCTAGAATTCCGCCATGAGGATATCTGTGCGTGTGTGTGTGTGACATGGTGAAAAAATTTGAAATCCTTGACTTCCATCATTAGAAGTCACCAGATAGTTTTGATGATAGAAAACTGAAAATACAAGAAATACTAATTTAAGTGTGTATTTAGATTAATCAAACTAAATGTATATACAGTGGTTGCCTCTAGGAAGTAGACATCTAGGGTGGGAAAGAAAGGCTTAGGAGGCTGCTCTTTTGTCATTGTAAACACTTTGCTACTATTCAGCTTACAAAAATATGTACATGTAGGCTGGGCGCAGTGGCTCATGCCTGTAATCCCAGCACTTTGGGAGGCTGAGGCCGGCAGATCACCTAAGGTCAGGAATTCGAGACCAGCCTGACCAACATGGAGAAACCCCGTCTCTACTTAAAAAAAAAAAAAAAAAAAATTAGCCCGGCGTGGTGGGGAATGCCTGTAATCCCAGCTACTAGGGAGGCTGAGGCAGGAGAATCGCTTGAACCTCGGAGGCAGAGGTTGCTGTGAGCCAAGATCACGCCATTGCACTCCAGCCTGGGCAACAAGAGTGAAACTCCGCCTCAAAAAAAAAAATGTACATGTATTCGTTTGATAAAAATAAATAAATATTTTTTAAAAATAAGAATAGATTCCCACTTCCATCAGGTATTTCTGATGCAGGTCAGGCAAACCCCAAAGTGGAGCTTAGCCCACTGGGTTTCTGGCTTGGCCCAGGAAAGAATTCAAGGGCAAGGCAGAGGCAGAAGAAAACAGCCTTATTGAAGTGTTACAGCTTGGTGACTACTTCTGCAGAGCAGGGTTACCCCATGGGCAGAGAGTAGCAGCTCAGAGCACTTTTGCAGTCGTATTTATGCTGACTTTTAATTGCATGCAGACTAAAGGGTGGTTTATGTAGAAATATCTAGGGAAAGGGTAATAACTTTTGGGTCATTGGGTCATTGCCATGCAAAGGGGCTGTAACGCCCCAGTGTTGCCATGGCAACGGTAAATTGACATGGCACACTGATGGGCATGTCTGATTAAAAGCTGCTTTGCCTTGGCCCTGTTTTAGCTAGTCCTCAATCCGTTCTGGTGTCCGAGCCAAGCCTCTGGAGTCAAATCCCGCCTCCTACATTATTTCCAATCTTCAGCCTAGATGCAGCATACTTTTTAAATGGTTTATATTCAGGAAAGGGTTAAATTTACCTTAATTGCAGGAAGTAAAAAAAATCATTGTGCTCTGACATTGCCTTTTGTGGAGTCAATTGATTCTTTGGGTTCTCCCTCCAAAAAAATACTGCCAAGAAAACAAAAAAGGACTAGTGCTGAATATTGGTTAGAATCATGTACGATGGGACTGAAATCTAATAAGTGTGCATTTTAGTCACTAAAATGATGCTTCAGAGTTATAATAAAGAACAGTTAGATGGATCTGTGATGTGATAATGAAATGCTATTTCAGCCTGTAAAATGTGAAAAACCTCTTTCTATAAGAACCTCACCAGTGGGCACATTTTAGCTGTTGCCATATCTGCATCTATAGTAACAAACATAAATAATTTACATACAATTTGTCCCTCATAAGAAGAGAGTAAAGAAAACACAAATGGGGGGTCATGAGTATGTCAACCATATACCTACCCTCTATTTCCAAAAGAAACCCAAGCTCAAATAGCCCATTCCACTGTCAGATCATGGGTATGAATTTATGTCCAAATTATCAGCTCAGGAAATGTGACTGTGATGAGGTTTGACAGTGAAAGGAGAGAACAAAAAGATCAGAATTAGTGGACTTCCCTGTCTGTCTTCAGCCAACCATGCCCTACTTGAATTCTCTTCTCTAGTGTTCCTTTTTTTCCACCTTTATCTGTCCATCACCTTCCTCCTCTCTTAAAGCCTCCTCCCATCTCCAATGCCCCTGCAAGGGAGATTTGAGAAGGCTGAAGATCACTCTGGAACCCTTACTTCCTTTCTCCAGGCCCCCCTGTATAGCTCCTAGAGGGAAGTTTTGTTACCCTTATGTGAAGATGAATGTCTTTATTGATTTTTGGAAAATTTAAACATTCAAATCATTGATTCCAATCCATGCTTGGTGAATGCTTGATGCTGCTCCTTGGAACTGAATTGTGCTGGCACCCAAGCAAAGCAAAGTCAATGGAATGAATGAATAAAGCTTATGCCAGCCCTTCAAGAGGTGTTGACAGTGCGCTGTGCATGGGTCATCTGAAAGTCAAGCAGAAAATAATGCTGTTCCATCCGAGCCTGAGCCAGCACATGCTGGGAGTGAGAGAGCAGCCACCTTGCTAGACAGCTGCTGTCCCACTGGAAGAGAATATTCATTCTCACTGAAATCTGAGAGGCTATATTAATGTAGAGAATCCAGAGAGACTGCAGAGCTTGCCTTCTGCTTTGAGGTCTCCTCCTCCTTCTTCTTGTTTTATTTTATTTTTAGAGATAAGGTCTCTCTCTGTCTCCCAGGCTGGAGTGCAGTGACACAATCATAGCTCACTGCAGCCTCAAACTCCTGGGCTCAAGCAATCCTCCCATGTCAGCCTCTTGAGTGGCTGAGACTACAGGTATGTGCCACCATGCTTGTCTAATTTATTTTTATTTCTTTTGTAGAGACAATATCTGGCTATGTTACCCAGGCTGGTCTCAAACTCCTGGCCACAAGCAATCCTGCTGCCTCAGCCTCCCAAAATGTCCTCCTTTTTCTTTATGAGAGTGACCTAATAAGGGGTAGGGAATCCGTCTTGTGTCAGCATCTGCTTTCCCACCACTACCCCTGCAAGAGTGAGGGCAACAGCATTTCTAGGCTCATGCAAGGAGATTATGTGAAATTCTAATGGGTGGAGGGTGGGAGAAATGCTTGAAAGGAACATGTTTCAAAGGAAAAGTAAAAATAGTTGACAAAGGGATGACAACCCCCAAACAAGAAGGACCTTCTTATGAATTTATTAATTTTACCTGCCCAGTCACCGTTCTCCCTTGTTTGGGGGAGGCACAGTGGAGTGGAGAAGAACACAGTTCTGCAGCTGGGCTAGCGGACTTGGAATTTTGTCTGCCGGTACTAAAGTGAAACTTTAGGCAAGTTAGTTAATCCTGGGGACTCAGGTGCTTCATCTGTACAATAGAGCTATAGCACCTATATTGCTGAGAGGATGAAAGGAGCAATTCAATTGCTTTAGTCCGTTTTCACACTGCTATAAAGAACTGCCTGAGGCTGGGCGCGGGGTCTCACGCCTGTAATCCCAGCGCTTTGGGAGGCTGAGGTGGGCGGATCATGAGGTCAGAAGATCGAGACCACCCTGGCCAATATAATGAAACCCCATCTCTACTAAAAATACAAAAATTAGCTGGGCATGGTGGCACACACTTGTAATGCCAGCTACTTGGGAGGCTGAGGCAGGAGAATCACTTGAACCCAGGAGGCAGAGGTTGCAGTGAGCCAAGATCGCACCACTGCACTCCAGCCTGGGTGAAAGAGGGAGACTCCCTCTAAAAAAAAAAAAAGAAAAAAAAACCACCTGAAGCTGGGTAATTTATCAGGAAAGGAGGTTTAATTGACTCACAGTTCTGCATGGCTGGGGAGGCCTCACTCAGGAAACTTATAATCATGGCAGAATAAGAAAGAAAAGCAAGCACCTTCTTCACAAGATGGCGGAGGTGGGGGAAGTGCCACACTTCTAAACCATCAGATCTCATGAGAACTCACTCACTGTCACGAGAACAGCATGGGGGAAACTTCCCCCATGATCCAATCACCTCCCACCACGCCCTCCCTCTACTTGTGGGGATTACAATTCGAGATGAGATTTGGGTGGGGACACAGAACCAAACCATATCATCTATAAGTGCTTAAAACACTACCTGGTATCTTGTAGGTAATCAAGTATGAATTTTCGTAGCTGTTATTTTTATATTGAGGAGCCTTAGGCCATGTAGCTGGGATGGAACTGAACTTCCTCCTCCCAGGGTCACGCACATACATAACCCAAGATTGGCCACTCAGAGCACCAATTCATTAGCCTATGATAATTTGTTCCTAGGATGTAAAGAAATGTAAGAAACATTGGGAATATATTTCTTAACATATTATGGGAATATAAAATGATACAGCAACACTGGAAAACAGTTTAACAATTTCTTTAAATACATGCAACTACCATATAACTAAGCAGTGGTACTCTTCCATTTTCCCCTGAAAAATAAAAAGTCTTGTTCACAAAAAAAACCCATACACAGATGTTTATAACAGTTTTATTCTTAATAAGGAAGAATTGGAAACAACTAAGATGTCCCTTAGTGGGTGAACAGTTAAACAAGCTGTGGCACACCCATATGGACTACCACTCAGCAATAGAAGGAGCTACTGTAGACACACGCAACAACCCAGAAGAATCTCCGGGGAATTACACGGAATGCAAAAACCAATTTAAAAAATATATGGTTCTATTTACATAGCATTGTTGAAATGATAAATTACAGAAATGGAGAACAGATTGCTCAGGGTCAAAGAGATGATGGGGGCAGGAAGGAAATGAGAATGGCCATAAAAGGACAGCTTGAGGGATTACTGAGCTGATAGAAATGTTCTGTGCAACATCAGTGTCGTAAGATGTTACTATTAGGGAAATTGGGTAAAGGGTACACAAGAACTCTCTGTATTATTTCTTATAACTGCATATGACCCTACAATTATGTCAAAATAAGTTTAGTTAAAAACAAACAAACCACCAAAAACTGTCCCATGTAATTTTAATGTGTGGCCAAGGCAGAACGTCTGATCTATTTCCTCCCTATTTGTAGGCTTTTTTGTGTTTAATCCGTTCTTTATTTTGCTTAAATTCTATAACCTATCATTTGAATCTTTCTTACCAACACTTTGAATTTCCTTGCCTTCCATATTCTCATATTTAAAGAGAGCTTCTTGTAAGCAGCATTTAGATAGTTTTTAAAAATCTAGTCTGACAATCTTTGATTTTTGTTTATCTATAATGAGAGTATTTTGTCAGTTAAACTTAAGGCAATTAATATTTGGAGTAAAAAAATCTGTCATCTTACTTTGTTCCCATTTTTTCTTTGTTCCTTTGTTTTTTATTTCTTTCTTATCCTTTTTTGATTAATTATTTTTATTATTTTTTTCTCCATTCACTCATTAATTCTATGTTATTTTAATCTGCACCCTAGAGGATGCAACATACATCTCTGACTTATATATTATAGTATAAATTCATGCATTTATCACCTCTCTGAATAAAAGGATCATAGAATTCTTTATTTACCACAACCTAAACTTTTTGTGTTATTGATAATGTGTCTTTATTCTGCATGTATTTAAACCCCACAAGATATTGTTGTCAGTGTCTTATATAGTAAATATTCATTTGTATATACTTACATATTTTATTGCTCTTTATATCTTCCTAAATTTCCATGCTGCCTACCTGGAAAGCATGAAGACAACCTTTAGTTTTTCTTTCCATGCAATTCTGCTAGTGACAAATTCTTTTAGTTTTTGTTCATCTGGAATGTCTTCTCTATTTTTTCTTCATTTTGAAAAGCATTTTAACTGGATATAATTCTGCATAGGCAGTGACTTCTTTCAATGCTTAAGATGTCATTCCATGGTGTCCTGGCTTGAGTTGTTGGTGTTGAAAAGTCACCTGCACTTTGAGGTTTATAGGTCATTTTCTCTCTGTCTCCTGTTAAGACTTTTTTTGTCTTTCAACTTTAACCATTTTACTGCTTGGGGCCCAGGTATGGATTTCCTCTGTCACACTTCTTTGGATTTGTTGCACTTATCAAATCTGTGACTTGAGTCTGTCATCAATTTGGGGAACATCTCAGCTAATTGTCTTCAAATATTGCTTCTGCCCTATGTGCTCTCTCTCCATCTGGTATTAAAATCACACAAGCACTTTCTTTGGGTTCCATGTGTCTCTTACACCCTCTTTCTATTTTATATCCTTTCGACTTTCTCAGAGTTTCAGTCTGTTTGTTTTCTACTGACCATTCCTCTAGTTCTCTTTTCAGCAATGTCTAATCTGCTTTTAAACCCACGATTGAATTTCTAATTTTAGTTATAGTATTTTTAAGTTCTAGATTATTTTATAGGTTCAAGGTCTGCGGTGAAATTTTCCATCTTGCCATCTTTTCCTTGAATATGTTAATCATGGTTATTACAAAATCTACTTCTGATCATTCCAATATCTAGATCACCTATGGGTTTGTACATATTGCCTTTTCTCTCCTTTTTTTCTAATATATTGTTCTGTGTCTTGGCATGCCAGGTAAATTTTTTTTTGAGTGCTGGGCATTATGTGTGAAAAACTATAGAGGCTCTGGATGGTAATATATTATCTTACTTCGAGGAGGGTTTATCTTTCTTCCAGCAGGCAGGTAGGATGAGAAATTTTACTTTTATCCAATCAGGAGCTGGGATGATACCAGGCTGTTCTTCAGTCTTTGTGAACACTAGCCTGTTCCCCCATTTGCCCTTTCCCCCGGGACATAGCCTTCTCTGGACAGGTCCTGAATGTCTAGTGTCTCTGGAGAAGACCCTGACCCCCTGCCATCCCCAAAGACCAGATCCCTCCGTGCGGCTCTTTGCGAAGACCTTTTCTCTTTGTGCGTTTTGTTGTTCTGGACTTTTCTGCCTTCATCAGAACCTTGCTGTCCCAGCTCATTCTTTATGAGACGCTCTCCCTTGAGTAGTAACGTTAGTTTAATTTCAAAAACTACTTTTTCAATGGTATGACATGGAATTCAATCCTATTCAGTGGAATGTGGCTAATGTATAATCTATCTGTTTTAACAAAGGTCTTTGATCTGCCTGCACTTTGCTGTGGGACACTGGACGAGTCACCATCCTACGGGGATTGTAAAAAGGGCTTGGTGTCCTCTCGCTCACACTTCGTAACTCCACGACCCTCATGGCGCACACCAGAGGAAAATCTTGTTGTGGTGAGTAAATTTAGACCGAACATAAAAAGGTTAGCAACAGCAAACATTCATATTTTTCCAAAGCATAGGCCAGCGTGGATAACATGGTAAAACCCCGTCTCTACTAAAAATACAAAAATTAGCTGGGCTTGGTGACATACGCCTATAGTCCCAGCTACTCGGGAGGCTGAGACAGGAAAATCGCTTCAACCCAGGAGGCGGAGGTTGCAGTGAGCCAAGATCACACCACTGCACTCCAGCCTGGGTAAGAGAGCAAGACTCCGTCTCAAAAACTAAAAAATTAAAATTAAAAAAATAAAAAAAGAGAATTCTATCAAGACTTGTTATCTGATAAAGTTACAGGCATGACTGAAAGCAAGGAATGAAAGGATCTTGGCTCAATTGTCCATGCCACAGTTACACATTACACAGGGTCACGTTCCAAAGTCTACAGCAAAAGATAACACGTAGGCTGGTAGGCTGTAGAAAAATATTCTCGAAGAGCCCTTAAGTAGCTAAAAAGGAGAGTATGCATAACTAGGGAGGAGACTGATTTTCCAATTCTTCATAGGTCCAAAAAAGTCCGTTTTTCTTTCAACAATAGAACTTAAGTTGACCACCAAAGTATTTGGTTTCTATTTAAAGGTTATATCATATTTTATTTAGTTAGTTAGCTAGTTATTGAGAAGGGGTCTCACTGTGTTGCCCAGGCTGGAGTGCAGTGGCGAGATCATGGCTCACTGCAGCCTTGACCTCCCCAGGCTCTGGTGATCCTCCCACCTTAGCCTCCCAAGTAGCTGGGACTACAGGCATATGCCACCATGCCCTGCTAACTTTTTGTAGTTTTTGTAGAGATAAGGTTTTGTCATGTTGCCCAGGCTGGTCTCAAACTCCTGGGCTCAAGCTATTTTCCCACCACAGTCTCCCAAAGTGCTAGGATTACAGGTACGAGCCACCATGCCTGGCTTTAGAGGTAATATTATATTTTAAAATGTACATCTAAACACTAAAATCACATTGATGCTACAAGAGACAAATAGGAGCTGAAACCATTTAGGGAAGAGTAGATTAAACCTCTCATTGTATATTTGGCAAGGGAGGTGTTGTGGGCATCAGCTCACTGAGGAGCATGACAATGGAAATTACCATTGCAGGTTTCCCTCCACAAGTGGGTAATTAAATTCCCATGAGTTAAGTGTGTATATTATGTGCTTTTTACTGAAACAGATTATATGGGTGAAGGGAGTAAAAGACTCAAAGGTAAGAGCTGCAGGTTATGGGATACAAATTAAATTAGCCAGGGCGCTGAAATTACTAGCTGTGCCACTGTTTCTCAAGTGACAGAAAAAGAACTTGGAGTTTAACATAATAATTCTATAAAAGATAAAAGAGAGATTGCATATCATGTGTCTCTATTACTATGAGGTATCACACTTATATTCTTTTGACAATTGAAATGCTTTTACTGATGCAGAAATAGAAGATCTAAGAGGGATCCCAGCCCATTCATGGGGACCTACTCTCTTCATCTAAGACTGCCCAACTCACTGCCCACATTTCCCACATGCTGGAAATTTGTTAAATGCCTTGAGTTGAGGGATCCTAGTTGTTCTGAGCTCTCTGTTATGTTTTCCCTCCACTTGGGCTTAAATATGCAAAGTAATAAGTTGCAATAATAATGGAAGTATGACTTGCTGAGATCAAATATATATATATATATACACATACACACACACATATATGTATATGTATATATACACATATATATGTTTACCAATATATGTACACACACATATATATATTGATGGTTACTTTTTGTGTCAGTGTGACTGGGCTAAGGGATACCCAGATAACCCAGGTAAAACATAATTTCTGGATGTGTCTGTGATGGTGTTTCTGGAAGAGATTAGCATTGGAATTGGTAAACTAAGTAAAGAAGATCATCCCCACCAATGTGGGTGGACATCACCTAGTGTGATGAGGACCCAAATACAGCAAAAAGGCAGAGGCAGGGTGAATTAGAAATTTGGCCTCTCTCTCCTTGAGCTGGGGCATCCATCTTCTCCTGCCCTCTGACATCTGAGATCCTGTTTTCCAGCCCTTCAGAGACTTGCAACATCACAAACCTCCTCCTCCTCTTCTCCTCCCTCTTCTTCAGCCCTCAGGCCTTGCACTGGGACAATGGGATGCCCACCGTTGACCAAGGGCTCCTTGGTCCTGGGCCTTCAGACTCAGTCTGAATTACACCACCAGCTTCCTCATTCACCTGCTTGCAGGTGGCAGATCTTGGGACTTCGCAGCCTCCAAAATCACATGAGCAAATTCCTATAATAAGTCTCCCCCCTCCGCCTCTCTCCCTCTCTCTCTCTCTGGAGAGAGATGGTTCTGTTTCTCTGGAAAACCCTGACACACACACACACACACACTCACACACACACATTTATACACACACATACACATACATACCATGATACTGGTGTCATTTTTATGAAAAATTCTTTACTAAAGAGGAAAGAACTAATCCACCACCCTTTTTACACATTGGGCAAGGGCAGGTGTAATTAAATTGAAAATATGCTCTTGATTGACTTCTAAGCAGCTCTGTTGAATGGAGCGGTGATTCCAAACACTGATCGACAGTCTTACAATCAACAGAGCAATGAAGCCAGGACACGAGCAACCAGTAAGAGGCTGTCCTGTGAGGGATGATAACTGCTTCTTGCTGCGTAGATGGAGAAGAATCTAGACATTGAGTTGTGACAAGTCCATGCCCGAAGCTGATTAGGCTGCTCACACAGCATGTGCATAAATGGCAATAATTAAGCTCCACTGGATAACAGCTGGGCTGTCACTTCCCACATCCTCCATGCTGGCCTGCCTGAACAGAGGCATTCATGCCTTGCCTGGCTTTATCTAAATTAGGCTCCTTTGTAGGAAATGATATCTGAAAGTAGCAATAATAACCAGAAGCAGTTACATTTTGTGTTGATGGGAAATATTAGTATAAATAACAAAATACGAAATGCATATCCAGTGGCTAATCTCTTGTGGGAACATTTCCATGGATGGACTTCCCACATTCTTACTTTCTTTGAAATGGAGATGTCAGCATCTTTCCCAGGACTCCGTTCCTGGGGGATTATGGTTGCTGGATTTATTTTGACATCATCATTTCACAATAAGAAGTGTCTAAAGAAAGAAGTGGCTATAGAATTGTCTAAAGAAAGACTTTGAAGACTTCACAAGATAATTACAAACCCATCAGGGGTGTCAGGTGGCCTGTAACAGTGGCTTAAAACTTGGGACATAGGTAAAGCTGTTAAGGAACAAGTCCTCTCATTCTTTCCTTTTTATTTTTTGATTAGTTGGTTGTGTTGACCAGAGATCACTAACGTATTGTATGATTGCCCTCATGCATACTGCGATTGGGTCACACACAAGGAAATTGTAAATGGTTTTCTATTTCACCCACCTGCCTATCTTTTACCCTTCCTTTAAACACATTTAACAGACTCTTGACTTTCAATTAAACTCCAATTTTTAAAATTCTACTCTAACACTTCCCATTTAAAGTGCAGTCATAACTGGGAGAGAACAAATCCATGCCAGGATGTGGCTGGGTCCTGAGTGATAAGCTCAGCTCTCGAAAGCCAGCCATGCCTCCCGCAGGATCCAGATCCCTTGGGGGCAGTTACAAGTAATACCACAGCTCATGGACTGCAGTTGCTCTTACACCTATAATGCCTCAGGTCTACTGTGCCCATGCACTATACTAGGGCTGAGGACAGGTATAAAAGCCACACTCTGTGCCTTCCAATACACATTAAAGGGAGAAGAGAGGCATCTGATATGGTTTGGCTGTGTCCCCACCCAAATCTCATCTTGAATTGTAGCTCCCATAATTCCCATGTGTTTGGGAGGGACCTGGTGGGAGGTAATTGAATCATGGGGTCAGTTTCCCCCATATTGTTATCATGGTAGTGAATAAGTCTCACTAGATCTGACGGTTTTGTGAGGGGAAACCTGTTTCACTTGGCTCTCATTCTCTCTTGTCTGCCACCATGTATGACATGACTTCCACCTTCCGCCATGATTGTGAGGCCTCCCGAGCCACGCAGAACTGTGAGCCCATTAAACCTCTTTTTCTTTATAAAGTACCCAGTCTCTGGTATGTCTTTATCAGCAGTGTGAAAATGAATTAATACAGCATCCTCGCTATATCATGCTGGATGGTAAATACTGGTTAGAGATTTACACAGGGTACTGTGGATCCTCTCCCAGCGATGGGAAGGTAGGCAGTGAGCAGAGATTGAGGAAGGTGCCCAAGATGCCCCTAGACCATGCCTGAGAGGTCTTTCTGTCTTTTCTATTTTTCTGTTTCTTCCTGTCCTACCATTTCTTCTTCCTCCCACTTCCTTCTTTTCTTCTTCTCCATATTTATTCATTCTCTTTTACTTTCCTTTTTCTCTTCTCATAGTTTTTCCTCTCCTCCCCTACTCAGACCTCCATTTTACTACCTGCCCCCACTACTCAAATGGGCAATGCTTAGGAATGTTGAATTTCTTATTTTCTCTAAATACCATGTTTTTTTCATGTCTCTGGACTTTGGCACATACACAGACAAGCACACCATGTGATCTAAAAATGTTAGGATATAATCATAATGTAACACTTCCCAGCTAAACATCAATCTCATCCATTTCAAGCCTGATGTTTAGTAAGAAATAAAATATGGCAAGGGGGCAAAAAACAAGTTCACTTATATCTGAGCTGTTCTCTGCTGAGTAATATAAACAAAATATTTTAGTTGAAAAGTCTCACTCCAAATATGAGTTATATTTTTAAAAAGGAAAAGGCAAAATAGACTTTTGTGGATATACAGAAATCAGTAAGCATCAAAACCATTGGTTTGAAACTAACATAAATCATCTACCTTTAGCCTGACCTTTTATAGTGCTTGTGCTATTGGCATTCTGGGGGGAGAATTTATTGTTCAGACTGCCTTTGTATCATCAAAAATTAAAAACTTTTATACTTCAAAGGATACCATCAAGAAAGTAAAAACAAAAAAAAACAGAATGACAGAAAAATTTTATAAACTATATATCTGATAAGGGGCTTGTATCTAGAATGTATAAAGGTGTCTTACTATTTAATAACAAAAAGGCAAATAACCCAAATTTAGAAATGGACACAGGACCTAAATAGATTTTTCTTTAAAGAATATACACAAATGGCCAATTTTCACATGAAAAGACATTCAACATCATGAGCCATCTGGGAAATGCAAATCAAATCCACAATGGGATACCACTTTATATCCACTAGGATGGCTATAGTAAAAGAAACACAATAACAAGTGTCGGAGAGAATATGGAGAAATCAGAACCCTCGTGGACTGCTAGTGGGCATGCAAAACAGTGTAGCTGCTTTAGAAAACAGCCTGGCAGCTCCTCAAAATGTTAAACATAGAGTTACCACATGACCTAGCAATTATCCTCCTAGGAACATACCCCAGAGAAATGAAACCATGTGTCTACACAAAAACTTCACATGCATGTTCATAATATACATAGCATTAAAGAGAGTCAAAAAATGGAAACTATCCCAAAGTCCATTAACTGAAGATTGGATAAAAAAAAATGTGGTATATCCATGCAATAGAATATTATTCTGCAATAAAAAGAAATACAATGCTGATACATGCTACAACATGGATGAATTTTGAAAACATTACACTAAGTGAAAGAAGCCAGTCACAAAAGACCACCTATTGTATGACTCCATTTATGTGAAATGTACAAAAAGACAAATCTATAGAAAAAGACAGTAGATCTGTGGTCACCTAGAGCTGGGAATAAGGGGAGAAATGGGGCATAATAATGGTTATTATTCTTGTGATACTGAAAATGTTCTAAAATTGATTGATTGGCTGCACAGCTAAAAGCCATTGAATTGTACACTTTAAGTGTGTGAATTATATGGTATGTGGATTATATCTCAATAAAGCCTTTAAAAAAAAAAGACTTCCTGGGACATTATAGAACTGATCCCACACCACCCACCCCAACTCTAAATGCCGGTAGCACTCCTTCTGTCATTGTGACAAACCACTCAAACAGCACAGAAATTTCCAAATTCCCCCTGATTGAGGGAACACACTTCCCCCCTATTGAGAATTACTGGAAAAGAATAATGCTGAGGCTGGGTGCGGTGGCTCACACCTGTAATCCCAGCACTTTGGGAGGCTGAAGTGGGTGGATCACCTGAGGTCAGAAGTTCTATAGATGGTGAAACCCCATCTCTACTAAAAATACAAAAATTAGCCAGGCGTGGTGGCAGGTACCTGTAGTCCCAGCTACTTGGGAGGCTGCGGCAGGAGAATCGCTTGAACCTGGGAGGCAGAGGTTGTAGTGAACCGAAATTGTGCCACTGCACTCCAGCCTGGGTGACAGAGCAAGCCTCCATCTCAAAAAACAAACAACAACAACAAAAAACAAAAAAAAAAAAAACGAAATAAAAATAATAATAATAATAATGCTGAATGAGGTGACGAACGAGCACAATGGGGATGCCCAAGGCTCTTGCCATCAGGTACTCATGCAACGACGAAAACAAAAGTCTTCTCCACTGTTTTTTCTCTAAATTACAGGACAGTCTACAATCAGGAAAAATAAAATGAACCTTCCTTTAAAACATCCTATATGTTTCTTTCAAAAATGCATTGTGACATTTTCAAAATTCATTTCCTTTCAAAATGCATTCTTTCAATGCACTGGCATTGTGACATTGGGAGCAATCTCACATTAATTTTTCTGAGGCTACTTTCATTTCCAAAATAGCCAAACATTTTAATCTCTGAAATGGGGGTGTTTTCAAACCCATAATCTAGATAGGAAATGATTTCTGACAGCCTGTAAGAGTGTCTGTGACACAGTGCTTCCACGGCTCTCCAGTAAAGAGTAATCTAATTGAGAGAAAATATATTGACAATCATACAGGCAGAGAAGAGGGTGAATATGGAGTGAAAGATTAGAAGGAATGATCTCAGCTCAACATCATCAATGCTTATGTAACAAAAAGAGGTCAAACGTGGAATAAGAAAAGTCAGACCAATGAATTATGTGATGATTTAGTGAGTGAGAGCCAGAAACTACCTGAGTATGACTGTGTTATTATACTGGCCTGTAGGAATGACAGCCAGTGCATAGGACTTAATATATTAATCATAGCCCTTTAATCTCTGTACATGCTGATTACCCTCCTCTCTTAGGCTTTGGAGTTACATTTTTTCATCACACACACACAAAAATGTTTTATTTGAAAGGGATAACCCCATTCCGCCCAAAATTGATGCTGTAAGTTGGGTGGGGCTAAGGGTGGAGTCAAAGCTATCCCTACATGTAGGCCAGTGGCTAATTCTTATCCTAAATGACAAAAGACCTGAGTAATAGATGATGTGTAGATACATGTGTTGGCAGAACATTTGTCACCCATGGGCTGTGACATGGGGAGGGCAAAGACCAGTGATGGGGTTCCAATTTGGGAAGACATTCAATTGGCATCCACATGTATGAGGGCCAGGCCTAGGAGATTCTAAACATGCAGCCAAAGCAGGAGTGACTTGAGAAGACAGATGAGAAACAGGAGATTGGGGTAGTTGTGGTTAAGAGTCTAGACTCAGAAGCTAGACTGGTTGGCTTTGAATTTTAGCTCTTCCCATCTCTCATTGTGTAATGCTGGAGAAGCCACTTAACATGTCTGTGCCTCACTTTTTCCGTCTGTAAAATGGGGATGGTAGACAGTCTCTACCTCAAAGGCTTAATGTGAGGCTTTATTGAGTTACTCACCCAAAGCACATTGAAGGGTGTCAGGCGCACAGAAATCCCTGGAGCTTTATTATTCCACCAGGAAAATCTGCTACCAGCTGTTCTCCCTATGTACTCCAACACATTGCCCACTAGATGCCCATGTTGGGGCTGCTGGGAGTGATGGCTTTTCCTTCCTCATAGGAAAACACACCAGGACTAGGGCTATTGGAAGAAGCCAGAAAAGTGATTTCTTGCACCTATTTATTCTCTTGAGGGCCATTCCCCACTGTAGCTGGGAAATGGTCTCATGAATGCCCAAGCCAGAAGGAATTTTAGGGATGTGAGCCCAATTCACCCATTTGCAGATGAGACAATGTGCTCAGAGAGGTGGTATGAGTTGCCCAACATCACTCAGCTGTTACAGCAAAAGTGAGCGTAGACCCTAGCCACTCACTTTAATACTTTTTTCTATTTCACCATGATCTGGGGCTAGATCTGAATGATTCAGCCTTCCAAATGGAGGCACAGTGGCACCAACCTAGTGGGCTGGGTGTGTGGTGCTCATAGGATCCGTCAAAATCCTGGGCAGTTCATCCCTCAAGCTCCCTCTTCATCATCCCAAGATCTCCAGGAATGGCCCAGCTGTCACCTGGGGACCTGAAGGACCCAGGAGGACTCCACAGAGCCTCTTGCCCAAGATGTGAGTTTGGAGACACAAGTGCCTCTCTGGAGTAAGGGTAAGCCCAGAAAACGCCATTATGCACTTTCTCAGGAAACTTCAGCAACTGCAAGCAGTGGAGATGATGCAAGTCAAAGGAGAAACCACCCAAAAGAGGGGACAGTTTAAACTTAAACAAGCACAGCCTTCAGAGAGCCCCCACCCTATGCCGAGAGTGCCTCAGTCCTTCCCAGCAGGGAGTCCACCTTCATATCATGCACGGCAGGGATGACTGCTTTTTTCCAGCCCTCTGAAGTTACATGATGATTCCCTTTGGGGGCTATCATGTGACAGGGCAAACTGAAATACTTGTTTTGCAAACTTCACCCCAATGAGGGAGACTACGGAAAAACATGTCAGCAAGTGCCTGTGGATATTGTGCTTTGGAAGCTTAAGTGCCCTCTGGATTTCAAGGGAGTGGATTTCATGAACCCTTGACAGATTGTCAAGCCAAGATAGGGGGTCAAGTCTAAATGCGGAACTTACCATCTGACTTTTGAAAGGCACTTGCATAGGAACAAAGGTTACCCTTTGTTGAATTTGTTAAAACAATTAGAGGCAGTAATTAAATGTTTCAACCCAATTTCACATATCAAATTTAGTCCTAATTCCAGCTCTTCATGAGAAGAAACCATCTTCAGCCTGCAGATATATTTCATTTCAGGTCCTTTGGTTCAGGAGCCCATGAGGGAATTAACCAAAACCCTGGTTATTAAAAAAAAAAAAAAAGCAAGGGATTGAGCCCCAGTTAAACTCCCACACAGTTGTGGCAAGTTTTGATTTACCTGGTGCTTCTAAACAGATGCTTCTGAATTCAAGGCCATGTACCTTGAACCAACAGATGGTTCTGAAAGGTCATGAACTATTTTGGTGTCCTAACTGGTATTTACTGACACATGGTTACCTATACAGGGGACATTACAAGCAAAGAAATCCTCTTTGGGGCCCAAACCCAAGGATCAGCCCCAAGCCATGATGGACCAGTATCCATAACCTAGATCAGTGGCTTATAAAACTTTTTGGCCTCGGGACTTCTCTGCATTCTTAACAATTGATTCACAGCCCCTAAAAGCTTTTGTTTATGAGAGCTATATTTGTCAATATTTACCATACTAGAAATTAGAACTAATAACATTCTTAATATGTAGTGATTCATTTAAAAATAACAATAAACCCATCACATATATAAACATACATAACACATTTTTATCAAATATGAGAACAGATTCTAAAACAAAAATAATTAGTGAGGACAATGGCATTGTTTAACATTTTTGCAAATCTTTCTAATGTCTGGCTGGAAGACACCTAGAATCTCATATTTGCTTCTGCATTCAATCTGTTGCAATATGTTGTTTTAGTTAAGCTATATGAAAAAAAATCATATATTTAATTGGAAAATAAAGAAGTTTATAAATTTTTTTAGATAATTCTGGATATTATTACTGCTACACAAAAGTTCAACAAATAGTAATTTCTTAAGGCAAAAAAAGATATAAAATTGGGTCAATTAACTTTTTGCTCATTAATGTGGCTTAACATCCATGGTCTATCTTGCATTTTGCATGGATCTTTTACTCATGTTTGATTTCAGACCATCACACAGTAGTTGTTTGGAAAATATTGATTCACTAAGTTATGCATGTCTTCCAAATGTTGACACATTTCCATATTACAGTAACAAAAAATCACATTTGTTATTATCACTTCTGGTCTCATCAGAAATGTGTTTAATGTTGGGCAGCTGTCAGGCTAACAGTGATGGATGTAAGGTTTGCAAAATTCCATTTTTCTAATGTCTAAATATTCTGTTGATAGTTTGAATTGCATCATTGGCAACAAATCCATTCCGTGCATATGTCAACACATTGGAAAAGATAAAAAATTTCTTGGTATATACTGAAAATAGTTTTATTTAACAGATCCTTCTGAAAGGGTTTCGGAAAGTCCCCCCACCAACAGCGTTCTGTAGACTACACTTTGAAAAGCACTGGTTTATATGAAAGGTTGGTCTAAGGGCTGCCCCATGCCCCTCCACCTGTATCTCACCTTGGTTCCCAATGTGGCTTAAATGGAGGAAAAGAAATGTTTTTCTATTCCCTAGCCATATGAAACAAATTCCAAAACAAGAAATAGCTGTCTAAATGGGGAAAGAGATTGTATGAACCAAGAAAGCAAGCCATATAGAAGAAAGAACACTTAACCACTTGACTCCTCTCCCAGAAAGCCCATAATAAGCAGGTGTTCCTAGACTGCTGACTGGTACAGCCATATCCTTCCTGGTACAAGAGTAATTGACAGAGAAATCTAGAGCACATCCTCGGCTCCCAACAGCTATAGCATGAAAATTTCATTCCCTGCACTTCTTTAAAAAAAAAAAACGCATTTATTCTTAATATAAGGAGCGAGATCCAAAGTCTACCAAAGGTTCTAGTACTTCCATTAGGGAAGTAATCAGCAAAATTCCAAAAAAAGACCTGCATCTAAGTGAGACTGTTTCTTATCTTTTCCCTTTGTCCTAAGATCAGTATCTCAAGACGGTTTTCAAATGACTCTTTGATGCTTTCCCCAGAAGTTGTTTTACTATTTTATTTTCCAAAGTAACTTTTGGTTTTAAAATTGTATTAGGCATATTTTCAAACATACTTAGAAGTGTTAAAATGATTAATTGGGGGGTGGGTGGGCATTAGGCTAAGACAGCTCCAGCACCTTGGGTTCCCACATAAGCACACCAAAACCCAACTCAATGTAAACAGTGAAGGGAAACTTGAGCTTAACCAATCAGAAACTGCCAACTCACCTCTAACTGGAGACTTTACCAATCAGGAACCTCCAACTAACCTCTAATTAGGTATTTTCCACTTTAGCCAATCAAATATTTCCTTTATCTTTCTTCCAGGAACACTCTATAAAAGTTCCCCCTTCACACTCCTACAGTGGAGCACTGAACCACTTGAGGTCTGGTGTTGCCTGTTTCATGAATCACTGAATGCCCAAATAAATTCACTGAGATTTTAATGTGCCTAAATTTTTCTTTTAACAGCAGTTAAGAAAATAAAGAACCTCCATATAGTCTTTACCTAGATCAACAATTATTAAAATTTTGCCCACATTTGCTTCAGTTATTTCTTTTTTACTTTCTTTTTTCTTCTTCTTCATTGAAGTATTTTAAAGCAAATTCCAGACATCAAGTCATTTCACTGTACATAATTCAAAAGGCATTTCTAAAAACATTACTTATGTAACCAAGATGCCATTATCACATGTAATAAAGTTAACAGTCATTCCTTTGTTTCCTGTAATACCCAGTCCATAAAAAATGTTCCCAGGTGTCTCAAAAATGTCAATTACATTTCATTGATTCAAATCAGAATCCAAACAAGGTCCACTCATTACCTTTAATGGTTATGTCTGAATTCTCTTTTAATCTAGAGGTTTTCTTTCTTAGTTTTTCGTGTGCCAGTCATTGACATGTTGCAGAAACTGTTAACCGCATATAAAATGTTCCATGTTCTGTAATTGTTTCCTTATGGTGTTTGCTTGTTTCTCCATCTTCTTTGTGTTTCCCGTAAATGGTAGTTAACCCTGCACGTTTTATTAGATTTAGGTTCAATTATTTTTTTTTGCAGGAATCCTTCATCAGTAGTGCTGTGAGCTTCATATCATATCACACCAGGAGGTATA
The DNA here is from genome assembly GCF_000001405.40 of Homo sapiens. Taxonomy (NCBI): domain Eukaryota; kingdom Metazoa; phylum Chordata; class Mammalia; order Primates; family Hominidae; genus Homo; species Homo sapiens. The sequence continues at coordinate 27,184,235 of NC_000008.11, forward strand.
CAATCTCTAGACATCCCGTGGTTAGTGATGCATGACCGATCAATGAATTCAGAAGGTGGCAGTCTGATCTCCTCTCCTCCCCCGCTATAAAGCTTCCCATCAACCTTTCACCTAGTGCTTCATCTATTGGTGATCATGAACTGCTGCAAAATGGTGAGTCTTCATTTCATGATTGCCTTCACAGCTTTAGCTGGAGCTCTTCTCTAATAATGGACGCTTTATCTCATCATCTAGATAAGATAACTCTTATCAGGCTTTGTGATAACTCTGAAATATAGGTCATATGAAAAGATGGAATAAATGTCTAATTCTTTACTTTTAGTTCCTGGCTTTTGAGACAAGTTGCTTTTACTTTTGTTCCTTCCAGTGGTGTTCAATGAGCTTTTTCTTAAGTATCATTTTGAACTCTTGGCTTTCTATACAGCAAGTATGTTTCAACCAGTTGCATTCATTATTCTTTTTAATATTCATATATCTCATCTTTGGCCAATGGGAGCCCCTTCTTTTTTGGCACCTGTGTGTTTTGAACATGTACTATGCATCTTTTTTAGCTTACTTTTAGGCCCAATGGAACATTCCAGGGTCTTAATATATATTTCCTTTCTCACAACGGCATTCAGTTATTCTCCAGGGTTCTTGGTGTTCTCCAATAGCAATAATATTTAAGATCACAGTCTCAGTCAATGGAATGTACCCGTCGATTATGGGCTGTCATTTCTTTTTAGCCTTTTCAATGGACAAATCTAGAAAATATGTAATTTTGAAATAAAAATTTCAAAGGTTCATACTAATATTTCCTGTTCAGGTATTATAGAGCTTTACTTACATTCTCTAATTTTTCACTTACGCTTCCCTTTTTACACTGAAAATTTGGCTTTCAAACATTCCTAATATAATTATTTGTTTGTAATATCTTATCATATGCTTAAAAGAGATTCAAAATAATAATTCCAATGTTACCCCTAACAAACTATGGAATCCAACTTAATATAATTTTGCTTTTTTATGTTTCCTTACTATGTATTTCACTAAAAATGTATAGTCAAAATACTGTTTTAAATATTAAGACAGAAATAATTTTTTTCTATCTGTGGTTTATTTAAAAACTAGTTGTTAGTGTTTACTTTAGGTTGTTTTTCATTTTTAGATATAGTTTTTAAGTATGTAATACATTTATAGGTTTTGGAAGCCAAAATTACATAACAAAATGTATATTCAGAGACGTTTCACCTCCAAATCTACCCCACGCATTTTCCTGTTTCATCTATAACTGGATAATTTTCCACTTTATGAATGTGCCATCCATCATCAAGTCCTTTACGCTACATTTTTATGGTGTCACAATTGTTGTAGTGTACAACCTTGAATATTAGCTATTTAATAGCTTTTCCCATAATGTTTTTGGGATAGAGCCTTAGAACTGGAATTACAGGGTCAACTGATCAGTGACTATGATATTTTGATACTATGATACTGCCAAATTCATCTCTGCAAATGTTACACCATTCTGACTTCCCGTCAGCAATGTGTGAGACTGCCCATTTCCCACAGCTTGCCAATGAACAAAGCTGAGCATTTTTTGGCCGTATGTTAAACACCATGTTCATTTCCTCTTCTGTGAAGTGTCGGTTGACATTTTTTGCTCATTTCCCAGAAGCTCCTTTAAGATTGTAATTACCATTTCACTTAAATTAACCCCCAAATCATATTATATCCTAGACTAAGAAATCCATCTACAATCTATTTCCATTCTCAAATTTTGTCACTATGTTACCCAACAAAGGCAAAAAGATAGGCTTTTACAAAGTGCATCACCACAGTCAAAAACTGCAATGTCAGCAGTATAAGATGCCCACTCCATTAAATTTCATCCTCATAGCAGCTCTGTAAGGGAATATTACTATTACCGCAATAATTTGAGGAAATTAAATTTTAGAAATATTAAATAACAAATCTAAGATTACGCAGTTAATAACAAAGCCAAGACTCAAATCCAAGTCTCTTTCACGCCAAATTTTATTCTCTTTATGCTAGGCATTGCCTAGTGTTGTCTGCCTTATTACTGTTTTAAACTTCATCCAGTAGCTCCTAACCTTTTTAATTTTTTATATCTTATTTCCCCAACTAAATTATAAGCTCCATGAGACGGCATTTTAAATATACAGTTGTTTAGGTCTGTCAAGTTCAAACTGTCTGTAGAGTGTAGCCATATACTTCTCTGTAGATGGATATTAATTTTTTTTTTTTGAGACAGGGTCTTGCTCTGTCACCTGGGCTGTAGTGCAATGGTGTGATCATAACTCACTGCATCCTTGAACTTCTGCTCTCAAGTGATCCTCCCACCTTAGCCTCCCTAGGAGCTGGGACTACAGACATACACAACAATGCCCAGCTAATTTTTTTAACTTTTCGTAGAGACAAGTTCTCACTATGTTGCCCAGGTTGGTCTCAAACTCTTGGGCTCAAGAAATCCTTCTGCCTCAGCTTCCCAAAGTGTTGGGATTACAGGCATGAGCACTGTGCCTGGCGATGTTTTTTCTATCAAGCCTATATTATATATGTATTGTGTGTGTGTGTGTGTGTGTGTGTGTACAACAGGTATACGTATATGTGTGTGTATATATTATATACATATTATACACACACACACACACACACATACACATATACATACATATTCCTTCCTGTCTACACAACTAGGGAATGGTGCGTGTGTAGAATGATGAGTAAACCAGATAGTTTTGGAAAATTAATAATCGCAGCAAGGCTGTACAAGGGCTGCCTGATCAGCATTCACCTAGTATAACAAGTGAGTTTTAAAACGTGAGATTAGGCAAATACCCCGAGAGTGGAAATAGCTATTCAAACTAGACCACAAAGTCAGATAGGTCTGACTTTGAAACTTCTGGAAACCTACTAATGTGAGGAATGCATAATAAAGCATTTGATAAATTGAGCCAATACCTCCTGATTCGAATTTGATATGTTAGAGTAAGTGGTTGGGGGAATATCTCCGAGGACAGAGGCATCAGAGGAGTGAAAGGGGAGAGAAGCAGGGGAGTGTATTTCGTATATCACCAAGTCTGGGCCACGCTGGAAACAGTTACAGGCATCATCAAGATATAAGAGCCCAGAGTGGGACAAATGTGAAAGCCATTTCTGATCTAACAACAACTATAATTATAAGATGCACAGATATACATACACAATATCATCTAAATATAAAGCCCTTATTTATATGCTTATTTATGTTCTTAGAAGAGAAGTGAGAATATAGCTGAACTTAATTCCTTGTTTTGAAGGGGCGTGGTGCCCAAAAGTTACCATTTTACTCACCTCTGCCAATTAACAAAACATTGGGGGAAATTAAAAGTAAACAGCTAAATTCTATCAAAAATAAAATGTACCTATCATGTTTTTAAGAGGTATATTTAAAGATAGTGACATCAAATATTTAACACTTATGGAACATATAAATGTCATTTGTGCAAGATAAGCTAAAAAATGAAGGTTATATCATTAATATCATAGTTGAGTTTAATGCAAACAATGTGAAATAAGCCAGGAAGGCCACTTTAAACTGGTAAAAGGTACAATTCACAATGAACACGTGTTGTGAATGTTATGTGCTGGATCTCTCATCTCCAACTGCTCTTTTTCTAGCTGCGTCTGCTCCAAGCACACTGGTTTACTTCTTGTGTGAACACACCAGGAGTGCTCCTGCCTCAGGGCCTTAGCACTTGCTGTTCCTGTTGCATGGATTGCTCTAGCCTCAGAGAGCTGCAGCCTGACACCTTGACCTCCTCAGATCTTTGCTCAGCTATTGTCTGACAGTGAGGTCTTCACTGACCGCCCTATTTAAAGTTGTAACTCCCTTCCCCTGACAACAACCTGTTCTATTTCCCTGTCTTATTATTCCTTATAATCCTTATCTGCACCTAGCATACAAGTTGTTTTACTTATTTATATTATTTATTGTCTGTTTGCCTCCAGCGGAATGAAAAGTCCCAGGGATTATTTATCTATTCTATTACTAGACTAAGAACTAGTAGAGTTCCTAGCACATATTGGGTGGTCAATAAAGAGCCTTCAATGGTGGAATGAATAAGTTATATTGTATTAGAAATAGAAAGAGAATTTTATAGAAAACAGTAGTAAGGAGGAATTTAAAATAGCAAAAAAATAAAAACTTAAGAAGATTACAGAGGCTAAGTAATGTAACTAAGGTTGACTCAATAGCTATACTATGTATCAAACTTTAAATCATACATGTGTATTTTTAAGCAAACATGGAACATTTACATTAACTTGTCACATATTAGGCCACAAAATAATTTCAATGTGTTTTTCAAGGAGAGTTTGTACAGGATGTGTTTGTAAAATTATTATAATAAAAATGGAAATTAATAACCAATGGAGAAGTAAAAATAACCTCTTCCAAATAATTACTGAATCAAAGAGTATATCAAAACTGCAATTACCAATTATTTACAAAATGAAACCATGAGAACCTGACATATCAAAATGGGTGAATTTCCATCAAAGATATACTCGTAGGAAAATTGAATGCCTTAACATTTTCATTCCTAAATCAGTAAGAATGAAATAAATGAACTAAACATTCAGTTGAGGAAATTGGAAAGTGAACCCCAAAACGAACTTCAACAAAGTGGGATTATATTGATAAATTTTAATTTTTTTAATATTTTTAAAAATTATTCTATTAATGAGCTGAAATAAATATATTTATAAATATACACAAGTGTTAGTTCTTTGAAAAAGAAAATAACATGGAAAAATTTCTGGCTAGTCTACTCAAGAGAAAAAGTAAAAGCAAAAGTCCACAGTTATATAACGTAGGAAAGGGAAAGTGGATGTATCTATATAGAAAAATTAGACATTACAATAAAATATAATACTCACTGCTTTCACATGTTAACATTTACTGAAGGGTTTCTATCAACAGACACTTGTCTTCTCACTTGGTTTTCAAAAGCCCAGTGACATTGCAGGTGGGATTAAATATACAAGGGATTTATTGAGGGAGAACACCTGTGAGAGGCTAATGGAAGAGTGTTGAAAAAGTCCAGGAAAGTCATCACGTGGAGGGGCAGAGTTGACTCTTGTGGAGGAGAAAGGGAAGGAAGGAGGGAAGGAAGGAAGGAAGGAAGGAAGGAAGGAAGGAAGGAAGGAAGGAAGGAAGGAAGGAAGGAAGGAAACTGGAATAGAATGAGCCTTAGACTGTAATGCAGTTATAAGATAGTCTGGGCAAGGCTGATGGGAGTCCTCAAGGGAAAGAGAGTACCCACTAGAGGAGCCCCTGGCATCTCAGAACCTGGACTGCTTTAGAATCCCTGCTTTGCTCTGTCATCGCTGGGAGCACCTGTGGGAAGCCTGGCCTCAGCTTGGACACTATTGGATTTAGAACATAGCACTTCAGGGACATAAAGGAGACTTGAATAATTGTAGAAAAATGCCATTCTACTCCTACATGAAAATATTCAATGAGTCAAAATTTCACTCCTCCTCAATTTGGATTACACAATTCTATAAAATATCCAATAGAATTTGGAAATGACCTAGAAAATTGTTTTTAAAGTTTTTCTTTTGTTCTGGATTGCTAACTTCATGGTTGGCCATGATAAATTTGAGCCAAAATAAAATTATTTTAGAAGAGTTATTCTATTTTATTTTAAAGCATAAAAGTATATTTATTAAAATAATACTGGAACAGGTATGAAAATATAGATTAGTGGGACAGAAAAGAAAATCACAGAAAACTGTAATATATGCACAAGGATGTATTATGTGTTAAAGAAATTTAGAACATTCAATGTGGAAAAAAGAAGGATTACACAAAAATACTAACAAATAACTGGTTTGTAATAATTTAAAATCAGAATCTTACCTCAATCCATACATCCAAATGAATTCCAGATGGAGTAGTTAAACTTAGGGCAGGAAATAAAATCCAAGAGTTTCAGAAGAAGCAACAGATAAATATTTATATAACTGTGTGGTAGGGGAAAATTTTCCAAACATTAAACCAAAAACAGAGGCCTTAAAGGAAAAAAAATACTAGATTTAACTAAATAAAATTTTTAAATATCTGTGCATCAGAAAATGACAAAACAAAAATAAATAAATATAACTAATTGGGATAAATATGTCCCAAACTATTTCAAAAGTTAAATAACCTCCTGATATGAAGAGCAAGAGTAAATTAATAAGAAAAAGGTAAACATTCCAATAGAGCAAATAAATAAGGGATGTTAGCAGCGAATTCACAAAGTAAGAAATATAGACGCAAAAAATTATTTTTCATGTGTTTAGTCTTACTAATAATGAAAGAAATACAAATAAAACCAATGAAATTCAATTATTGGAATCTATGTTTGAAAAGATGATGCTATCCTGGAATGGTGAGGGTAGAGAAAATGGTATAGCGTTGGTGTAAAGTGTGAAGTGGATTAACTTTATGCGAGGTAGTTTGGCAGTATATTTCAAAAGTCTTAGATTTTTATATCCTTTTTGAGCTAACAATTCTTGGAATGTATCCTAGGGGATTAATTATGAATGTATGCAAAAAACTTGTCCTCATGGGTAAACACCCCCTCACTGTTTTTGTAAGTCAGTACACACATTTTGAGAAAGAAACAGTCAAAATACTCATTGTCAAAAAATATTAATTTGATTAGTTATGATATGTGCTTACAAATGAATATTAATACAACCATTGAAACACACTGTTGTAAGAGAAAAATTAATAACATGAAAAAATGTTAATGACACAATTTCAAATGGAAAAAGCAGATTACAAAAAGTATACGCCAAATGATTCAATTTTAGAAATACTTTAGAATATATATGCAAAGACAGGTACGCATGCATAGAACAAAGATTGGAAAGCTATCGAATAAAATGCTAACTGTTTTTACCTAAGTGGTAGGATTATTTTTAGTTTTTTCTTTTTGCTTATCTATACTTGCCAAATTTCATATAATAAACATGTGTTGCTTTTCTAAAAAGCCAGTAAAAGTTACGTTAAAATTTTTAATTCACTTGAAAAGTGTCTTTCCTATAGATACTATCTGTGACAATAACAGCATCCAAGCAGGAAGGGAGAGGGGCAAAGTCCATCATTTGTCCAAACTGATTTCTCTTAGCATATGGAATTTACATTTTTGTCCCATGGGAAAACCTAGGGGACAAAAACCTAGGGGGACATTTTAAAAAAAATGGGACTCCCAGTCTCCAGGTCATTTTTGTGCAACCTCCATCCCTAACTCCTATATTTTAAACTCATGATTTTCCTTTAGGTTTTCCTTGGGTTGCTGTGTTCCAAGCGTAAACTGAATATGAGTTTGTCCACAATTCTGTCCTGTGACTCTGACATCCACACTTTTAAAAGTTAGCATTCCAAGGAAATTAGTGAGCATACATTCCCACTCTTCAAAGCTCATTTTTTAAATAGCTCTCCACCCCAAGGCTCTCTCTGTCCCTGTGTAGCTACTGTTGATGCTTCTGAGATTCATGAGAACAGTGTTTCCTCTGCCAAATGTTCCTAGTTGCAACCTTCCAGTACTCCCCAGAGCTTTAGACACCTTACCTGCACTTATTACAGCACAAATATCCTCTAAGACCCTTTAATCCAGCTACAGTAGAACATGACTTGATTTCCCCGGAGTATCATATCAGTCCCTTAAATCTGCATGATAATTTAGAGAAAGTATCAACCCCTTAAAATCAAAGTTCTCCAGTTCAAAATTCTGTGTGTTTAGGGGTGACTCCACCACCAAGTTAGAAAAGGATCAACCACACCTCATCCTACATCCTTCTCCTATGATGATCTACTCCAGATGCACAGTTACGTTTGCACCTTGAGTGAGCCTGTCCTGGCCATTCACTCGCTTATTCATTCAATAAATATCTACTGAGCACTTACTTTCTCCTGGACACTACACTAGGCACTAAGTAGACATTGTGAAAGAAAGCCGATGGGGTTTCTCTTTTGCAGAGTGTATACTCTATTGAAGGAGATATCAAATGAACGAACAAATTCTTAAACATTGTGATAAATGCCAACATAGCTACTACAGTGATGGAGCAAAATAGAAAAAAAGAGATTTATTTAAACAGAAAAAGAAGGCTTGCCTCTCTGAGGAGGTAGCATCTCAGCTGGGACCCAAAGGGTGAGAAAGAATATAATCTGTGATGAGGGCATGCAGGCTGGGCTGCTGTTGGCCAATGCATGCCTAGTCCTTTCCTTGTGCTGCCAGATGTCCATCATGATTGGCTGAAGTTCATGCCAAATTGGAGGGCCTCTGCCATACTGAAATGTTTGAATATCACTTCTGGATACAAGTTAACAGAATAGCATGAGCAAAACTTGTGCAGCAGAAAACTTACCAACATGTTTAAGAAATCTAAAATCAGCTGTCATGAATGGTAAGTAGTGAGGGGGAGGCATAAAGCTATGGTGAGTGAAGTTTGCAGAGACAAGACTATGGCAAAGAATAAAATTTTCTTCCATATTCCATAGAAAACTACTAGAGAATTTAAGCTCAGGAGAATGGCTCAGTATGATTTAAGGTGTATGAAAGGTTCCTATGGCTACTATGTGGAGAAGGAATTGGAAGTTGGCTAGGAAAACACCAATTAATGGTAGCCCAGCTGAGAAATGATAATCAAGATGGGAGATATGAGAGATGAGGAGGTTGGCAGTGGAAATAGAGAAAACTGAAGGTCTTAAATGCATACATCTGGGAGGAACAAACAATAGAACTTGCTGATGAAGTTGGTGAGAGCATGAGGAATCAGGAATTCAACCAGATTTCTGACAAGCCACAAGCGGATGTTTCTTTTTACTCACTGAGATGGGAAAGACGAATTTTAGAAAGGTAGAGTGGGAATTGGTTATTTAATTTGTGACAATTAATTTTGAGGTGCCTGTAGCAGAAATTCAAATGGAGATAAAAAACTAACATGACCCTTCTGACGTCCCTACCAAATGCTCTGTGTATTCGGTGTGTTCTGTCCACTCTGGCTTGGTAAACTTGGATGATTCTCAGCTCTGTGTGAGCTCTGGAAAGGGTTCTCCTTACAGCTCCCTATCATTGCTCTCTCCTCAAATGTTGTTCTCATCTGGCAGTTTTTGGTTTTTCTCTGGAAATTTCTTCATTCATCTTCATTTTCTGGAAGGTATGAAAATTGAGCTGCTGCTATACTCAGCATCTGAAAGCATTATTTTTTTTTTATCTTCCAACATCTTTCATTTGTTGGGAAGATAACTATTTCATCTGTCTAGTTTTCACTGGTTTTCCCATGATGTGCCTAAGTGTGCTTTTTTGTGTATGTCTACATGGCTTGCAACTTAATTCTTTTTTTTTTTTTTTTTTTTTTTTTTTTTTTGAGACAGTCTCACTCTGTCGCCCAGGCTGGAGTGCAGTGGCGCGATCTCGGCTCACTGCAAGCTCCGCCTCCCAGGTTCACGCCATTCTCCTGCCTCAGCCTCCCGAGTAGCTGGAACTACAGGCGCCCACCACGCCCAGCTAATTTTTTGTATTTTTAGTAGAGACGGGGTTTCACTGTGTTAGCCAGGATGGTCTCGATCTCCTGACCTCGTGATCTGTCTGCCTCGGCCTCCCAAAGTGCTGGGATTACAGGCGTGAGCCACCGCGCCCAGCCGCAACTTAATTCTTGAATCAACCAACTGATATTTATCAATTGATTGATACATTTTTCCTACTTGGCAAAGTTGTTCAGTCTTGGTCTCTTCAAATATGTTTATAACTCATTCTTTCTATACTTTCCTTCTGAGAGTCCAAAGTGCATATATGCACTCCCTATGTCTCTTACACTCTCTTCTCTGTTTTCTATCCTTTTTTCTCTCTGTTTTTCAGTCTTGCTATTTTTTCAGATCTGCCTTCCAGTTTACTAATTCTTTCTTTATTATATATAGTCTTTAACTATATATATAGTCATTAACTATATATATATAGTCTTTAACTATATATATATAGTCTTTAACTATATATATAGTCTTTAACTATATATATATAGCCTTTAACTATATATATAGTCTTTAACTATATATATAGTCTTTAACTATATATATAGTCTTTAACTATATATATATAGTCTTTAACTATATATATAGTCTTTAACTATATATATATAGTCTTTAACTATATATATAGTCTTTAACTATATATAGTTTTTAACTATATATATAGTCTTTATATATATACAGTCTTTATATATATACCGTCTTTAACTATATATATAGTCTTGTACCTATATATATAGTCTTGTACCTATATATATAGTCTTGTACCTATATATAGTCTTGTAACTATATGTATATAGTCTTGTAACTATATAGTTACAAGCCATTGAGTTCTTAATATCGTTTTTATACATATAGAATTTTTGTTCATTTTGCATAATGTTTAGTTCTCTGAGGATATAAAAATATTTTTTATAAATCTCCTTAAATATAATAAAGATTTTCTGCCTCTGATAACTCCATTATCTAGAGCCATGGATCTGTTTCTGTTATCTGTTTTTAAATTCTGGTACTTACTGTATTGTCTTGTCTCCTCCCAAGCCTAGTTGTTTATTGTTTACTAGACATTTAAAGTTCTGGATGTTGATATATTCCTCTATAAATTATTTACCTTTGCTTTTTGCAAACAGCCAGGAATACCAGCAATTCTGGATTAAAGATAATTTCACAAATAAAATGATGTGAAGCTGTTAATCCTGATCCATTTCTTATTTAGCATTGTTTCTAAGGTATAGCTTCTTGAAGTTTCAATCCAGCGTGTTTCTTGGGGCTTCCATATTTAGTACATATTGAACTGTAAGTTTTGTACCCACAGGCACAGGATGCTGTCAAAAACTCTGGTCAAATTCTTAGACACTCAGCCATTTCTTCTTGAATTGATAGATTCCCCTAACAGAAAAGAGTCCACGGGAGTTCACCTCTAGATTTCCTTCTTATTCCAGATTTTGGTTGGCTTCACCGTTTTTCACTGCTTTGTTAATAGGGTTGTTTATATCTTCTATATTCTTCCTGATTTTCTCTTTACTTTTCTATCATTTATTGAGATGGGATATTGAAGTCTCTGACAAATTGCAGATTTGTTTATTTCTCCGTGCAGTTCTTTCAGTTTCTGCTTTATATACTTTAAAGCTATGTTATTAAGTATACCTAAGCATTTAGAATTGCTATGTTTTCTTGGTAATTTTATCTCCTTATCATTATGAAATGACTTTCTTCATTAGTCTTTTCTCTAAAATCTACGTATTCTGATATTAATATAGCTTTTATTTAATCATTGTTGTCATGGTATATATTTATCCATCCTTTTTCCTTTACCTTATTTGCATATTTATATTTAAAGTGGGTTTCTTGTCAATAGCATATCATTGTGTCCTGCTTTTTTATGCAATCTGACGATCTCTAATTTTTAATTGGAGGTGTTTAGACTATTTACATTAATATGACTATTTATGTGGTTAGATATAAGCCCATATCTTGCCATTTGTTTTCTACATGTTCTATCTGCTCTTTTTTTTCTTGTTTTTGCTTTCTTTCATACAAATTGAATATTTTCATGATTCCATTTTATATACTTCATTGAATTATATATAAACTATACATTATATATAGTATATATACAAAGTATACATTATATATAATGTATATATACAAAATATACATTAAATATAATGTAGATATATGAAGTATACATCGTATATAATATATAGCTATACAAAGTATATATACATCAAGTGTATTGTATGTGTGTATAGTGGTTTTATATAGAGAGAGACACATAAACACACATAGATGTATCTTTTATTAGTTTAGTGGTTGTGTTAAGGTTTATAACATGTGCTGTTAATTTATCACTCTCTACTTTCAAGTAAAGATGGGCTTTATTCATAGTATAAGAATCTTACAACAGTATATCTCCACTTTCCCCATCCCAGGCTTCATGTCATTATTCTCATACATTTTACTTCTACACATAGTATAAACCCCATAATATACATGGTATAAACTCAAAAATCATTTGGCTTTAAACAGTCAATTGTATTTTAAAGACTTAAAGAGATTTAAGATATTATTTTAAAGTCTTATATTTACCTACATACTTATCATTTCTGATGCTTTTAATTTTCTGTGTAAACCCAGATTCCCATCTAGTATCATTTTTCCTTTCCCTGAAGAATTTACTTCAACATTTCTTGTAGTAATGGTCTGCTAGTGGTAAATTCTGTCAACCTTTGTATGTCTATATATATAGAGAGAGACATACAAACGTTGACAGAATTTATATATATATATACTTTATATATATACTATATATGTGTGAATGTGTGTATATATATATACTTTATATATACTATATATGTGTGTATGTGTATATAAAGTATATATATATACTTAAAGTTCTAGGATACATATGCACAAGGTGCGGGTTTGATACATAGGTATACATGTGCCATGTTGGTTTGCTGCACCCATCAACTCATCATTTATATTAGGTATTTCTCCTAATGCTGTCCCTCCCCCAGCCCTCTAACCACTGACAGGCCCCAGTGTGTGATGTTCCCCGCCCTGTGTCCAGGCGTTCTCATTGTTCAATTCCCACCTATGAGTGAGAACATGTCTTTTTAAAAATATTTCTCGGCCATTCGCAGTGGCTCACGTCTGTAAACTGAACACTTTGGGAGGCCAAGGTGGGTGGATCACTTGAGGTCAGGAGTTTAAGACCAGCCTGGCCAACATAGGGAAACCCGTGTCTCTACTAACAATACAAGAATTAGCCAGGCATGGTGATACATGCCTGTAGTCCCAGCTACTCAGGAGGCTGAGGCAGGAGGATCGCATGAACTCGGGAGGCAGAGGTTACAGTGAGCCAAGATCACTCCACTGCACTCCAGCCTGGGCAACAGAGAGAGACTCTGTCTCAAAAAAAAATTTTTTTAAATTATCTTACCATTGTTTTTTAAATAAAAACATCATTTTCTTTAAACTGTTAGATTTCTTAAAAATGTAAATAGATTATAAACATAAAAGAAATGTCACTGGCCCATAATTATATTAAATTTAATCAACTTTTAGTTTGGTTCCCGTGGTTACTATTAGAAGGAAAAACCCTTAGACAAGTTATATTTAGTAGAACTTATTTCAGTAAGGAAAAGAGAAAAGAAAAATTCATCATTTGAACAGCCTCAGAACCAGAACAGGTTCAAAAATCTCTAATCTACAATGTTATCAGGCAGTATTTAGGGACAGAAAACAAAAGTGAGGTACAAAAATAGCTAAACTGGTTACAAAGACAGGAGACTGCCAGCCAGGCTACAATAGCTGTTGCAATCCCGTACTGCTTGGCTTTTTTTCCCTTGAAAGTTTGGCTGCTTTTAAGACTCTCTTGATCACTGGTCTTAAGGGAGTTGATTCTTGTGTTTGAGATTATCTGAGCTTTGCAATCTGAGTGTTTATAGCTTTCATCAAATTTGGAATTTTTTCAGGCAGTATTTCTTAAAGTGTATTTCTCCCCAACTTCCTCCTTCAGGGACTCCTATTACCTGTACATTAGGGTGCTTAAAGCTATTCCACAACTTACTAACATTTGTTTGTTTGTTTTTCAAAAAATGTTCCTTCATGTGTTTTATTTTAGTTTTGATTTCCATGACTTTAAGTTCTCTAATCTTTTCTTCAGCAGTGTTTAATTCCATCTCCTGAATTTTTTATAACAGGTATTGTACTTTTTTATCTTGGACATTGGATTTTTCATGTATAGACATTTGTGTCTTTTTTAAAAATATATCTCCCATGTCTCTACTTAACATGTTCGAGTTCTCCTTACCTTTTTGAACATGTAGGTTTCAATATATGTATAGGTTTTAATAACTGTTTTAATATACTTATCTACTAATTCTATCATTGCTAGCATTTCTGAGTCTCTTCTATTGATTGATTTTTTCCTTCCACTCTTTTGCATGCCTAGTGATTTTTTAATAGATGTTAGCCATTGTGAATTTTGTCATGTAGCATGCGCTGGATTTTTTTTTTTTTTTTTTTTTTTTTTTTTTTTTTTTTTTTTGAGAAGGAGTTTCACTCTTGTCACCAGGCTGGAGTGCAATGGCATGATCTTAGCTCACCACAACCTCCGTCTCCCAGGTTCAAGTGATTCTCTTGCCTCAGCCCCCTGAGTAGCTGGGATTCCAGGCACACATCACCACGCCGGGTAATTTTTTTGTATTTTTAGTAGAGATGGGGTTTCACCACTTTGTCCAGGCTGGTCTTGAACTCCTGACCTCATGTGATCCACCTGCCTCAGCCTCCCAAAATGCTGGGATTACAGGCATGAGCCGCTGCACCTGGCCTTTGCTGGATATTTTTGTATTCCTATAAATATTCTTACCTTTATTTTGGGACACAGTCAAGTAACTTGGTAATAGATTGATCTTTTCAAGACTTTACGTGTTGTTATATAGGACGAGAGTGACCTTTTTTCCAGGGCTAATTTTGCCCCACTGTTGAGCCAATACCTTCCTGTATGTTATATGGCATACCCTATGAATTGCTTGGGTTTCCATTCTGGCTCATGGGAACACAAATTACTTTCAGCCCTTTCAGAGTGCCAGGGATTGGTCCCTGTATTTCCTTTGTGTAGATCTTTTCCTGGTATTGGGCAATTTACTCACTTGCATGAGCAGATCAGTATTCAGCTGTAGATACAAAAGGGACCTTCTGAAGATCTCCGTATCTCTCCATTCACATCTGTCTCTCTTCTTCAGTACTTTGTCAGGCAAACTCTGCCTTGGCATCTTCACACCCCGAGCTCTTTCATCAACCTGGAGAGACCTCTAGGCATTGACTGAGTTTTTCCTCTCTTCACTGCAACCTGAAAACACTGTAATAAAAAGACTAGGGACATCGTTGGGATCATCTTTTTCTCCTTTCTCAGGCACCGTTATCTTGTGCTGCCTGCTGTCCTGTTTTATATAGGTCCAATTTTTTAGTTGTTTCAAGGCAGGAGGATAAATCTGATATTAGTTTCTCCAATCTGGCTAAAAGCAGAAGTCCTCACTATGCAGTCAGCTCACCACCCATGCCTTCATGTATATAGTATAGTGCAGCCATTCTAATTGTTTTTACTGGGAAGGTTTATCCTGGTTTTGAAGTTTCCTATCTCACTCACCATGATATTAATCTCCCCTTGTTCTTACTAGGTATAACTGCTTAGTTCCTGCCATGACGTAACTCTCCTAAAATTACTTTTATCTATATATTTCCTTCTGAGTTCTCTTTTTTTCTTTTTTTTTTTTTTTTTTTTTTTTGAGAGAGAGAGGTTCTTGCTCTGGCACCCAGGCTGGATTGCAGTGGCACAAACAAATCTCACTGCAGCCCCGAACTCCTGGGTAGAAGCAATCCTCTCACCTCACCTTCCCAAATAGCTGAGACGAAAGGTACATGCCACGACACCTGGCTTAAGTTTTTTTATTTTTATTTTTTTGTAGACTTGGAGTCCCACTATGTTGCCCAGGCTGGTCTTGAACTCCTGGCCTTAAATGATCCTCCCACCTTGACCTCCCATCTCTTGAGGTATATATAGCCAAGAGTTTTAGCGGTCCCATAGGTTCTGTCTCTGGTATCTTTCTCAGCACATAGCCTTTATGACAATGGCAATCACATTTTTCCTCTTAAACACTAACCTCTTGATTGTTATGTAGCCTCACTTTTCCCCTGTATTTTAAACATGTTTTATTAAAATAATTTGTTATATCAATAATCTTATTTTCTTTATATGATATGTTTTATTTTTATCTCCTATCCTTCCTCTTCATCCATTTCCATATATCTTATCATCATAAGTATTACTCACATTGTAATCTTCATTACCATCACACAATCCCAGCATATCCACCAGTTCCAAAGTTTCCCAACACATTCCCACAGCTAGAGACCAGTTGAGTAAGAGAATTAAATGTATCTTTTTCCCACCAGTATCAGATAACAGCTTGAGTAACTCCCTTAATGCATGAGCCATGTTTGCTCATTTGGGACTTTGTGCACATGATTTGCAGTTATTTTCACAGCTTCAGTCACCTATGTGATACTTCTTCCAAATGATCAGCCTTCTATTTTCATAACAGGCCTTTCAATCTGCTAAAGTCTTTTCTCAAGTAAGAGTTTCTCTTGTATCCGGCAGAAGAGAACCCTGAACCCAGCTCTGAATCAGCATCCTTCATAACTATATTCACCCACTAGCACCCTAAGGCATATATATATATGTGTGTATATATATGTGCATATATATGTGTGTATATATATGTGCATATATATGTGTGTATATATATGTGTATATATATGTGTATATATATGTGTATATATATATGTGTGTGTATATATATATATTCTTTTTCTTGGGGATATTTGATTAAAAGGAACAGTATAATCCATGTTGGGACTTTGGCTAAACTACTTTTTGTATTTCTACACTCTGCTGAGATAACTTGGGATACTTTTACTGGGAGAATTCTTTTTCATCCAGTTTATAGACAGGCTTAAATTGTCTGCCTCAAGACCCTTTTCTCTGGGCCCCAACTTGGTTACCACTTTGTCTTCTGAGAGATGGAGGGCACCATGGAGTGCTGCCTTCTTGAACGTAGGAGAAAGTACCACGCCATCCTACATCAGCCAAATTAGAAAAGAATTACAAAGAGAAACAGTCCAAAAAGGGGAATTGACTCAAGAAAAACAAGGAGGCAATCTCAAGTGGAAGGAACTTTTGATTTCTTGGTTTTCTCCCTTGAGAGCACCAACTCCTAACCCAAAGTCCTAAATATGTCCCTGGGTGCCTGATGCAAGCGCACAGCTCCCGGAACGAAAGGGAGGGTGGAACCCAGGAGAAAGCCTGGAGCTCCCCCTAATGCGACTTAAGGCAATCATTTTATTGGACTTTTCCTGATAAAAGACAATCTTTGTGTAACTTCTTCCCTTCTCCTCTTTCTCTTCTTCGGAGTGAATGGAAAGAGGAACAAGAGAAGCATAGTCTTCAGAGATACCAAAAATATTCATGTATAGTTCAAAGGGAGAAAAACAAAAGAAAGAAGGAAGGGAAGAAAAAAGAGAGACAGAAAGGGAAGGAGGGAGAAAGCAAATAATGGAAAGAGGAAGGAAGAAAATAAGGATGGAACAGGAAACTAACTTCCTGGAATGCCCATAATCCTTCCCAAAATGTGCTAGGAACTTTGCATAGGTTATGTGATTAATGCTCATTACAATCTTAAAAAGAAGTATTTTCTATTATCACCACATTATAGCGGGAGCAACTGTGTCTCAGACAAAGAAGATAATTTTGTTGATGCCAAGGTAATGTTTGTTCAAAGCTCGGGTAATGACGAGAAGGTGATGTATGAATAAATTATTCCCTGATAAGGTATGTGGTCATTCAGCAATGATGGTTAGTTGGTAAACCCTGGGAAGAAGAACATGAAAGATATTAGAAATTTGGAGGACCTGGGGAGATTTTAGGGGAAGAAGAGTGAAGAGAAGCCACAACTGATAGTAACTGAATGGGCACTGTGCAGCCAGGGATCAGAGATGTGCTCTCAGAATCAGTCAGCAGACCCCAAGTACCACTGAGTTTGGGAATCCGTCACTGTTTTGAAGCACAATGAAGTAATAAGCTACATATGGAAAGAAAGGCCTTTTCCTCCCCAGGGACCAAAGGAATCAGAAGGTCCACAGTCTTAGACTGGAAAGTAAAAGTGAGCTTGAACATGTAACAGATGGACACATGGTTCATTCAATTACTATTCCCTACAAATGCAGCAACATTGGCTGGACGCCATGTTACTAAATGAGATATGGTTCCCATAACCCACCCAACTGGGAAATGAAATAAAATAGGCCTAAATTTCACAAAGAAATATTTAAGGTAACTCTCAACTGAATACTGTCAATCTGTATACATGAAACTTCTTTATAATCTTTATCCACAAATTCTTTCAAACTGCAATAAATCGGTGAAGTTGAAACAGCTAACTGAAAAAGATCTCAGATATACGTCTGCCTGATTTATAATGGGGATTATTAGTATAAAAGCCAAAATATATGCCTTTAAGATTGTGTATTGTAAAACTAAGAATTAATGATTTTGAAAAAAAATTATCATTATGCAACCCTCCCTGCAGTCAAATAATCTATTGGAATAGCTAAATGTGTGGATCATTGATTCTTATTTAGGCTGATAATTAAAGTCATTAAGTTGATCTACTAGGTTTGAAAAGGAATAATTCATTGATTACCAATGAAATCTAGGACAAATATTAATTTGTATCTAAAATATCCTGAGTAGAAGTCAATTGTCCACCTTTGGATAAAATAACTTGTAGGCTTGATCAAAAGTAATCTGTCAATTTAGCATCAACTGGAGAGTTTAAAAAAATATGGATAGATAAGCACCAAGGAAAAAGCTCATGTTATAGGAGGAAGACAAGATGGTAGCTGAGCCAATGGATGCTAAGGAATCGGACAAGAGAAGTGAGCTCAGAAAAACAGGTGAACGTGAACCTTAGTCACCTAACAAAAAGTGGCCATTGAGCATGAACAACAAGGTAAAATTGTGAAAGCTTCTATTTTACAATGAAGTAAGCTTCTACCTATGACCCTAAGAGCACTGCCAGCCAAAACACCTTTGCTAGATTTATATAGTTTGTGAGCCTAAAATACCAATACTTGTGTGTGCTGGAAATAAAAGAATATAAAGCAGAGAGGGAAAGGTGGGAGGATTTGTCAGCTCCAGATTCATCAAGTGGCGCTTGGAAAGAGTAGAAATTTAAAAGTGAAGTTGTTTAAATCCCACTCCAGATGTTGGTGTCTTTCCCTGTTATTTTCTCCCCACCCTGCACCCCAGAATTCCGCTGTTGTCTGTTGCAGTGACATTGGGAGAAAGGCAAGCAATGGAAAAAGTAGGTAAATGGAGAAGTAACATTTATTGAGAACCTAGCTGCGTATCAGGCACTTTGCTGTTTTATTACATACATTATTACACTTGACTCTCAAAGTACCCCATTCGGTGAGTTTTATCATCCCCATTTTAGAAATGAGAAAATGAAGACTTAGACATATCTTCCCTCATCTCGTGCAACTTGTAAGTTGTAGGAAACATGTTTGAGCCTAGATCTGTTTAAATCCAAAATCAAACAGAGGCTGCCATATTTGAGGATGCCCATCAGTGGAAATAGCATAATGTTACCCTGAGGAAAGGAGTCAGATACCTTCGATCTAGTGCCCTGTCACAGGCTTTGACAAAGAGCACCACCCTCGGGTGCCATTCTATTGTTCTTCTTTGGCCATCAGGAGGAGATTCAGACATACATGACACTTTCCCAAAAAATGCAGGAGACATGGTGACATACACACAATAACCCATTACTGAGGATGACTACTTGGGGAGACAAGATATATATAAGCAAACACTCAGTGTTCTTGCATTTTCATGGGATTTTTATGGGTTACATTTTATCATCAATCATAAATTGATTATTCACAAGAAGAAACGTGTTTTTCTGAAAAATAGCTAGCAACATATTGATCTGAACACTTCAGGGAAAATGTGATGAAGTAGAAAATTAATGGAGAGTAGAGAAGTGAAAGCGTTTCAGTCTTTTGAGAATATGGTAATAATCCCGAGCTAAGGTACTAATGACTTATTGCTAATGTTGTTAGCCATGTCTTGGATGCTGGATTCATTCATCCAATAAAATTTATCATTAAAGATCATTTATAGGAATAATTGTAATCAGTGGCATTCATGAATAGATAATTCAATTGGAAAATATTTCTTAGATGCCCCAAAACAACAATTAATATTTATTGAGCCTCTGTTATGCACTAAGCCTTTGTTGATTAGTGCCAAAGAAAAAGAACTCGGCTGGGCCCCATGGCTCACACCTGTAATCCCAGCACTTTGGGAGGCCGAGGCAGGTGGATCACCTGAGATCAGGAGTTCAAGACCAGCCTGGCCAACATGGCGAAGCCTCGTCTCTACTAAAAATACAAAAATTAGCCGGGGATGGTAGTGGGTGCCTGTAATCTCAGCTACTCAGGAGGCTGAAGCAGGAGAATTTCTTGAACCCAGGAGGCGGAGGTTGCGGTGAGCTGAGATCTTGCCACTGCACTCCAGCCTGGGTGACAAGCAAGACTCTGGAAACAAAAAAAAAGAACTCAACACCTTGTTGGGGAGACCTACATGAACATATTAAATTACAATTGAACCCGTACTTAATGTAATATTTATTAACCCTAAAGGAATAAAATGAAGATAGATTCCCTATGTGTTAGTGACTATTTCATTGGAAGGGTTTGATTGTCATGTGAATTTTGGGAATGTAACAGGATTCTCATATATTTTAATATGCTGTTGTACATGGTCAGTCTCCAAGAGCATTAGCAGGCAATCTTTCCCACACGTGTTGGACCAATGGAACCTTTCTTCATGGAGCATTTTTATGAAAACTACACTGAGAAATGTTGGTGGTGGAGATAAAACATGAACAGAAAATGGCAAAAATCCACTGTGGAGTAAGATAAGCATGTTAAAAGAAGTACTTTCTGTCACTCTCAACACTCCAGTTACAGCTCATAAATCACAGAAGAACGTGCGAAGAATAGCGACCACTGCGGTTTGCACCATCTTGGCGGATTTTCATGACCTTGCTATGCCAGCCATTGTTATCAAAGGATATAATCTGATAGCTCACAGGCGTTGGGTCTTCCAAAGCCATAAACATCCCAACACCCTCTCATCACCATAGCAACCCTATCCCAATTACCAATGGTAACAGCCTGTCTCGTGAAAGTATACGTTTTTGCTGAACTATTGCTCAAGCTCCCAGAAAGAAAACAGCCAGAGCACCACCTGGTGGCCATAACTCTCTCCTGCAAGCTCCCAGACCACTTTGAGGGGCAATGCCAGGCACTCAGAATACCAAGGCTTCCTTGCTGCACAGATCCTCCCCATTCTCAGAAACAGCATGACTACACAGAATTTGCACAGAAATAAATGTCCATGCTTATCTCAATGGAAAACAATTCCCAAGCCTAGTGGAAAATTCTCAGTACGTAATAGAAAGCCAAGACGGAAAAGTAGGAAGGAGAAAGTAGAAATAGAAGCATAAATTTGGTCTTCAAGAAATGGATTTGAGGGAGAGGGGAGGAAGAGCATCAGGATAAAGCTAATGCATGTGGGGCTTCATACCTAGGTGATGGGTTAAGAGGTGCAAGTCACCATGGCACACATTTATATCTATATAACAAATCTGCACGTCCTGTACATGTATCCCAGAACTTAAAATAAAACTAAATTTTTTAAAAAAGAAATGCATTTGATCTGGAAAATAAATATCTCTCATGGACTGTTTAATGAGATCCACTTTATCTACTTTAGTACACAATGAATAGTGAGGAAATAAGTAGATAAACATACCCTTTAAAATGAATGTTTTGCCCCATGCCACAAGTGATAAAAGTTGATCAATATAAACATTAAAATAGTTTAAGATGGCCAATTATGAAACAGCAGTCTAGCAATACCCTTGAAGTCAAAGCACCCTGAGCCCTCCTGGTTATGTGACCCCATAAAGTCCCTTTAATATTTAAATTCATTTGATTTGATAGATGAGTTTCTAGCATCTATACCAGAAGAGTACTTATTAATACATCATACATTTTGTTCATGTCTTGTTCATTTTTAAAGTTTTCATTTGTCTTTTTCCTCTGGATTCTAAGAGAATTTTCCACCTTGGCTTGAATACTTTATTCATGGTGAGTTTATTTATTTATTTATTTATTTATTTACTCACTTACTTATAAATTAAAATATTTATATATATAACCAATTCTAATGCATGTCTCAATTCTGGTACGCATTTTATTTTCCTGAAATACTTCCCAATATCATAGGGATCTCATTTTATGTTTTTCTTTCTCTTCTCAGTCCATTTCACATAAATCTATTTTCTCATCTTTCATCATTACTTTGGTCCATATCTTCTGGAATTTTATAGAGACAAAGCAAATGCTATTTAAAATATTTCTATGGTAATAAATATGTCTCAAAGCAATACCAACCATTCCTATGCAACTTAGTGCTATGAAAGCCTTGTTTTGTGCTTTTGTCTCTTTTCAGTCTGATTGCATTTTCCCTGTTGACACGTCCTTGAACAAGGACAATTCTACATGACCCTGGCATTGGTAAGTCTCTTTCTGCCCATTTTATGTCTCTCTATTTTCTGTGGAGTCCTTATTACAGAGCATAAGCTAAAGGGCTGGCTGGTAATCATCTACATTACCATTCAGTGACACAGCAGCTGGAGGTGACTGAAAAGAAAAATCCTTGAGGAGCCCCAGGAGGCAAAATCTACCCCTGTGCAGTCTCTTTTGCATATTTTACATAAGTTTTCCCTATCAAATCTCGTCTTTGGTTTGACTTCGCTACAAGGTTCCCAGATGGCTGTGCCTGGCTTTTTTCCTGGCTTTGTTTCTGGAGCCACTGTTCTCCTAGGGCAGTGGAGGGGGAGCTGCTCTGGCTTTCTGCCTGAAAGAGCCCTGCAGGACCCCAGCCTCCAGTTCCTCCCATTGCCTTCAGATTAGATTGCTCCTCACTGGCAGGAGGAATTTCAAGAAGCATGTGTTTCCTTGTGTTCCTGAACCTGCCACCACCTTTCTCCCCTGACTCTTCAAGTTAGGGTGTGTGGTGCGCAGAACCGCAAAGATGGCCCCCCAAGATGCCCATTCTATGGAAATGGGGTTCTTCAACCAAACACCAGTCTGGCTGCTGCTGTGAAGAGATTTTGCAGGTGTCATTGAACTCCCAAATCAATTGACCCAAAGCTATTAGAGATAAGCCATGTCCTTAGAGCAGCGCCACAGAGATTATCCAGGTGGAGCTAATTTAAGGACAGGAGCCCTTTAAAGCAGAAAAGAGAGGCAGAGGACTTGAAGCATAAGGATTAGATGGGTCCTTGCTGGCTTGAAAATGCAGATTGCACATGAGCAGGAATGTTAGTGACCTCCAGCTGCACAGAGCAGGTCCCAGCTACAGCCTGCAAGGAACCGAGGACCTCAGACCTATGACCAGGAGGAACTGGAATCTGCCAACATGAATGAGCTTGGAACTAGACCTTTCCCATAATTTCCAGATAGGAGTCTAGCCTAGCCAACCCCTTGGTTTCAATGTCATGAGACCCTGAGAGATCAACAGAGCCCAGGCTAGAATCCTTACCCACAGAACCACAGCTGATAAATGGGTAGAGATTTAAGCTGCTGAGTTACAGCGGCAAGAGAAAATGAATACAGGATGTATTCATGGGCTACTTCTAGAATCCCCTCTGCTCTCTTGAGTTGAGATTGTGCA
Source organism: Homo sapiens (assembly GCF_000001405.40). NCBI lineage: Eukaryota > Metazoa > Chordata > Mammalia > Primates > Hominidae > Homo > Homo sapiens. The sequence goes on from NC_000008.11 coordinate 27,207,682, forward strand.
GCTTTTCTTGGGAAGGGAGCTTCAAGTCAACCCTCAGTGCCTGCCTTCAATCTGGTTCTATCAGCATGAGATGTAGCAAAAATGCATTAAGATAGTATTTCCATGTTACAGAAGAGTAAAGCTCGGAGATATTAATTTGCACGATATCACACAGCTACACATTTTTAGAGCTAAGATTTAATGCAAGTTCAAAACCCATCTTTTTTCAACAGTGCTAAGTTGCCCATGTTAGAAATGTCAAGTACATGGCAGGTGTTTCACCACTTTCTTCTCCTCCTGTACTCACATCAGACGGCTCCCATCAATCACAGGGCTCTTTTGCAATGAGTCCAGTTGGGGTCTCAGAATCCTTCCCAAAACAGGGTCCCAAAGCCTACAGTTAGCTCCAGTGATTGAAGCTGGCATAAGAAGTGAAAATATTTTCCCATCTCCAGACTAATCCACGTCAGATAAAAATCCACCACCTATTTTTCTCTACCCATCTCCTCCTTTCCTTCCCCAATTCGCTAAACACCTCTTTGGTCTTCTTTTTTAAACACTCACCCAAACCTTTGACCTGGAATGCCACAAATCTAAAAGATCTTCTATCCAGCGACAACAGCCCTTTGGAGACATATCAAAGTCCTTTGCCGGTTTAAGCTCTGCCTCTCCCATGTGTTGTATTCAGCACAGAACGACAAGGGTTGAGCAGCAGGGTTAGAACAGATGTGACACATCAGCCTACCACTGCAGTCTGGCCTTTTTGGAGGAAGCTTTTCCTACCCTCCCAGACTAGGTCAGGTCTCCCAGGTGCACATCCTCTTAGCGCCATGTCCTTCCCTACAGAGAACTTATCATTTTTATTCCAGCCTAATTTTCAGGTATTTTTTCTGTCTTCCCCTCCAGTCTCTTTGCTCCATGAACAAAGGCCACAACTGTATTTACCCAGCGTTGTCTCTCAGCACCTAGCACAATGTCTAGAACAGGCACTCAAAACATTGTTTGGTTTCCCTGTATACTGAGATACTCTTCCCACCCACCATGCAATTTTTCCCTAGTGAGCTCGTGGCATTCAGTAATACCATTTGCATAAGCACAGAAGGATCTAGGCTTTGCTGGATGTCTTTGGCTTTTCATTAATACATCATCAGTCAGACACCTGAATTATTAGAGGTTACATAGCACCAATTATGGGAGGGGGAACAGTGGAAGAACAAGTTGCAGAGGCTGCACCTGAGTGGCTCTGTTGAAGAGAGGAGGATGTCAGAGCCTACAGTTACCAGACACCGTGCTCCTTCAATCCTGTTGATTTACCATCTCTAATGTATTTCTTCATGGTTTAAGTTGCCTGCTTTGCTGTTTGAAGATGCAGCCTGGGCAATCTGAAATAACTTTTGAATTAAGAGATTTGAACTGAAATGTTGCCCTTACCACTGTGTGATCTGTATGATCTTGGAAGAGTCATGTTCTCTCTCTAAGCATGAATTTCCTCGTCTGGCAAATGAAGGATATGGACTAATGGTCTCTAAGGGATTGTCCAGCCCAAAAGTCTATGATTAAATGAAGGAAACATTAAGTCAATAGATTTGTCAAGAACATGTCAGGATATTATGCCACTATAGTTTTTTTGTTTGTTTGTTTGTGATGGAGTCTCACTCTGTCACCCAGGCTGGAGTGCAGTGGCACGATCTTGGCTAACTGCAACCTCCACCTCCCGGGTTCGAGCAATACTCCTGCCTCAGCCTCTGGAGTAGCTGGGACTACAGGCATGCACCACCATGCCCAACTAATTTTTGTATTTTAGTAAAGATGGGGTTGGCCAGGCTGGTCTCGAACTCCTGACCTCAGGTGATACACCCGCCTCAGATGGATCTCAAAGTCCTGGGATTACAGGCATGAGCCACCATGCCTGGCCTACTATAGTTTTGACTGGAGAATGATGAACATTCTGGGCTCCCCATTTAATCAGCAATATCTGGAATAATAACTGCTTCAGAATTGCCAATTAGCAGGGATAGGTTCAGTCACAGTCTAGTCCTGAATATGAAACCTGGAAGCTTTCTTGTGGGGGAGGCATTATATTGGCTTCCTACCCAATAGCTGTTCCATGCATCTTCGTTACTGACAGCCTGACCTCCTACTTTATTCTCAACATAGAGACTAGAAGTGTCAATGTTCTCTCTACCAGGAGAATTCTTCCCAAAACAGGGTCCCAGAGCCTACAGATAGCTCCAGAGATTGAAGTTGGCATAAGAAATGAAAATATTTTGCCATCTCCAGCCTAACCCATGTCAGATAAAAATCCACCACCTATTTTTCTCAACCCATCTCCTCCTTCTTTTCCCCAATCCGCTAAACACCTCTTTGGTCTTCTCTTTTAGCCACCTACTCAAACCTTTGATCTGGAATGCCACAAATCTAAGAGATCTTCTATCCGGTGACAACAGCTCTTTGCAGACATTGCAAAGTCCTTTTCTGGTTTAAGCTCTGCCTCTGCCATGTGTTGTAATCAGCACAGAATGACAAGGGGTGAGCAGCAGTGTTAGAACAGATGTGACACACCTGCAGCCTACCACTGCAGCCTGGCCTTTTTGGAGGAAGTCTTCCCTACTTTCTACCAGCCTGGCAACCTGAACATAGAACATGACCACATGAGTCCAGAAGACCTGAAGAGAAGTGTACAGATTTGGGTTTTCTTCCCAAAGAAGAAGAGGTGGGCAGGAGAAACTTCTTCCTGCTTGTGGATGCAGTTGTGCGAGAATATAATTCCCAAAGCAACAACAGCAGCCACTTTGTGACCACGAGGTAACCAACCCAAATGGAAGCCAATGTGGTAAGGAAGGCAGAACAAAATTTGTTTAATACAGATTTTTAATGATCTTATTAAGCTCTTCGAACCAAGTTTGGAACTACCTTCCTCAGAATGAAAAAAACAAAAACAACTGGGAATTCTGTATCCGAGATGCTTGTAGCCCGCCTTTCTAGCATAGGGTACATTCACTCCAGCTGGTTTACCTCTTGCTATCAAAATACATAGGGCCTTTGTTGGTTGTTTGGATTTCCTCTCAGTGTTGTGCAGACCAACAAAATTTGGGGGTATATTAAAGTAAATATGCTTTAAAATTAGTGGTTGCACTGTGTTCTTATTTAACACATCCATTCAGGAAGGAATATGATTATGAGCATGGATTTTGATCAGATCGCCTAAATTTAAAACTCACATCCACCTCTTACTAATTTTGGGATCTAAGGAAAGTTACTAAACACTCTACCTCGGTTCCCTTATGTGTAAAGTGAGGCTATTACTGGTATTTACCAGAAGAGCTGTTATGAGGCTTTCGTGAGTTAACACATAATGTGCTTAGGACAATGCCTAGGTTAGAGTAGCTGCTCCTTAAAGCTAGCAATTACAGCCACCCCTCTGCATCCACAGATTCTGTATCCGTAAATTCAACTGTAGATCAAATATATATTTTAAAAAAAGGATGGTTGCATCTATACCGAACATGTGCAGATTTTTCTCTTGTCATTATTCCCTAAACAATACAGTCTAACAACTACTTACGTAGCATTTACGTGGTATTAGGTATCATAAGTAATCTAGAAACGATGTAAAATATATTGGAGACTGTGCAGTTTTTTGTTTGGGGGGTTTTTGGGGTTTTTGTATGTTTCTTTTTTTTTTTTGAGACAGAGCCTCTGTCACCTAGGCTGGAGTGCAGCGGCAAGATCTCGGCTCACTGCAACCTTCGCCTCCCGAGTTCAAGTGATTCTCCTGCCTCAGCCTCCGAAGTAGCTGAGATTACAGGTGTGTGCCACCGGGCCTGGCTCATTTTTGTATTTTTAATAGAGATGGAGTTTTGCCATGTTGGCCAGGCTGGTCTTGAACTCCTGACCTCAGATGATCCGCTCGCCTCAACCTCCCAAAGTGCTGGGATTACAAGCGTGGGCCACCGGGACTGGTCTTGCACAGTTTACATGCAAATACTACAGCATTTTCTACCAGGGACTTGAGCATCCTTGGGTTTTGATATCTTCAGGGATCCTGGAGCCAATCCCCCATGGATACCACCGAGGGATGCCTGTTCTTCATACCCTTGACTGTATAATTTTGGGTGAATTACTTAAAATTCCCTGAGTCCTGGTTTGCTCATCTATAAAATGAGAACTATCATACTGCAACTGCACTCATATTTCTTGTGAGAGTTCATGCTGATACCCAGTACCGTGCCTTAATACGGAAACTCAGTGTAAAAATGCTACTTCATCCTCACTGAAGTCAGAATGTTTTTGTTGGCATATCAACAGAGCGTAAAATATTTTGGAGAATTGCTGTAAGCAAGAGTCCTGGTGCTGCTAAATGAATTATGGAATGATTTGTTTCCATTGTGTTACATTTTAAGGCAACGGGATCTGTGATTCAAAGAAATTCTTGGGCAAAGCAAATATCCTCTAATTTATCTTTTCTGCAAACGGGGATTTTCATATATCAGATTTGCCTGAAGAAAAAATTGCTTATACTGGATACGTGCTTGTAACCAGAGAACATTGAGAAACATTTCTCTCAAACATCCAGTTGCAGCATTCATAGAATTCAGGGTTTGGGGCTCCCTCCCAAGTACACTGCATGTATGCTTCTTGTTTCTACATGGGAATCTGAGTTTTAATTTTGTATTTTCCCCTCAGTGAGCAGGTAAATAAGTATGGCAGTGACCCCAGAGCTTGGCAGTTTTGTACAGCTAAAAGAAGAACAACGTTAGAATCTGATGAGCACTTAATGAATGGCCATCCTGTATACTTCCGCACACCCCTGAGCAAGTTACCTCTAGTTTTCTCACTAGTAATAAAGTGGAAATATGTCTACCTCCTTTTATTTTTAGGAGGATCAATACAAATTGTATATTTGAAATACCCGTTCTGCACATGGACACAGGGAGGGGAACATCACACACTGGGACCTGTCGGGGTTGGGAAGCAAGGGGAGGGAGCGCATTAGGACAAATAGCTAATGTATGCGGGGCTTAAAACCTAGATGATGGGTTGATGAGTGCAGCAAACCACCATGGCACATATATACCTATGTAACAAACCTGCACATTCTGCACATGTATCCCAGAACTGAAAGTAAAATAAAATAAATAAATAAATAAATAAATAAAATACAAACATTATATATGTGTTTTACATTATGTATTATATAAAATTAGTAGACAAAATTAACTCTTTTCTTTGCTATTATGTTTAAACTGGGGAAAATGACATTTTGAATTGTGTTCTATGCAATTTTTAAATTTGAAAAATCATTGTTTTAGGTAAAAAGATTGACATTAATTTAAAATCCTAGTTCAGTATCTATTTTGTATTTCATAAGGTTAACTTTTGAAAATATTTACTTTTCACACCAAGAATTCTGGACCATCTTCTTGTTTTATTTGGTATTTGGTATTAAATAAGGCATTATCTTTAAATAACCAATCATCTGAAAGTATTTAGTTTTGAAAAATAAAAATATCTTAAAACCGATAGTTTATTGATTATTAGCCTTGTGATGATTATATGGATATTTAAAGTTAATTGAATGTGTATTTTGAACCCAACATTCCTAGAATGGGGGGAATAAAAATAATTTATATAAAGCAAAAAATAAAGTAATACCTGTTCTGTTATAAATCATAGCTATTATTACTTACAATATTATATTTAGCACCTACTTTGGAGACATGGTGAGGGCATGGGATAAAAATATGAAAGAGTGATGTGTCCTTTAAAATATCTCTTAGCTCTTTCTCCCCACAATAGGTTCTGTGTTCATCCTGAAAAAAGCTTAAAGACAGCTGAAGAAGGAAGTTAACTTTTCCACTCTTCTCTCAGCCAGGGACCAGTGAGATGGCCTGAGGCAAGTCATTTGAAATCTAGATTCACATATTCATAAAATTTTGGCAATAACATCCATTATTCTTATCACAAAGAAGTAACTTTAGTGTCAGATTGATGCAGTGAGGAAAACAGGAAGGAAGGAAGGAAGGAAGGAAGGAAGGAAGGAAGGAAGGAAGGGAGGGAGGCAGGGAGAGAGGGAAAGGAAGGAAAAAGGAAAAAAGTAATTCTAGAAAATACTTTTAAACAAAAATATTAGAAAATACTTAGAAAATATCTTAGAAAAATAGTTAGAAAATACTTAGAAAAAATCTTAGAAAATACTTTTAAACAAATTATTTATCTGATGCCCACATACAATTCCATAAAGTATGGAAATTAAAATAGCCTGGCTCTCTTTGTTATGAAACCCAAGCAGGATATTTTTATAGCCAAAGCCTATTGAACTCAAACAAACTGAAATGTTGATTATATTAAGCCACAATGCAACTGCCAAATAGCTAGTCAGGACAGACTCCCAGTTTCTGGTTCAGCATATAAAGAATTGAAAGTTGTTGGCTATGCTCATAACAAAAAAAAACACTGAACAAACTGAAAATCAGCAACTCTTCATAGATCCATCAGAGAATTGAGGTCATGGGGCAAATCACTGTCCCCAAAATTAAAGAAACAGACTGATACAGAGAATCACAACTTACCAGAGCAGAAACCTCTGTAGGAACCAGTATTGGAGCAGTAAAATCTAAACTGTAGCTGAAAGATTGCTGGGGGCTCAGCAAGAACAAGTCTTAGGGTTTAAAACTCCAGGAGAGGCCAGTCTTAGTGGAGCCCCCATGTTTTGTGAATTTTTCCTCCAGGATCTCTACCAGCTTCTCATAGTGAAGGTCAGAGAAAAATCCCCTCTTGCTTCCAGCAGGGAAAGGTAAAATAGCAATTTTGAAGTATGCCCAGAGAATTCTGTTCTTCATAACAAGTCCTACTCTCAAAATAAACTATTTTACCAGATCCTAACTGACTGGGGTTTTACTAAGGCCTAACCAATCTGGGGAAAGTGAAATACCAAAGTTCAGACATCTCTATCCTTCCTATCTCACCTAAGGAGGAGAGGACTGAGAAGCACTTGTATAGGTCACAGCCCAGGGTACAGGCTCACTAAATGACTGAATTATAATAATAAGACTTCAAGCACTCCCCTTTCCTCCACACCTCACTAATATATCAATAGAGCTCCTGTTTAATAACAGGGGGATACAACTGGAAGAAATGCATATCTCAGACCTTATTTAAGAAGAAGACTCTAGGGAAACCTAAAGACAGCAGGGGAGAGAAAACAAGGATGCCAGAAGAAATTTAGCCTCTGAGACCTACAACTATAGCAAACAGTAAACACAGTGTAACTCCTAGACAGATGAAGTCTCACATTAAAAGCCTGTTTACCACAGTTTCTTTTACCCAATAAATCATATCGAGCAAAGTATACTACAATCATGACAAAGTATGCTACAATACCAAAAACACATTCTGAAGACAGAGCAATCATCATAACCAGATTCAAATGTGGCAAATATATTGGAATTGTTAGACCAAGAATTTAAAACAACTATGGCTAATATACTAAGTGTTCTAATGGAGAAATTGGGAAAGATAAAAGAAAAGGTGGGCAATGTAATCAGAGAAATGGAAAAATCTAACAAATAATCACAAGGAAATGCTAGAGATAAAAAAACACTGTAACATAAATTAATAATTCCTTTGATGGGCTCATAAATTGACTGAACACTGCAAAGGGAAAACATCAGTGAGTTTGAAGAAAGTTCAATAGAAACTTCTAAAACTGAATGCAAAGATTAAAAAATATATATTAAAAACACAGACTAGAATATCCAAGAACTGTGAGACAATTACAAAAAGTATAAATATAAGTGGAGAAATGATAGTCTTTTCACCAAAAGGTGCTGGAACAATGGAATATATATATGCAAAAAATGAGCATCAATGTATACTCAGATGATATATTAAAAAAATTAATGCAAAATGGACCGTAGACTTAATTTAAACCTAAAGCTATAAAATGTCTAGAAGACAACACTGGAGAAAAATATCTGTGACCTCCAATTAGGTGAAAATTTCTTAGCTGTGACACTAAAAGCACAATCTATGAGAGAAAAAAAAAACTGATCAAACGGACTTCACTGACATTAAAAACTTCGAAAGAAACCATTAAGAAAATAGAAAAACAAGCCACAGACTGAGAGAAAATATGTGAAAAAATGTGCTAATTGACTTGTATCCAGAATATAGTGAGAATGCTAACAATTCAACAATAAGAAAACAAGAAATCCAGTTTAAAAAAGGGCAAAAGATGTAAACAGAGACTTCTCCAAAGAAGACATACAATTGAGAAGTAAGCATGGGGAAAGATGCTCAACATTATTAATGATGAGGAGAATGCAAACTAAAAGCAACAATGAGATACCATTGCATACCTATTAGGGTGGCTGCAATTCAAAGGACTAACCATACCAAGTGCCAGTGAGGATGTGGATGAACTGGGAATTCTCATACATTGCTAATAGTGATGTAAAATGTTATAACAACTTTGGAAAACAGTTGAACAGTTTCTTAAGAAGTCAAACATATGCCTAACCATATGGCCTAGCTATGCTATTCCTGGGTATAAAACCAAGAGATAAGGAAGCATATGTCCACACAAAGACTTGTCCATGAATGCTCATAGCAGCTTATTTTTATTTCCCAAAAACTGGAAACAACCCACATATTCATTAACCAGTAAACAGATAAACTTTGGTAAATCCATTCAATTAAATATTACTTAGTAACAAATAGACAAACAAATGAAATAAAATAAAGCAATGAACTATTGACATATGGAACAACATATATGAAACAAAATAATTATGCTTAATGAGAGAAGCCAGACCAAATAAAGAGTACATACTATATGATTCCTATTAAGTTTAGAAAATTCAAGCTAATCTGTAGTTACAGAAAGAAGATCAGTGCTTACCTGGGCATGAGGAGGAGGAAATTGGTGGGAAGAAAGGAGTATAAAGGGCCACAGGAAACTTTGGAAAGTTGTGGATATAAATTTATACATGTACATATGTGTCAAAACTTATCAAATTATACACTTTAGATATGTGCAGTTTGTGGGCCAATTATACTCAAAAAATCTGTTATTTAAAGTATAAAATCATCTAAACACTCCCAATTAAAAGACAGAGATAATCAGATTGGGTAAAAAATGTCAGACTCAGCTACATGCTACCTATAAGAAAGCCAGTCCAGCTTTATTTAGATTTGCACTAACTTGATATGTCTTTTTCACCCTTTTACTTTAAACCTTTTTGTGTCTTTATATTTTAAAAAAGTTTTTAAAATATAGTGTTTCTTGTAGGCAGTATACATAGTGAAGAGACAATAACTGAAGTTTTTTTAAATATAATGGAAAACCTCAAACTGCAGATTCAGGAAGCTCAGAGAACCCAAAACTGATAAATAATTCCTCTCTCCAAAAAGTCGTCACACACTTTGACACAACTGCCAAAAACAAACATAAAGGAAAACTTTCAAAGGCAGCCAGAGAAGAAAGACACATTGCATACAAAGAAACAGAGTAAGACTAACAGCAGACTTCTCATTAGAAAATATGCAGATGAGAAGACAATGGAGAGAGATTTTTAGAGTACCACAATACTTCCTTCTTTAGATCCAGATTGAGTAAAGAAAAAAGAGGCCAGAAATAAACTATGAGATTTAGCATAAGTAATCCCAGGTGTGAGGAAACATAGGAATATAAAGGAAGCTAATAATAATATCTAACACTAACATCTTAAGTGTTTACTATGTTTCTTGTACTATAATAAAGCATTCCAGGGGGCATCAGTAACTTCTCATGTCCCTCTGAAGTATTAGTATCTCCATTTTACAGAAAAGATGCAGGCATTAAAATTGTTCATCTTTTTGAGAACCAGAGAAGCTGCATGTGCAGGTATTTCAAAGATTAAATCCATGACATACCAGGTTGGAAGGCAAGGATACAGTGTCAAGAGTCACTGGGATCTGAAAGATCAGCATCAGGAGAAAGACGATGGTTGGCAATGTGTGAGCAAATGGAATGGATGACTGCCAGGAATTAGGATAGGAGAGATCAAAAATAAGAAAATTCAGAAGAGAGCTGGGTTAGAAGGAGATCATTACAGAGAAGAGGTTCTACTCTTCTTGAGTGGTTCTACTGCACTTCCTTTTACCTTCTATGCAGCTGAAAAAAGAATCTTTCCCAGGGGCATTATCTAAGCTGTCCCAGGACCTGTCATTCATCAATAATCATTTATTCAGCACCCAATAAACACTGGATGCTAAGAATAAAAAGAAGAAACCACAAATATTGTTCTCAAATAATTTAATTAGAGGCAAATAAATTGAGAGATTAAAAACAACACAAAGTAGCAGAATTCTAAATTCCAAGGGAAGGGCAGACTTTAAAACTACAAAGGCTTCACAGTGGAGATGAGATTTGAGCTGTTCTATGAAAGAAAAGCAGGGAATAGGCAGGAAAGAGGAGCACACTCCAAGCATGAGGACAGACAAAAAATTGGGAATACGTATTTCACAAGAGACAGATTGTAAGTAGATTACACTGTAGGAAAAAGAGCTTTGCAAAAGGGAATATTGAAAGTTAGGATTGGTGAGATAAATGCAGGAATGTGTGAACTCTTGAATCCAGACTGTAGGGCAATGCAGGATGTTCCATTTTCCAATCATTTTCTATTCCAATCCATTTCTATCTCTATTCTCTAGAGTCCCATAACCTGACAACAAGGGTTTATGCTCATAGTACTATATTTCTACCTCCAAGCACATGACAATTCCCTGAAATAACCAAGGAAGAAAGAAGGTAAGAAAATTAAGCGCACATTACCATGAGTGTTCAAATACTTTTCTTGAATATTAGAAATTTAAAAAGATTAATATCCTGTTTTATTTGAGATATTCAAGACTTCTGAAACTAACTAAAAGTAGCTTGATAGCATGGTGTTCGTATGTTCTTAAAGCTTTCCATATGGGTAAGGGTCTTTTACTCCTGCCCTTTCACTGAAGCTTGTGGTTTATATGTGAAGAGATATAGTGACTTTTAAAGGGGCTTAGCATTGCTCAGTTATTCTTTCTGTATCATTGACGGCAGAGCTTTTCAAGCGGCTTCAGAAGACTCCCTTCTTTATAGATTCAAGGAATCCAAATAAAATTACCAAGAAGAAGAGACGTATGAAGGCTATACTTCCTTCCCATGAGAAACTTAGCCTGCAATGACTCATATACTTAATCAAGTTCCTAGAAGCATCTCCTTTGGGTATTCGAAGCACATCTTAGTTTACCTCATTGAGTATGCACAACATACCCAAGTTCTCTCAGCCTGTAGGAGGCACAGCCAGAAAGTTCTTGGTGTTTTGGAAAGATCTTGGGTTCTAGAGTCAAGCTGATTAGAATTTAAATCCTGGTTCTGCCACTTAGAAAAATCTGATGACTATATCAGTCTCTGAGATCTTCAGCTGCTCTTTAAAATGGGTTCAATAATGCCAACTTCCTAGGGTTTCATGGTGATTAAACTGAATGAGGTAATATAGGCTTCATGCCAGCCATAGAATAGGCACGTAGTGGGAACTTTATGTTTGCTTTTTTCTCCAGTTTCCAGTATGAAATACAATATTAAGGTTATAAAATTTTCCTTTGGTATTTATAAAGAATGAATCTCAAATTAAATTAATTGCACTCAAATAATACTATTAGGAATTCAACCAAAAAGACATTTAATGTATATTACCATTAACCCACAGAGAAGCCATGTACAGACCAAGGGAGAAAGTGTGAAGGTCTCATTACAAATAAATTTAGAGACAGTTTTCTCCTTCCCTAAGGCAAAAATGTTCCACAGCCTTAATTAAACTTTTCAAAATTTGTTTTGATTTTCCCTTCTATTCCTTTGAAATCTTATCTGATATTAGTCTTCAGGCTTTCTTCTCTCCCTTATCTGCCATCTGGAACTTCTATTAAAGATGCACACACATTCTCTCTGTCTCTCTGTCCTTCTGTCTCTGTTTCTTTCTGTTTTTGTCTCTCTCTCCCTTCCCCCTGCATCCTGCCCATAAAATACTTTTAGTCCTTTGGAAAAAAAAAACTGTAATTATAATGTATTTCTATAAAGATGCCCTTCACTACTTTGCTGGCAACACACTGTGAAGTTCTGAATATGAAAATGTGTGATCATTTCAATGACAGGCTGTGAACAGATTTCTTGTCTTTGCAAAACATTTGCAAATCATTTTAATTACCTGTAGATTAAGTCCAGATTTCTCAGTCTGACGTTCAGTGTCCTTCCCAATTGTCCATTCATTCCATGCCCATCTTCTACCAACCCCATTGTACGTGGTCTTCTGGCCACTCTGGATAATGTACTGTTCCCTGAACACAACAGCCTTTCAGGGAATGCTGCCTGGAAATTGTGCATACCATTGCATTTACCCATACATAAGCTCCTTGAGATGCCTTCACCCACCCCACTTCTCTACTCGATGATAGCATAAAAATGCTAAGGATTCATTTTGAATGTCAACCTCACACAGGCAAGGCTAATCATTCCCTCTTTTGTGCCCCTTGAAAACAGCAAGTAATAGATCCTATCACCCATTGTTTTGGTTGGCGAAATATGAGTCTTCCCCAGTAGAACACAGGCAGACCTCAGAGATATTGCAGGTTTAGCTCCCGAAGACCACAATAAAACAAATGTCACAATAAAATGAGTCACACGAATGTTTTGGTTTCCCAGTGCATATAAGAGTTATGTTTGCACTACACTGAGTCTAGTAAGTGTGCAGTAGCATTATGTCTGAAAAAGCAATGTACATATATTAACTGAAAAATACTTTATTGCTAAAAAATGCTAATGAACATCTGAGCCTTCAGTGAGAATCTTTTTGCTGGTAAAGGGTCTTGCCTTGATATGGATGGCTGCTGACTGATCAGAACGCTGGTTGCTGAAGGTTGGGGCATTTAAGAAATTGCTGTGGCCAATTTCTTAAAATAAGACAAAAATGAAGTTTCACACATTGATCGACTCTTCCATGAAAGATTTCTTTGTAGCATGTGATGCTTTTTTATGGCATTTTACCCACAGAAAAATGTTTGACTTCTTTCAAAATTGGAGTCAATCCTCTCAAACCCTGGGTGCTGCTTTATCAACTAAGTTTATGGAATATCCTCAATCTTTTGCTGTCATTTCAACAATGCTCACAGCACCTTCACCAGGAGTACATTCCATCTCAAGAAACCACTTTCTTTGCTCATTCATAAGAAGCAACTATTCATTCGTTCAAGTTTTATCATGAGGTTGCAGCGATTCAGTCACATCTTCAGGCTTCACTTTCAATTCTAATTCTCTTGCTATTTCTACCACATCTGCAGTTCCTTCGTTCCCTGAAGTCTTGAACCCCTCAAAGTCATTCCTGAGGGTTGGAATCAACTTCTTGCAAACTCCTGTTAATGTTAATATCTTGACCTCCTTAGGGAGTCTCTCTGAACCTATTCTGGTTCAGGAGGCTGCCCAATTGCCAAAAAAAAATTAAAATTTTAAAAATATATATTTTGACCTCCTCGTATGAAGCACAAATGTTCTTCATGGCATCTAGAAAGGTGGATCCTTCTATGGTGAATACTAACAATAAGGCTGTTTCACATTCTTATCATTTTTCTGTTCACTGGAGTAGCACTTTTCATTTCATTCAAGAACTTTTATTTGCATTTACAACTTGGCTAACTGGCAAAAGAGACCCAGCTTTTGGCCTGTCTCAGCTTTCAACATACCTTCTTCACTAAGCTTAATTATTTCTAGCTTTTGATTTAAAGTGAGAGACAAGCAATTCTTTCTTCCCCTTGAACACTTAGAGGCCATTGTAGGGTTATTAATTGGCCTAATTTCAAATTGTTATGTCTCAGGGAATAGGGAGTTCCAAGGAGAGGGAAACAGACAGGGGAAAGGCCAGTTGGTGGAGCAGTCAGAACACATAATAATGTTCATCCATAAGTTCACCATCCCATATGGACAAAGTTTGTGGCACTCCTAAACAATTACAATAGTGACATTAAAAAATCACTGATCACAGATTACCATAACAGATATAATAATAATGAAAATGTTTGCAATATTGAGAGAATTACCGAAATGTGACACAGAGGCACAAAGTGAGCACATGCTGTTGGAAAAAAATGGTGCCAATAGACTTGCTCAACAGGGAGTTGCCACAAACCTTCAATCTATAAAAAATGCAGTGTCTGGGAAGCACAATAAAACAAGGCATGCCCGTATACACTTCATGATGGCAGGGTCTTTTTTTTCCCCATACCCAGAATCCCAGAGTTTTTGATGCATTGTTACAATCTCAGGATGTGGGAAGGGCAAGAATTTTACGTGATTTTTGCTAATAAGAAGAAAAAAAAAACTATAGCCAATACTATTCAATCAAATTGTAACTGACAGAAAAAAAATTCTCAAAAAAGTTTCTTTCCCTTTTATAAAAGCTCAGGTTGCAAGTCTGAAGTGAATTTGGATTCCTTGGGGTTAGAGATCCAGGCTTCCTCCACCTCATACCTCCATGCATGCCTCTCCTCCCATCTTCACCTCTGGATCCAAGACTCCATCACATCAACATTCAATCCAGCAGATGAGAGGGAAGAGAAAAAGTTTACATTAAAAACACTCCTGGAAGTTGTATATACCATTTCCACTTCCAGCTCAGCAATTGGTAAAGTGACAATATCTCACAGTAGCGGAGGCTGGGAAATGTAGAGTCTTTAATCTTTACAGTTTCATTATGCAAATTAAACACAGGCTCTTGAACCAGACTTCCTCCAGCCACCGTGACTTGCAATCATTTGACGTTATGCTGAAGGCAAGTTAAGGTGCAATACGTTTAGCATTCATTAGTTACTTCATCTTCAAGCATACACTTTCATACATATTTATAGCTAGGACATAAATTTAACTGGATCATGTGTTAAGATATTATTGCAGTCACTGCTTCTGAGATTGCATATGTCTACTTTTAGCAGATTGTTCTCCCCAGCTTTGGTTGTTAAACATAGAGCTCCATTACTCCCTTGATGGTGTTAATGAAAAACAACTCATGAGTGAGTTATATAACTTAATTGTAATCAAGAACTCGACCTAGTTGTATTACCTAAGGAAATCACATCTTAAATTCATCATACCCTCAACTGAATACTTTCCTCCAGAACTTTCCCCTCCTCCCATATTCTCATCCTGAGGGTAGCATCATCATCTGTCTAGCAGGTCAAGTCAGAAACCTGGAAATCTCTCCATTCAATCACCAAATTCTGTTGATTCTTCCTGTTCCAATCCTTTCGGTTGCTCCATCATTATCAGAGTGTTTGTTCAGGTCCTCACCTACCTGGTCTGCTACACCTTCCCTGACTAGGCTTCCTGCTTCTGGTCACAGCCCCTCCTCACTGCTGTCAGAATGCCCACCAGTTACAAGTGTTCTGCTCCCCTGCTTTCAATCCTCCCTAACACTCACAGGATCATGCCTGTGATGGTTAATATTGGATTGAAGGACGCAAAGTATTGTTCCTGGGTGTGACCGTGAGGGTGTTGGCAAAGGAGATTAACATTTGAGTCAGTGGACTGGGAAAGGCAGACACACCCTCCATCTGGGTGGGCACCATCTATCTAATCAGCTGCCAGCATGGCTAGGATAAAAGCAGGCAAAAGAACACAGAAGGACTAGACTGGTTTAGTCTTCCAGCCTGCATCTTTCTCCCATGCTCAATGCTTCCTGCCCT
The DNA here is from genome assembly GCF_000001405.40 of Homo sapiens. Taxonomy (NCBI): domain Eukaryota; kingdom Metazoa; phylum Chordata; class Mammalia; order Primates; family Hominidae; genus Homo; species Homo sapiens. The sequence continues at coordinate 27,223,408 of NC_000008.11, forward strand.
CAAATATTGGACTCCAAGTTCTTCAGCTTTTGGACTCTTGGACCTTCGACCACAGACTGAAGCCTGCACTGTTGGCTTCCCTACTTTTGAGGTTTTGGGACTGGAAGTGGCTTCCTTTCTCCTCAGCTTGCAGACAGACTACTGTGGGACTTAACCTTGTGATCGTGTGAGTCAAGAATCCTTAATAAACTCCTCTTTATATATACATCTATCCTATTAGTTCTGTTCCTCTAGAGAACTCTGACTAATTCCATGCTCATGCTCCTAACTCCCACCTCTCCTGGCCAAGTGAAAATCCTGGATCCTGCCAATCCTTTCAGCTCCAGTTCCCGGCACATCCCCTTGGTGCCCTAAACTGTCTTTTAAGCAGTCATTGTCACTTTCACTTTGCAAGTGCTGATCCCTCCCCATCTGGAAGACTCTTCACTCCCTTCCCCTAATTCCTTCCTTGTCTTTCTTTGCCTGCCTGATCTCCCCTAGTTATCCTTCAAAAGTCAGTTCAGTCAGACATCATTCCTCTGTGAAACTTCCTCTGCCTCCCCTCCTCCCACCCCACTGTAAAACAAGGCCTTTCCTCCACTCCACTCACATAAAACATATGCTTTTATTATATGACTTATCACATTATTTTAAAACTCTATTTAATTATCTTATTGATTGCAAGATATTTGAAAACAAGAATTTTTCCTTGTTTATATTTGCCTCCTCAGATCCTTGCACAATTCCTTTTTTTTTTTAAGATAGGGTCTTCGTTGCTGCCCAGGCTGAAGTGCAGTGGCGCAATCCTGGCTCACAGCAGCCTCAAACTCCTGGGCTCAAGAGATCCTCCTGCCTCAGCCTCCAGAGTAGCTGGGGATACAGGCACATAACACGATGCTCAGCTGGTTTTTAAAAATTTTTTTGTAGAGAGATTATCTTGCTATGTTGCCCAGGCTGGTCTCAAACTCTTGGCCTCAAGCAATCTTCCTGCCATGTCCTCCCAAAGTGCTAGGATTGGAGGTATGAGCCACAGTGCCAGGCCTCTTGCACAATTCCTAACACATAAGATCTCAACAGAATGAAAAAACAAACAAATTATCATTCTGGTGTGCATAATTTTATATGGCTGAGGATAACTGAATGTATAGTTTGATATTCTGTTTTTTCCAATTAAAATTATATAATAATCTTTTTAAATTTTTATACAGCCAAGTGAGTTAACCTCTCCTTATAGTCTTAAAATTTTTTATCAACATATATTATATCACTGTCCTATACTTTTAGAATATTTTCGCTATTGAAGGACATTTGCATTTGTTGCATTTTTTGATATTGTATTTAATACTTTGATGAACTTTATTGTTCATAAAGATTTGTGTTTCAGAATATTTTATTTAGAATAGATTGTTAGGAAGCAGAATTTCTAGAAAGAGAAAAAGTAAGTCAATGGATATGGACCTTTTTGAGGCTTATGTTTTATTAGGCTGGTGCAAAAGTAATGGCAAAAACTGCAATTACTTTTGCACCAACCTAATATATTGCCAAGTGATTCACTATTATGTTGGTGCACAAGTAATTGTGGTAATGGCAAAAACCTTAATTATTTGTGCACCAACCTAGTAAAATGACAAAACCCATTTGGATTCACACAGGCAGTATATAAGAGCAAGCATCTCATTTTAAAAGAGGTGTAGACCAACCAGAAAGCATCTATCACAGAATGAAAAGAATTTGAGGAATCAGTAAAGCGTAATAAGCAAACAATCATTGAAGGTACACGGGGCTGGTTGCAGTGGTTCACACCTGCGATCCTGGCACTTTGGGAGGCTGAGGTGGGTGGATCACTTGAGGTCAGGAGTTCAAGACCATCCTGGCCAATGTGGTAAAACCTCGTCTCTACTTAAAACATAAAAATCAGCCAGGCATTGAGCTGGATGCCTGTAATCCAGCTGGTATCCTGGGAGGCTGAGGCAGGAGAATCACTTGAACCCAGAAGGCGGAGGTTGCAGTGAGCCAAGATCATGCCACTGCACTCCAGCCTGAGTGACAGAGCGAAACTCTGTCTCAAAAAAAGAAAAAAAAAAAAAAAAAAAAAAAAAAGTACATGGAAAATTTACCTAAAGAAGAGAAGTAATGAGAGAAACTTGACAGATCTTTTCAAATATTTGAAACACCATCATTAGGAAGAGGAAGCAGATTTTGAGAACAATGATAGAGTAACTCACTACTAGGTACTGAGTGTTTGCTGTGTGCCAGGCATTGTGTTACGAGTTTTTGAATCTTCATTTCACAGATAGATAACTAAGACTTCAAAAGCTTTCGTCACTTTACCTAGTCACAGAGGTCACTAGTAGCAGATCTGGTATTCGTAAATCCAGGCTGCACTGGCTCTAAAGCTCATGTCTTAATAGCCACACCAGCACTTCCCAAACTTTCCCATCAAGGTGAATTTAACGGTAAAAAATAGTGAAAGCAGATCCTTAGGGTAGGTGAGGTATAGATGAAGCTAGCTGTCTATAAGCAAGGGAATTCCTAGAAGCCTTCATTTTGCTTTTAATCTATGTGCATTTTTACAGTCGCTATGGAAAACAACGTGACAGTTCCTCAAAATATTAAAAGTAGAATTACCATAGGATCCCGCAACCCCACTTCTGGGTATACACTCTGTAAGGAAAGAGTAGTAGAAAATAGGACAGGAGGGTTTTCCAGAAGACCCCAGAGTCCTATGAATATCTTTCAAGGCCTATGCCTTAATGGTATTAAAAAGAGACCAAGAGAGAAATCAACCTATGAAATAGTTTATGCTTTAGCACTTCCACTTATGTTGTATTTCTCCTTACATTTTGAATATTTAGCATTCTTAGCATGGCATAGTTTTGAGTCTCCAGATATGTAAGTTTATATAGTTAAAATGCTTGTGGGCATTTGCTTGCAACTAACAAAGATAAATCAAATAATTGATAGTAGAATACATTCTATCTGTATAGGAAGTAAGAAGACAAATGCCCTCTACCTACTTTCTGAGACTGCCTGGTGACCCTAATATTGGATTTGTAGATTTTAAGGGTAATTTATTGTGTAGCTATAAGCTCTTGACCCATAATTCTTTGCTATGGCTGTCAAGGACATTGTCCCTCAGATTTTTAATGGACTCTTACAGCTAAAAGCAAGATGAGAAACAAGAATACCCAGGAACTACTTGATCAGGCATCAGCATGACTTCAGCTTGGAGCAAGCCTCCCATCAGCAAGTTACTTTTATGTTTGAAACTAGAGTGAGACTTTGATTTAAAGAGAGATGATTTCCTGTTGCTGAACACTGTGCATGTGTGTGTGCACTCAAGTGTATGTGCGTGCACTCAAGTGTGTGTGCGTGCATGCATTTGTACACGAGTTTGGTAGATTCCTAATTCTCTATCATTCCTGGAGGCTAGTATTCTCACAGTCAAGCTGAAGCTGTATTTCTTCCTTATTAATACACATGCTACTGAAAAGTTTCTCAGGTTCTCAGAATTCTTATTAAAAATTATAGTCCAAGGAAATTTTTTCAGATTTCAGATTCTCCAATGAGAAGAAAAAAGCTTGACATTCTGATTTCATGTTGGCTTTTACAGCTTTTAATTAAAGCATATCATATCTGCCCATCTTCTTTTCTCCAAATTAGTGCTATTTTGTACTAAAAGAAATTAAAAGTGAGGAATTAAAATTTGGAAAGGAAGAAATAATAATACTATTTAAGGATGACCTTTTTGAAAATCCAAAATAATTCAATACGTAGATTCCATTTTTCTATATGAACTTGCTTTTTTGAAAGGGTTTTTGTAGTTTGTGTCTTTCCAAGGAATTTGTCTATTTCATCTATTATGTATTGGCATCAAGTTCATCGTAATATTCCCTTATTGTCTTTTTAATAATGTCAGTGGTCATATTTCCTCTCTCATTTCTGATATCGGTATTTCTGTCTTCACTGTTGTTAACATAATCAGCCTACCAGAATTCTCTCAATTTTATTAATCTTCTCGATGAAACAGTTTTTGTTTTCATTGATTTTTTTTCTGTGTCTTTCTGTTTTTAATTTCATAGATTTCTGCTCTTTATTATTTCCTTCCTTCTACTTTGGGGTTAACTTGCTGTTTCTTTTCTGTTTTCTGTTTGTTTATTTGTTTGTTTTTTGAGGTGGAGTTTCACTCTGTCGCCCAGGCTGGAGTTCAGTGGCATGATCTTGGCTCACTGCAACCTCTGCCTCCCGGGTTCAATCAGTTCTGTCTCAGCCTCCTGAGTAACTGAGACTATAGGCACATGCCACCATACCCAGCTAATTTTTGTATTTTTAGGAGAGGTGGGGTTTCACCATATTGGTCAGGCTGGTCTCGAACTCCTGACCTAAAGTGATCCACCTGCCTCGGCCTCCCAAAGTGCTGGGATTACAGGCCTGAGCCACTGTGCCCGGCTTTGCTGTTCTTTTTCTAAATTCTTAAGGCAGAAACTCAGATTACCGCTTTAAAATCTTCTTCTCTTCTAATTTGGCATTTAAAGATCTAAATTACCCTCTAAGCATTTCTTTAACTGCATCCTATATATTTTGATGTATTTTATTTTTGTTTCCATTTAGTTTAGAATATTTCTAATTTTCCTTGTGATATATGCTTTCACCCATGAGTTATTTAGAGTGTGTTGCTTAATTCCCAAATATCTGGGATTTTCCAAGTATCTTTCTGTTACGAATTCTAGTTTAATTCCATTATGATCTAAGAACTCAATGTGTGTGATTTCCACCTTCTTAAATTTTTTGATACTATTTTATAAGCCTGAATGTGATCTTTCCTGATGAATATTCCATGCGCACTTAAAAAAGAACGTATATTCTGCTGCTGTTCGGTGTGGTGTTCTAGTGGATCAAGTTGGTCAATTATTTCTCCTTTCAGTTCTATTGGGTTTTGCCTCATGTACAGTATTTGGAAACTCTGTTACTGGACGCACATAGTCTTAGAATTGTCGTATCTTTATGAATCAATTCCTTTATCATTGTAAATTGTCCCTTGTTATCTCCGGTAATAATCCATGTTCTGAACTCTACTTTGTCTTATATGGGTATTGCCACTGCAGCTTTTTTTGATTAGTGCTTGCATAATATATCTTTATTCATCATTTTACTTTTAACCAATCTTTGTATTTATATGTAACATGGATAACTCTTGTCCAGCAGATAGCTGAGTCTTGCTTTTTATCCAGTGTGACAGTCTATGCCTTTTTCATTGGAGTGTTTAGACAACTTAAACTTAGTGTAATTATCAATATGGTTAGATTTAAATATACCATCTTGCAATTTTCTGTTTGTTCCAGTTGTTCTTTGTTTCCTTTTATTTCACTGTTTCTCTTGCCTTGTTTTGGTTTGGGTAATTTTTTTTAGTATTCCACTTTATCTCCAGTCTTGGCTTATCAACTATAACTTTTTGTTTTTGTTTTCATCTTCCTTATTGATGTTATTGTTGTTTTCATTATTGCTCCAACGTTTGCAATATACATCTTCAACTTATTTCAGTCTATCTTTTAACATTGCACCACTTCACCTATAGTGAGAGACTTTACAACAGTATATGGAAGTTATATGCTATATTTATATATGTACACAAGTTATACATTATATGTTCCTCTTCTCCTTTTGTGCCTTATAATAGTACATTTTAAACCCCACTGTGCATTGTCATTAACTTTACTTTAAACATTTAAAAAATAAGAAAAAATGTTTTTATATCTGCCCGAATATTTATGATTTCTGATACTTTTTAGCCCTTTGTATGATGACTTTGTTCTGATACTTTTTAGCCCTTCCTGATGACCTCCTTAGTCACGCAAACCTCTTTCTTTATAAATTACCCAGTCTCGGGTATGTCTTTATTAGCAGCATGAGAATGGACTAACACACCCTACATCCAAATATAGTCACATTCTGAGGTACTGAGAGTTAAGGCTTAAACATATGCATTTTGGAGATATACATCCAACCTATAACAATTTATTTCTGATAATAATGTGCTGTGACTCTTAGCTTTAATCCTCTGTGTAATGTCTTTTTTCTCTTGCTGCTTTTGGGATTCTTTTTATCACTGTTTTTCAACAGTTTGGTTGGGATGTTCTTTTTAGTATGGTTTTTTTGTGTGTTTTTCTTTTCTGTGTTTATTCTTTTTGTTAGAATTTTAAAATCTGATGTTTTATACTTTTTGTAAATTTTGAATATTTGAATAAGCCATTACTTCAAATACTTTTCTGACCCCCACCCCAGGGTTCTCACCTCTGGAACTCAAATTTCACATCTATTAAAGCATTCTGTCTTATTCCTCAGGTCACCAATGCTGAAACCACCTTTGCAAAATTGTGACTGAGACAGTGAAAGAGATCTAACCTCACCTATTCCATCTTGCTTTTAACCTCCAAGCTGTCCTTGTTCCTTCCTGAGTGTAGGCTGAACTAACTTTGGGAGGAACTTAGTTTATAATTTATAGTTTAAAACAAAGACAGTAACAGCCCTTTCCCAAAACAAACCTCCTTCTTGCCTGGGGACTAGACTGCCTTTGTAGGATTAACAAATTAGCCACAAAATTAAAAACCTTGGTTTAGGGGTCATGCAGCGGGAGGCTACAAGATTCTGACCCTCCCTAAACTGCTCCTAAGATCAGTACTTGAGATATTTTGCAGACCCTGCACTTGATGGATCAGCTGACACCACCCAGACCACCACAAGAGGACAGCTTCAATTTCCCATGACTTCATCTCCTACATAACCAGTCAGCAGTCTTGGCTGTCTGACTTTTCCCCCACCCACCAAATTGTCCATAAAAACTCTGATCCCCAAATGCCTGGGGAAACTGATTTGAGTAATAATAAAACTCCCATCTCCCACACAGTTGACTATGCATGAATTACTTTTTCTCTATTGCAGTTCCCCTGTCTCGATAAATTGGCTCTCTCTGTGCAGCAGGTAAGGTAAACCCACTGGGCAGCTACTATGCCTTCTTCATTTCTTTAGTCTTTTTCCCTGTCCGCTTTGTTTGGATCATTGCTATTGTTTTGTCTTCAAGTTTTCTTTTGTGGTAGCTAACCTGTTGTAAATCTCATCCAGTGCACTTTCTTCCAAATACTGTATTTCTTATTCTAGAAGTTCCAGTTGGCTCTTTTTCATGTCTTCCATTTCTTTTATGTTTTCCAGTACTTCCTTGAACACTTGTATCATCTTTCTAAGGGCTGTTTTAGAATCTTTGTCTGCAAACTCCATTTTATCTGTAATTTCTATATCTGTTTCCATAGGTTTTTCTCCTAATTGTATGTAACATTGTTCTGCTTCTTTGTATATGTAATAGATGTTTACTGGATTCCAGATATTTTGATTTTTACATTGTTGGGTGTTGGGTTTTGTTAGATTATTTTACATTGATTTGGACTTTGTTCTAGTCGGACCTCCAGAGAGACAAAATTCATCAGAGCTACACATATAGGCAGAAAGATAAGAAGGGATTTATTAAGAGAATTGACTCACTCCATTATGGAGGCTAAGTCCCAAAATAATCCATCTGCAAGCTGGAGACCCAGGGATCCCTGTAGCATGGCTTGGTCCAAATTCAAAGGCCTTAGGACCAAGGAAGCTGATGGTGTAACTCTTAGTGCGATGGCAAAGGCCTGAGAGCCAGTGGGGCAAGCAGAGGTGCCCGCTGGTATGTATCCTGAAGTCTAAAGAACAGAAAACCTAGAATTTTGATGTCCCAGGGCAAGAGAAGAAAGGTATCCAGGCTCCAAAAGAGAGAGAACAAGCATTTGTCCTTCCTACACCCTCTTGTTCTATCCAGGCACCCAGCCAATTGAATAGTGCCCACCCATGCTCAGGGTGGATCTTTCCCACCCAGTCCACCAATTCACACACAGTCTCCTTCAGAAACAGCCTCACAGACACACCCAGAGCAGCCCAATCATTCTAATCAGAAGCAAAACCACCTGGGTTTTTCTTTCAACAGAAAGAGGATGGGTTCAGTGCCTACTGAAGCTTTGAGAATAATTAGTGCAAAAACTGAGAATAAATGATATTTTACCAGCTCTCTGGGCTTCCCTTAATCCAGTCAACTTGACACCCCAAATCAACCATCACAGACTTTGATTCTTTCAAGGCTCACTTTTAAGCTTTGTTGGGGTGACTCCAAAGTAGCTTTTTGCTGGGGGAAGGCACTGAGTAGGAGAATAGAGTTAAATCCAAGGACAGAAAGTGAACCAAGAGAAAAAGGTCTCAAGCCATGGAGACGGCACAGAGCAATAAACCAAATCAGAGCAAAGATCGGAGACTAGCAGAGCTGAAGACTTGCATTCCTGGAAAAGCCAGTGTATATTTAAACTGCAGAAAAACTTTGTGTTTATATGTAAAACTGAGCTAGGTTCTGGGATTAGCTCATCATAAACAGGTTTCTCATTTACATTCAGAAGTGAAGAGTAACATGAGACATTCTCTTGGTGCACATCTAGCATTCTTGGCCTCCACCCACTCACTGGAAGCACTGTGCCTGCCTGCTCCTTGTGTCCACCAAAATTATTGCCACACATTTCCAAAGTGCCCCCTGTGGGAAGCATTACACCCCCACTGAAAGCCACTGGTGTAGGAACAAAGGATTTAAAATATGCCTCTCTTATTTTGCCCTTCATTGTCCCTATTTCCTCATCCTGCTGCATCATCAGGGAAATCCAAGGGCCCTTTTCTGTATACATTCTTCCTGGATGATGAGTTCACTCACTCCTGTGGCTGTAGCCACTGCCTTAATGCCCGTTCAGACGTCCACTCCTTCGTCTCCAGCCCTGCCTCTCCCTTTGTGCCTATTCAAAATCTGCTCATCCTCCAAGGCCCAGCTCAGATTCTGCCTACTCCGCTAAGCCTCCTCCAAGGATTTCAGCTAACATTGACCTGTCCCTCCTCTTGCCCCTGGAGACACTGCCTAAGGCTTAGTTCTTAATTGTACAGAACTCATCAAACTGTGGTCATGATGGGCCTCCAAAAACCTGTGATTAGATTTAGTCATTCCACAATGTATATCTATGTGAAAGCATCATGTCATACACAATACATATGTATAATTTTATCTGCCAATGTTCATATATAAATAAGATGTTTAACAACCAATTGGAATGGATGACAGCCATAGTGAAACTGCCTTCGCAAAGATTACGGCAGTGAGAGAAATCTACCATCACTAACTCCATTTTGCTTTTAACTTCATAAGCTAACTGCCCTGGGTGTAGGCCAAACTATGGGAGGGATTCAGTTTAGAGTTTAACTTTTAAAGCAAGAATGATAATAGTTCCTTCCTGAAACTAACCCCCTCCTTGTTCAGGACCAAAACTGCCTTTGTGAAACTAATGAAGGGCCACAACGTTAGAATCATGATAGGAGCCTGAACTCTGCATAGTTAAGTTATAACCAGCCATTGTTCCCTGGCTTGCTGACTGCTCAGAAGTCAAGTAGCTGGAGGTCACAGGATTTGTGACTTCCCCACTTGCCCCTGTAGATAACATCACTATTGTAAAACCTAAGACTGGTCTTTGAAACATTTTCCAGACTTTTGCATTCAGGCAGACCAACAGACACCACCCCGACCTGAACCTGAGACTCGTGCCAAACAGCTGACTCAACAGGGCCTGTGACCCCCCCACCCAGAAGCTGACTCAATGCATGAAGACAATTCCAACACTCCTATGATTTCATCCCCCATCCAGTTTGCAGCATCCCTTCCCTAGCCACCTGCCCACCAAAAAACCCTAGCCTCCAAGCTCCTGGGGAGGTGAATTTGAGAACTATCTCCCATCATGCTTCTGGGCTGCCTTGTGATAATTAAATCTTTTCTCTGCTGCAACACGCCTGCTGTCTCAGTGTATTGGCTTTATCTGTGCAGCAGGCAAGAAGAACCCACTGTACTATGGCAACCATGAAGTGAGGGTGTGGGGGGCCCTGTAGCACCAAGCTTGAATCCTGTAGTCTTTCTGGATTGTGAGGAGGCACAGAGACTCCCAGGGGAGGAGCTGCACAGCTGGAATGGCAAGGTCACCAGCCAAGCAGAAGGGACATTGGATGAATCAAGACCCACAATAGCTGTAAACCACTAGTTTGCCAACCCTGGCACATACCAACTTGACATAAATTCTGCCAATGACCAAAAATAATTGAAAATGAGGTTAAAGCTTATTAAATCTTAAAAAAAAAAAGAAAAAAAGAAAAAAAACCCGGGGAATGACTTGCTAAAATGTAGTGTCCAGGGCAACACCCTCAAAGGATACTGTAACTCTGGGTGATTATTTCCATTCCCGAACACCTAAAGCAAAGAAATCTACACTTTAACAAGCCCTCAGAGGGATTCTGATGTAAACTGAAATTTTAAGAGCCATGGCTTTGGTACTTTCACGTGTGTCTCAACTGATTTGTAAACTCTTTCAGTGCAAGAATCGCTTTTTAATGCTTGGAAGCTAGCCCCATGCTGGGCACATAATTAGAGTTTTCAGTTTTTAGTGTCAGGAGCTGGGGATTATTCCAGTTCTGGGGCTGTCTTGGATGTGGGTTTTAGTCTCCTGTATAATCTTCATCAGCCATCTCCATTCTCAGTCTTACCTTCAGTGCTGCAGTAAAGTCCTCACAAATGAAGCTTCCAGGTAAGACCCCCGACCTCTCTTTCAACAGAAATGCTGCTCCTAATCCCATCCTATATGGTAATTCTGGAGTAGTCACTGCCTGGACATGGAGATTAATAAACCTGATTTCTGTTTTCAAGGGACATCAAGTCTAAGAGATGAGAGGGATAGGTACATAAACAATTACACCATAATCTAAGCATATAAGAAATATAGAAACACTGGCAGAGTCGGGAAACTTAATATCTGGGCTGAGTTTAAAAAGAATGAATAGTAATTAATTCAACCAGGCAGTGAAGAGCAAGCCTAGTGAGGGAACTGCATGGGCAAAGGATGGGAGTGTCAGTCAATGTGGTTTATGGGCAGGAGATGGATGAGAGAGAGTGCTGGGAACAAGGCTTCCTCTTGGCTCTGGGTATTCCAGTGGGGAAATGCAGATGCTATGGGTAAATTTGTGAAAATAGACTCTTGAGGCCATCCATATGCTTGTCTCTGTTTGCTCAGAAAAAGTTGATTCTTGATGGAAAGGCCACAGCCTCTCTTGCTTTCTCAACCACAGCAGCTTCCTAAAGCCTCCTGGGCTGCAGCCTGGATGTCCTGGCTCTGTCTCCATGTTGATTCTAAGGCAGTAACCTTCAAAGGGTTTTGACTGCCACCCCCCATAAGAAATGCACTTTATGCTGCGATCAACACATATATACACAAAATATAAAATTGAAACACAATTTCCATGAAATAATGCCTCCATTATCACCTGTCACCCATTTTGATGTTTTGTTTTTCTATTCTAATCCACTTAAAAAAGAAAAGAAAGGTTGGGTGGGATCCACTACGTTGATCTCAAGATCCAGTGAGTCACCACTCACAGCTTGAGAAACCCTATTCTGGGACTCAGATGCTAGTTTGGAGGTGTCAAGAAGCAGCACACTCCAGTGGCTAAGAATATGGACTCTGGGAGCAAACCGCCCAATTCAAGTCCCTGTTCTCCCATTTACTCCCTGTGTGACCTTGCCAAGTTACTTACCCTTTCTAGACCTCAATTCTTTTGTCTACAAAATGGGATGATAAGAGTACCTACCTCCTACAGGTGGTGTGAAGATAAGTGAGATAATATAGATGTAAAAGTACAGAAAAGTGTAGGACATCTAGTAAGTGCTGCCTAAGTTAGCTGCTGCCATCATCATCATCATCATCATCATCATCATCATCATCATCTTTGATCCTCCTGTTATCTTATTTTAAAATAAAGCCAAATTACAGTACCACTAGTGAGAAGAAAGAAAAAAAGGCTATACCAAAGGGTTTATTTGCAAAGCTGTAAAAAACTACACAGTGTGCAGAGCAGAGTGGGAAGAGGTCCTGGGACCCGGTTAACACAGGCAGCCCCTGCACTCATGTTTGCAGGGGAAGGGAGGAGGAGAGCTTCTTTTCCAGCCATGGTTCAGTGTCCTGGAGACCAAGACTGCTGGGTCTGGATGCCTCCTTTGCCTTCTACTAGCAAACACTTTATTTCCTTGCTCGTATTTTCTAATCTACCTAGAATCTCAAACCCCCAAAGCATGGAGGACTTCTGCTATGGTGTGAATGTTGCTGTCTCCCCCAATATACAGGTTGAATCCTAATCCCGACACTACAGAATTAAGAGATAGGGCCTTAAGAGGTGAGATCATGAGGACTCCACCTTCATGAATGGGATTAGTGCCTTAAAGAAAAGGCTCAAGGAAGCCCTTTTGCCCTTCCCTTCTGCCATGTGAGGATGCAGCAAAAAGGCATCATCTTTGAAGCAGATGGCAAGCCCTCACCAGACACTGAATCTGCTGGCACCTTGATATTGGACTTCCCAGCCTCCAAAACTGTGAGCAATCAATTTCTGTTATCAATTACTTAGTCTAAGGTATTTTGTTACAGCAGTCTGAACGGTTGTGACTAAGACAAATTCCTTCTTACAGTGCATCTTGGGGACCATATTAGGATGTCAGTTCATTGAAAGGAAGATTGAGTTTCTTTTCTCATCAATTTAGTGCATGCTATCCAATAAAGATTAGCCCACAGAGGGGATTTTAAAAAACAGAAGAGAAAACCTTTCAATTATGCCAAAGGCTGGCCTGATTCAACCCACCTCACCCAGGCTCCAGATGCTTGAATGGCAGAATTAAGGAAGCAAAGGGGCATCTGCCATCAGATGGATGAAAGCCAGGTTTCGAGAACTTTTTAACAATTACCCAAAGGACACATTTGGGAAATAAAGAACTGGACACTTGGAGTCAATGTTTCATTGGTCATGATGATCAAAAAATGATGGTTCACACACACACACAGACCTCATCCCACCTGCTGCAGGGTGGAAGCAACACCACTGGTACTCACAACCCCTCTGGCTGGGTTCTCTGGTGCGCCCTGCAGCCGCTGCCCCACCCAGGACTCTGTCCTTCACCCTGAAGTTCTACCGCCCTGGTTTTCATCTCTCCTCAACATGGTGCCTGGAGGCTCAATGTCCAGGTAGAGATGTGAAAATCAGATCTGCGCCGGGCAGGGTTGCAATGTCCTTGAGTTCTTCTCCATCTCCCTTTCCCAAACTCTCTCCTCTCCCCTCTCCCACCCCGTCATTGTTCCCCGGAAACAAATAGGATGGCTTCACTGGTCAATTCTTAACATGTACAAACACCAAAAGCAGAGGAAACGCCCCTTGGCCACCCCCCTCCCCCCAAACCCCAGTGCTGGGAGCGCAGCCGGCGGGCGAGGCTGCCTGGAACGTGGAGCTGCTGGAGCTGTCCGGCTGACCTGGAAAGTTCTTTGGCCTCTAGGCTTTACCTGGAGGCCTCTTCCTTCAGCTCCTTGTTTTTCCGCACCTCCTCGGCGTGCTTGTCCTGGAAAGGAAGGGAGGGAAAAGGGCAGGTCACACAAGGCTGCCCGGGGACAAAAAGGGAGGCCAAGGGGCAAGAGAACCAAAAGCAAAGAGTGGCCACCACAGGCAGCGAAGAGCTCTGTCTGCAAAGGCATCCCGAGAGGGGCAGAAGGTGGCAGGTGAGGCTGGCAGGAGGCAGGGGGCAAGCCTACTGGTGCTGCCCCAGGGAGCTCAGGGTCCTGTGGGTGTCAAACTGCAGCAGGGGCCCACCTTACAGTGACCATGGGCCACGCAGCCTCCCCCTCCCTCACCTGGCCATTCTGTGGTTTGGATTAGATCATATGGCTTGACTTAATATAAGGAGCTGCTGGGGGTAATTTGTGCCAGAGGAGCAGGCAGAACAGACAGGCCTCACTACAAGCATCCCCTACAAATCACATGCACCTGCCTGCTGCTTCTAGTTCTCATCCATCTCCTTTGTGAGAATTGCCTTAACCCTCTTGGTGAAAGATGAGGATTCTTTGATTTTCCTTTGTTATTATTTAAACAAAAATAGAGATGGGATCTTGCTATGTTGCCCAGGCTGTCCTCTAACTCCTGGCCTCAAATGACCCTCCCACCTCTGTCTCCCAACGTGCTGGGATTACAGATGTGAGCCACCGTGCCCAGGTGTGGACTCTTAAAGTGCAAATCGACAGAAGAATTTTGAAAATGTTGCCCAACTCCAAAAAGTGGACTTTCTTACACCTATTATAAGAGAACCTTCTTTTATTTCACAGGGTAGTGCAGCCAAAAGATAGCATCTGCCTTCCAAGGCCCATCTGCAGGAGGATCTTGGCTGGCTCACTTCTCCAACCAGGCCTCAGTTCTCTGATCTTTAAAGAGAAGGGCATAGACAGGTGGTCTTTCACCCCTCAAGTTGTGATGTTTAGTGTTCACCTGCTCACTGTGCAGATTCTCTATTAGACAGTTCTCTATTAGACGGTGACTTTCCTGTGGGTAGGGACCACATTATCTTTTCTACTATGGTGCCTTACACATGGCAAGCACTCAACCAATGTTGTCCCTCCCAGAGCCTGGCACTGTCACATCCAGATGACAGAATCAGCCTGAAGTAGACCCACGGAGGCCCCCAGGTTTTCAGGATAAACTATAAACTACGAATCTGTCCCTGCAGACACCCTAGAACTTTCTGTGGCCTAGGAGTGAGGAGTGGTGTGCACAGGGCAGGGGTTCCCAAACTTTGGTATGTATCAGCATGACCTAGGAAGCACCATCCCTAGACAGCCAGGATTAGTGTTCTGGGGAAGGTTCCAAGTATCTGTATTTTTTAATTTTATACCAAGTGAGTCTGGTACACAGGGTCAGTGACCCACACAAACACTGGCACAGCAGGCATTGTTGAAGGTGTCCCTGGCCTGGTGCACAGGTGGACAGGGCAGAAAACATACACCCAACTCTCACCCAACCTCCCGCCTCCACCAGTGGGTAAAGGGGAGCAGGGGCCGAGGTCCCAAAGGGATGCTGCCCCCTCAAATGTCTGCTCTGACCTCACACCTCTTTGAGTCTACCCGACCTCCACAGCCATCACTCTACAATATGGACCTTTCCAGTCTCTCTGCCTCTGAATCTACCGATCTCTCTGCCTCTGAATCTACCTCCATTCTTGGGTGAGCTCACTGGGCAGAGCCCTAAGTTCTGCACTCCCTTTCCTCGGCCTCCAAAGTCTCTCTTGATGACAAAAGGCTGGCAGGACAATCACAGGCTGGTCTCCCTGAACCACTTGGACTTGGAGCCAAAGATCTGGGTGCTAGTCCTAGCTCCACTGCTTATTAGTTTCGTGACCCTGGGTAAGTCATTTGACCTTTGTTGACATGTTTTTCTCATCTGCAAAATAAGGATAACACCTGTCCAGCTTGCCTCAGGGACTTGTTGTGAGGATAGTGGCGAGAGGAAATGAAAGTATTTTGCAAAGAGTCTCTCAAGTGCTATATCCTGGGTCGAGCCTCAGTGATTTGTTTTGGGTCTGGCCTCAGGGCCATGCCCATCTTAGCCCAACCCCAGGTTTTTGTTAAGAGTTTGCTCCAAGTCATCCCTCCATAACTGGAGAAGCCTGAGGGCCGACCCAGATCACCTCCCTCCCATGTGACACTTGGTGGAGGCCCTGCCAAGCTTTGCAGGCTGGTGCATCAGAGCACAGGGGCTGCCTCGTGCTGGCCAGCTCCAGGGCCTACGCAACATTCAGACACCTTGTGAAGAAACCAGATCCTTCTAGGACCTGTTGCCAAGGGCCTGAGACTCTAGGTGGATGGGCAGGAAGGAGCGGGGACCACGCTGCTCACCATGGGACGAGGCCACCGATCAGGTCCCGGGAGTCACCGCGCAGCAGGCGGTTCCTGGAAATAAAACACAGAGCTGGAGCTCTCCCAGGAGCTGCAGGAGAAACTGGGGCGGCCTTGAGACTCAGGAAATGAGGCCAGCGTGTTCTCAGCAGAACGGGCCGGTATTCTGCTGACACACAGAACCAACCCCGGCCTCATGTTTCTCATATTTAGGTGACACCGTTCCATTTATTGACAAAAGGCAACATATTGGAAAGACCTGTGACTCACTGGGTCTGTGTCAAGAGGTTTAGAGAGAATCATGTTTCCTGCTCAGTGGGAATCTCAGCTCATCATACCCGTGACTTAGAGCCAAGAGCTCAAGAAAGCATCTTTCCTTCCATCAAATCAATCCATTCAGGGATGAAGCTAGGAATGCATACCTGCTTGTCTATCTCTACTCCTTTGTATTAGACAGGCTTCTTCTAGAAAATCAGACATATATGCTCCCTAAGGCAATGAAGGATTTTAATTGTGTAACTGTGCAGAATATCCCCCAAGGAAACCCTGAGTCTGGTTCCTATTTCTTGCCTCTGACTTCCCTGATCATCCTTCGGAACTCTCTAAAGATCCTGCCTAAGAAAAAGATCCTGATTTTTGCCTGAGGCTGCTTCCTCCCTGAGATGATCAGCAGGTCCCCGCATACTTGCTGCAGAAGGAAAACAGCATGTCCCAGGAAACTCCTCTCTAGCCAGGGACCCCTCACCTTCTCTTGCAGCCGTTCCAACATGGCGGCGAGGTGGGCCTCCCTGTTCTCCTTGTTGGATTCCATCTTCTGGGCCAGTTTTTCCTTAGCCATCTTGATGAAGTTGTTGTTTTCCTCAATGGCCTTTTGGATCACCTCTCTCTCATGTTCCCGTTTCTCTGCTAGGTGTTTCAGGAGCTCCGCTTCCTGGTACTGGGGAAGCATAAAGGCAGAAGGAGGCCCTTCACAGTGAGTGTGCCAGGGTTTATTTTCACCATCGTGGCTGAAAAGCTGCACACTCAGAACACTCACCTCCCTGGGCCTGGTCCCCAGACCATTAGCAGGAAACAAGGACACTTCCTAAATTCCCCCCACCACTTTCAGAGCCTTCCACATTCTTTGATTTTTTTTCCCAGCCTTTTCCTAAATACCTTCATGGCCCTTTTGCTCATTGCCATCATTCATTCATTCATTCACAAACACTAAATGATCTTATACTATGTGCCAGGCACTGGTCTAACAGCTTGGGGTAAAAAAAAGTCTCACAGAGGTAAGACATATATACATCACTAAAATCCAGACTAGTGTAGACATATGCCCTAAGGTGTAGACAGGATGCACTGAAGGAATTCATGATAGGGGATTATTTTCTTTTTGAAAGATAAAGAAAAGTTACACATAGAAGACGGTATCAGAATCAAGCCATGAGAATCCATAGAAGGCATCCCGGGCCTCGAGATGCACTACACCATGATCTTCTCTCCCTCCTCCAACGAAGAAGCTCTTTCCTTAATTCCCTAGCCTTTCCCTAAATCCTTAGTATTTGTCAGTCTTATTTTTGCCACCATGCATATAGGGCCACCTCTTGGAGGAACATAGCAATGTCCTATCCCCCTAACCAAACTGTGAGCTGCAAGAGGCCAAGGGTGTTTAGTTCTTTGTTTCCCTCAATGGTGTCTCATTCTCCACCGCACACTCGGGAGATGCTCCCTAAATATTGCAGATTGGTGATGAGCTTATCCCAGCTCAGGTCCACCACCTGTCTTCTCCACCTCCCTCCCCTTTATGCTGAGAGGGAGGAAAGAAGGAAGGGTCAGCATTTACCTTCCTTCGCTCCTCAGCCGCTTCTAGTTTCTTCTGGATCTCTTCCAGGGATGGGTCTCGCCGCCTTGGCAGGGAGGCGTTGAACTCGGGAACCCCATCAAAGGAGGGTGGCTTCAGGATGACTTCAAAGGATTGGCCCGAGGTGCATTTGTTCAGCTCGATGACTTCCATGTCGGAAATGACGCACCAATTCAGGTCCACCGTGTCTGCTACAGAGGGCAGAGAAGGGGCTGCTCACGTCCTGAAGAATGCACAGGCACCCAGCAAGCATGCGGCGCATGCACACGGGAGTGGGAGAACTGGGGCCCCAAGCAAGCTGGAGACTGGGGTCTGGCTTAGTCCTACACCCTAGTACCTAAGGGCAATGGCCTCTGACGGGGCTGAAGGAGTTTGTAGCAACAGTGAGGCTTCAGCCTGCAAGAATAGGGGGCCCCAGGCAATGTGATTTCCTACGACACTGGCTGCTTTTGCCTTTGCTTCCCCCACCAGCCTCCTCTGACTGCTGAGCTGCTCAATTTGTCGTCCGTGGTGACAGGCAGGGGTGCGTTTCAGCCCCCGCCCACCCCCGGCCACAGCCCATCTGACGCTCGGCCTGCGGAATCCCTCCGCTGCCTCCCTCCTACCCTGAGCTCTTCTTTCTCTCCAGTCAGCACTGTCTTTCCGCTGGCTTTCATCCTTCCTCCTACACTGTCTCCCACACCAGCCTAGACAGAAAAAACAACCTCAGGTCATCCGAGCATGCCTGTTCCTTGGTGCCAGACCAAACCAAACCCATCTCTGCTTCTAACCAGGACATTAGGAGGTGACCTGGTCCCCGAGCACCCCTGGTGAGGACGTGGCCACCCAGTGCTCCCTGCTGGTGTCTTGGGGCTGTCCCGGCTACAGGCCCCACACAGCATGGCTGCCACAGAACCTCCTCTTCCCACCTCTGGACTCTCCCAGAGCATTCTCTACCCTTCCCAGAGGAGACCTGTTGACCTGGAAACTGACTCACATCGTCTCATCTTCTCTTCTGGTCTAGATGTTCCCCACAGGTAGAATATCTGTCTGGCTCACCTTTGCATACCCCCCAGTCTCGATTTGCTGGATGCATGCACAGAGGTGACAAGATCGAGTGCACTCTGGGGGGCGCCTGATGCAGACCTTCATGGCCTCCCCCTAGTGCCCAGGCTGGACCACTGCAGCTCAGACCCTCGGGCTCACCCGCTGTGATTTCATCGGCACTGGGAAGGAAACTGTCTCGGGAGGAGAGATTCACGGGACTGGGGTCGGGGTGCAGGACCTATGAGGACAGGACACAGGGCCCCCCCGCCCCTCACTTTCCTGGCTGAGCCTTCACTGACCTTCATATTTGTAGGACGACTTATTCAGGGGATCGGCCAGGAAGCAGGAGCAGAACAAGGACACCAGCGGGAGCTCCTTCATCTTCTCTTTGTAGGCTGCGGAAACACCCAGTCAGGTGAGGATGGCGCCTCTCCTAGCCTCAGAAGTCAGCGTCCTCACGGGTCTGGGGCTCTGAGCAGCCCAGGGTTCCATAAAGGCACTCAAACCACGCAGGCACACGCCAAGCCTGGGGATCCAGGCCTTTCGCCCTGAGCCGTGCTGTTCAGGATCCCTGTGTGGGATTCGAACCCACTCCTGTCTCCTGTGGAAACCTAAGCCTTCCAGAGCATCAGATCCTTCTCCACAGTATGTCTCCTCCCCTTCCAGACCAGAAAGCAAAATGCCCTCATGGAAAGGTCCCAAGCACCAGTGCCTCAGCTCTCCATCCCCCAACATCTGCCCCAGGACATTCCGATTCTTTTTCTCCAGGACACAGGAGACCCACACTCCATTCTACTCCAAATACCTGGCAGCGCTGGCCTGCAGGGTTAAGGAGCTGGATAGGAGGGGACCGTCCTCACCACCATCCCTCTGGTCTGCCCCTCACAAGGTCAGGCTATAAGCCTTCTCTGACCTTTCCAACACAGTGCACAGAGCCTGGGGGTCGCTGGTGTCCCCAAAAGCTGGAGCATATCCCCGCCACCCTCTAGTCTATCTGTGTTTGGGATGTCAGGGGCCAGAGCTGTCCTGGCTCCTGAAAGTCCCTCTCCTCACCGCCTTGGGGCCCGTGTGTCTGGCTGCTCAGGTTGCAGCCCTTAGCTGACCCCTAGCACAGCGCAGGTGTTGCCCCCATCCTCATTTGCTTGTACAATTTTTTGTTGAGATGAGGGTCTCAATATGTTGCCCAGGCTGGACTCAAACTCCTGGGCTCAAGCGATCCTTGTGCCTCA
The DNA here is from genome assembly GCF_000001405.40 of Homo sapiens. Classification (NCBI taxonomy): domain Eukaryota; kingdom Metazoa; phylum Chordata; class Mammalia; order Primates; family Hominidae; genus Homo; species Homo sapiens. Next base: position 27,243,327 of record NC_000008.11, read on the forward strand.
GACTCCTGATACTGGGGACTATAGGCATATGCCACTATACCTGGCTTCCTTTTACAGATTTGAAAATACGTGTAACTGCAAAAATAATATATAGGCATCATAAAAACTTAAAAAAAAACACACATATACAGATGAGCAAAAGGAAGAAAATCTCAGCTGTGACACACCCCCCACCACTTGTTCAACTTGTCGCCTGTGGTGACAGGCAGTGGTGTGCCTCCCGCCACTGCCTGCATGCCCCCAAGCCTCCCATCACTACCTGCACCCCCCCACACACCCCGTGTGCTTCCTGCCAGCTGTGTTCTTCCCTGCTTCTGTGAGTCCATGTTGGGTGAGGGCAGGGGGAATAGCCTACGCCCCTTAACACATGGTTTTTGTACCTACCAGCAAGGGTCATGTTTCTGGGATCTGGTGGCTGAATCTAGCTGAAAGTTACAGAGTGGGTCTGTCACCAGCTTGGGACGCTGTCACCAACCTGAGAAAAGGGGAGGACAGGATTTTACCATCGATGGATTAGACAGGTTATTCTCATAAGAAAGGTCTTTATACACTGGGGAGGGAATCTCAGGGGTACCTCATTTGCTCTTCCTCCAGGCCCTCTCCCCACCAACTCTCCCTGGGGGTCCCCTACCCCGACCTCCCTCCCACAATGATGCTAAACAAGCTCAGATTCCATGAACTAATGATACTTCATAATTGGCTTTCCAGTCTCAAGCCCCCTAGCACATGCAAGCGTGGGTTTCCCAAAAACGTATGGATCAAGGGGTGCTCATCTGTCTCCCTCCATAGCTCAAGAACCTGGCCCAATTCAAGGGTTAGGGTGAGAAGCAAATCCTCCTGCAGAATCAGCTGGGAGGCATTCATAAAATAACTGTGTGTCCTGGACTTCTCCCCGCACATGCCCCAGAAGTCTTTGGGCCAATTCTGATATGGGAAGAGAGGGAATTGGACATAGGATGTTAACAGGCCTCTTCAGATGCCTCTCACCTTCCCTTTCCCAAGACGACTGACCTAAGCTGTGTTTGACCCTATTTAAGACAATCCGGGACACAGGAAAGAAAAACATTAAGGAATCATGTCGTCATCACAGGGCCAGCCAGCACACCACCAGAAATCAGCGTGAGGAATTGCTGTGGGACACAGAGATAGGGCTCCACACCACCAGAAATCAGCATGAGGAATTGCTGTGGGACACAGAAATAGGGCTCCACACCCCCAGCATTTGCCAGGGAGCCTGGGAGGTGTCCCTGGTGTCGGTAGCACCTGAGCAGTGCCTTGAAGGATGAGTTAGAATCAGACAGGAGCTGGCAGGAGGGCATTGTGCAAGGGAACATCACGGCCAAGGGTCGGGGTGAGAACGCCACTCAGTGTCCGTGGGATCAGGTCAAGCTAGTTGACGCTAGATCAGAAAGTGGAAAGAGGAGGGGGCGGGGCAGGAGACAAAACAGGAGAGTCAGGGAAGGAGCAGATCTGGGAGGATCAGAGGGGTGGAGGTGATGGGAGCCCATGAAGGCTACTACAAAGAGAGTGAGGAGCAGCCAGCAGTGAGTGGCCATCCTCAGGACCATTTGATCCTCGGTCACCCTCTGTGGTCACTGTGCCAGGGGAGGGTGGCGAGAGCCAGCAGGCTCACTGCCTACATCCTTGCCAGCCAAAGAGACTCTGAGACCCACTTCAAACCCCTTGCCTTTCTGTGCTGGCTGGAGACTGGCAGGAGGAGGTAATGGGGCAGTGAACTCAGCTCTGGCTTTAGGGCTAGACCAGTGTGGGGTCAAATACAAGTATCACCTCTCTTACCAGCTCTCGCTAGTCTCTTTCTCCATCTTAATCCTGCACAGAGCTGTACAAATTAAATGAGAAAAACCCATGCATAGCATCCAGCAGACAGGAAGCACTGAATAAATGTTAGTCTCTTTGCCCTGTCTTTTGCATCAGGACAGCTATCAGGTGCCACATGCCTGCTTCAGAGCCATTACCTCTGGACCCACAAGTAAGGACTGTTGTTGCCATGTGCGGATGGGGAAACTGAGGCTCAGAGGGTTTATGTGCCTGCTCAGGGCAATGCAGCTAGCAAGTTAGAGTGCCCATTTGAACCGAGGTCCAGCTGGACTTAAACTGCTTTGTTCTCCTTGTTCTTGTTGTTGTGCTTTGGAGCCAGAGGCCCCTGTCATTGCAGCACAATGGGTCTTCTCTCTGCAGAACTAAGCTGGTCCTGACGGCACCAGTGAGTCCCTGAACAGAGAGGCAGGCCTGGTGCCTGCATGCGACTTCCCTGGTCATGACACCCCATCCCGCAGTCTCTGCTCATGGCCAGGCTGACTGACAAGTCACTGGCAGAGTTAGTAAGCCCTTGCCAGAGTGGCAGTGGCCTTGGACTTCTACCTGGGGAAAGGATCAGAAGTGGAAGCCTGAATAGGTGGAGGGGAGGCAGAGAGGGATGCCTGAGAAAGAAGGCAGATGGAGTAGGAGCAGGCAGTTGGAGTTATGGAATGTGCCTCCAGCCCGAGCTAGAAATGATGATAGGACCCTGTGCTCAGGGGGCACTCGACACCCACCACATTATCCTAGTCTAACTTTGCATGAAGCTGGCTTAGGCTGACAAGACAGGCATCATCAGCTTTGCTTTCAGATGAAGAACCTGGGGTTTGGAGAAGTTCAGACGCTTGCTTAAGGTCACACAGCTCTAAGGGTGCAGAGCTGGGTCTAGTCTCCAGGTCTCTCGACTTGTAAGCTCTTCCATTGTAACCAGTGGAAGAACTAGATACTCACTAATGCTTTCTCTATGGTCCTGAGGACTCACAGAAAGCCAGCCTGGCCTGGGGATATGAGTTAACTTTAAAATATGTGGTAAGTGCTTTCTACATGGAAGGAAATGGGCTAGGAGTTTTAGGAACACAGAGAAGGTCAGAAAGCCAGAAAAGGAAAACCAGGGCAAGAAACGAGATGTTGTAGAGGTGGGCAGAGGTATGCATGGTCATGATCAAGGGATTTGCAATGGAGACCTCTCAGTGTTAAAAATGTGTGCTTACTGAGCAGCTGCTATGTGACAAACTCACTTTAATTTTCGTAATAGCCTCGTAAGGCAGGAATTACTATCCCCATTTTATAGAGAATGAAATCGAGGCTCAGGGAAGCTAAGTGCCTTTTCAAGGCCATTCAGTACAGTAGGTTAAATAATGTCCCCTACATGCATACATGCTCATCCTAACTCCTACAACCTGTGAATATGAGCTTATTTGGAAAGAAGGGCTTAATGAAGGATCTCAAGAAGAGACATTCCTGCTTGCCTGAGAAAGCCTTAAACCCAATGGCAAGTGTCCTTATAAGAGAGACTGAGAGAAAAGGCCATGTGCAGACGGAGGCAGAGATGGGAGTAAGGCAGCCACAAGCCAAGGAACCTTTGGGGCCGCCAGAACCTGCAAGAGACAAGGACAGATCCTCCCCTGGAGTCTTCAGCAGAGTTCAGTCCACTGACATCTCAGCTTTGAACTTCCAGCCTCCCGGTTAGTGGTAAAGTGATGCAGTAGCCCCGGGGAAACTAATGTCCTCAGGAAGTGACAAAGCCAGGGCTCAAACCCATGGTTTTTTTCACCTCAGGTACCAGCATTCATACATGGGCTGATTTATTCCTCAAAATGATCTATGTGGCCAGGCGTGGTGCCTCATGCTGTAATCCCAGCACTTTGGGAGGCTGAGGTGGGCAGATCACTTTGAGGTCAGGAGTTTGAGACCAGCCTGGCCAACATGGTGAAACCCCATCTCTACTAAAAATACAAAAATTAGCCCGGCATGGTGGCGCATGCCTGTAATCTCAGCTACTAGGGAAGCTGAGGTAGGAGAATCACTTGAGCCTGGCAGGCGAAGGTTGCAGTGAGCCGAGATCGCGCCACTGAACTCCAGCCTGGGTGAGAGAGTGAGACTTTGTCTCAAAAAAAAAAAAAAAAAAAGATGATCTATTTACTTGTGCCTGTGGGTCCATAGGGCCCTTATAAATCCTCATGCCAACAGTCACATCATTTCTTTTGCACTCAAGACCCAAAAGATATGCCCAGGGGACATTCTGAGAAAGGACACAGAAGATAAAAAGGTGGGAAGCAGAGGGCACAGAGATGAAAGGAGTCTTTGCCACTGGGTGGCGCCAGCCATGGCAGGAAACCCAACTTTATCCCTAATAACCTGTGGCATCTGCGCCCAGTGGGGCCAGTCACATGTCCCTCCCCAGCACCTGGCCTGGTTGTGTGATGCTAGGTTGTCTTGTGGGGTTTGTTAAATGGCCATGGTCATGTTATCATGCCACAGCAATATACAGCCTGCAAGGGAGCGAGGGCCACCAAACCTCTCCTGGAACTGTCAAAGAAGGACAGTAAAGGTGTTATGCCCAAGGTCAGAGCACACAGAGTGCCAGGGATTCAGGTGGCATGATGAAGATGAAGAGACAATAGAGGCCATAGGAAGCATGAGGCAAGGAGTGCAAATCCTCAATGGGAGATTCTATCCAAGACGTCAGCCAGCAGAGCAATGGAAGGCAAAACCCAGTGCAGAAGCAAACCTCCATCCCCATCCCTCAGAGGTTCCTTATGTGTTTTCTGTTAGGTGAGAGCCAATCCTAGCCCTTCTATTGCCCCTAAGGAAGACCAGGAAATTCATTGCATCCAGCAGCAACAAAGATCAAAGGAGCCCCAGACAGAAGGTCAATGTGGCAGTCATTCAGCCAATATCCAGAACCAGAGCTAGAGCTCAGGATGGCAGGCCCTCCAGCTCCTGCCTGGTGGTCACTGTCAAGCACTTCTGATGGACACAAACTGGTTGGTCAAGAGCCAAGGCCTCCCTGGGCAGCTGAGCCCCTGTGCTGGCAGGGATTGATCCAGTGGAGCAGGTAGAGAGAGGACTCTATTTATTTATTTATTTATTTATTTAGTATATAATTCTGTGCCAAGCCCTCTGCTAGATCTTCAGATGGCAAAGATTCGAGTGTGGCCTCATCCCAGACTGTGATGAGGTTACTATGCAATTGAGGTTCTGCAGTGCCTATCACCTTGCAATGACTGTGAACCTGACTGTGTGCCAGGGATGTGGACTGGGTTTACTCAGGAACACAGGAGGCCCACTGGGCTGCATGCAGGGTGCAGTGGGACAGAATGCTAGAATAGGAACTGGAAAATTGCAGAGACCTCTGGACCAGTGAAGGACTTTGTGCTTTATCTCCCACCCAGTAGGAAGCCACTGACATCTTTTGAATGAGGGGAGAAGAGAACAGTGATGCTGATAATAATAGCAATAATAACAACTACCATTCTTGGGCAGGAAAAGCACGGCTGTTATCTCATTTTTCTATTAGGTTCTTTGAGAATGAGGACATTGAATCTCAGCAGTTAAGTAAGTTATACCGTCGTCACACAGGTAGGTAGGGGCAGAGCTGGGATTTGAGTCCTCATGTGTTTCATTGGAAAGCCTCTCTGTCTTTAGGTTCTGCTGCGAGTGTAAAAAGATTCATCTGGCAACATTCGTTTGGGGAAAAATTAGGAGGGATAGGCTGGAAGCCAAATAGCAGTCTGGGTACAAAGTGTGGGTTGGACCTGCTGGATTGAGTTCCACTCTGAAGTTTTCACATCTCACCCAGCACTATTTTTCCATTTACAAACTGATCCATACATTTCCCCCAGCACCAGCATCTAAGAGTCTGTACAGAAAAGCAAGGAACCAGAGCTTTTTGTTGATGGCTTGAACCATTAGCATAATTGTTAAGAAATAAATTAGTGGGTGATAACCCCCCCCAAGCACAGAGCCAGCCGTAAGGAAACACAGAATGAGTAAGTTTTGATTGGAGGCAGACGTGGCTGAGAGTGAAGTTGTAGGCTGTTGACTGAGGAGGGATCTCACGGTGGGACAGTGGGGAGAAAAAGGTGGTTAAAGTGAAGAGATCAGAGCCCTCGATTTCACCCAGAACATTTGAATGTCAGAGATGGAGAGAACAGGCAATCACAAGCCCATGGTTCTCGACTCAGTGCAGTCTCACTCCCGGGAACTACATGGGACTTTTCAATGGTCATGAAACTGAGGATGCTACAGGCATTTAGTGGGCAGAGGCTGGCGAGTCTAAATGTCTTGCATTGTATACATCAGTCCCACACGATAAACAACTGTCCCTTCCAAAATGCCAATAGCCTCCTACTTGGGGACCAAAGATTCTGAGGTCACGCAGAGAACTCCTGGCAGAGATTGGATGGATTCCAGTGTCAATGCCCTTCTCCTTTATACTTGCTCCTTCTCTGTCCCCAAACACCATCCTGGATGAGAGGGGACAGCCCACATGGTCACCAGAGCAGCTCTGAATGAGAAGATGGATACACAGAAGGGAGACCCCAGCAGGGCACTTTCATGCAACCCACACTTCCAGGCTTTCCGTAATTCAGCTGATGTCCAGGGGGCAAACAGAAAAGCACCAAGTTCTCAGATGACACGTGGCCACCTACTGGGTGTATGCCTGACCTCTTAGTGCCTCTGACTGCCCATACGACAGAATGAACAAGCATTTTATTGGTCACTGTAAGAAATGCCCCAAGAATGCTTGCAGGATGTGTCAAATTCCATCTGGACTATTTTTGAGGGATGAGCAGATAATGCATGTCCCAGTGGCTTGAACAGAGTTGTACCTGGCAAGGGTTTCGGAAGACAAATCTAGAAACTCTGGCCAAGAATCAGGATGAATACCTCATGGTTGTGGGGGCAATGAATTCTGCCTGAGGTCCTCTAACCACAAGCAGTACAGGAAGGTGGTTCTTTAAGTCTGTGCCCTATTGCCAATCTTCTTCAAAATCCAGTTGAGGTCATATATTTACCCAAAATTAGCTGCATAAGCTATCTAAATGCCACATTTATTTGCTTTGGGATGAATCATGTCAGCTCAGAACAGTGGCCCTGGTTATTTCATGCTGATCAAAAGGCTCTGATTGGCAGCCATGTGTCTTCTTTGGGTTTAAAATCAAAAGGAGATAAATTATTTTTTCATAAATGTGGTTTTCATTCTTTCTACAATATTTACTGAGTATTTAATTATGTGCCAAGCCCTCTGCTAGATCCTAAAATAACCACAGGAGTTTTTGTTGGTGGAAAAGTAAAACAGGTCCCTGGATGGGTATCTAGAGCCATTGGAGCCTTTGGAGGCTCTGCAGATGCTCTGCGGGCCTCAGCATGGTCTTCCGCGATAATGTGGACCATGCCATAAAGGGAGAAGGAGTGGGAATTAGAGTGCAGACCAAGAAGGAACCAGCGAGACCTACAGAGGGAAACTGGGCAAAACAGAACAGTGTGTGATTCACTGGGTCTGGGGAAACTGGCATTGTTTAATCACCTCTTAGGCTCTTGCTTCCAACAGCATCTAGAGGAAGAGATGATGGGGACCTGGACAAGGGCAACTCCCAGAGGGTACCCAACAGGCTTAGGCTTCTAGGAAATAAGCACCTATGACAAAAGCAGAACTCTGAAGGCCTGAATCTGAGGAGTCCTTCTTAGCACTAACAGCTATGTTAAGAGGCAAGTCAGAGAAGGAAAATTAAACTGGAAAAGTGACAGCCCCAAATAATCCACAATGATGGGATTTTCTGGGCAATTTTTATTTCCAATTTAATATATGCAGAAGCGGCTGAGTGCGATGGCTCATGCCTGTAATCCCAACACTTTGGGAGGCTGAGGCAGGCAAATCATGAGGTCAGGAGTTCGAGACCAGCCTGGCCAACATGGTGAAACCCCATCTCTACTAAAAATACAAAAATTAGCCCAGCGTGGTGGTGCATGCCTGTAGTCTCAGTCCCAGCTACTCGGGAGGCTGTGGCAGGAGAATCACTTGAACACAGGAAGTGGAGGTTGCAGTGAGCTGAGATCATGCCACTGCACTTCAGCCTGGGTGAAAGAGTGAGACTTCATCTCAAAAAATAAATATATATATATACACGTATATACGTATATATATATACATATAATATTATATATATACGTATATACGTGTATATATATTATATATATACATATGCAGAAGAATCAGCATCACAGAAGTCAAGTTCAGGGGCATGGACTTCCATTCTGGGCTGCTGGAGAGTGTGCAAGGCATGTGACCCAGGAGTTCTGTGAGGTCCTGGGTTAAAAGCACATGAAGCCATCAATATACAGGGCAAGCCCTTTTAATCTTACTCCCAATAACAACAATGTGATTGAATATTGCTTTATGATTACATCTATAGGCATATGTGCATCTTATAAATAATGCTTTAATTACAAACATATTCACATTATATTTTGGAAATTCTATGTAACAGAAAAAAAGAAAATAAATCCTTGTAGTCTTGCTACTTTATGCTATTGGCATTTTCTTCTAGGTTTTTTCCCCTCTGTCTACTATTTTTACATAAGCCAGAAACCAGGGCTTTTACAAAAGCAAGGGAATCTACATTTAAAAAAAATTTCTTTTTTGCCATCTTTTTTTTTCTTTTTTTTTTTATTATTATACTTTAAGTTTTAGGGTACGTGTGCACATTGTGCAGGTTAGTTACATATGTATACATGTGCCATGCTGGTGTGCTGCACCCACTAACTCGTCATCTAGCATTAGGTATATCTCCCAATGCTATCCCTCCCCCCTTCCCCCATTCCACAACAGTCCCCAGAGTGTGATATTCCCCTTCCTGTGTCCATGTGATCTCGTTGTTCAATTCCCACCTATGAGTGAGAATATGCAGTGTTTGGTTTTTTGTCCTTGTGATAGTTTACTGAGAATGATGATTTCCAATTTCATCCATGTCCCTACAAAGGACACGAACTCATCATTTTTTATGGCTGCATAGTATTCCATGGTGTATATGTGCCACATTTTCTTAATCCAGTCTATCATTGTTGGACATTTGGGTTGGTTCCAAGTCTTTGCTATCGTGAATAATGCCGCAATAAACATACGTGTCCATGTGTCTTTATAGCAGCATGATTTATAGTCCTTTGGGTATATACCCAGTAATGGGATGGCTGGGTCAAATGGTATTTCCAGTTATAGATCCCTGAGGAATCGCCACAAAGGGCTAATATCCAGAATCTACAATGAACTCAAACAAATTTACAAGAAAAAAACAAACAACCCCATCAAAAAAAATTTTTTAAGGTAGAGATGGGGTCTCACTGTGTTGCCCAGGTTAGCCTCAAGCTCCTGTGCTTAAGTGATCCTTTGGCCTCAGTCTCCCAAAGTGCTAGAATGACAGGCATGAGCCACCGTGCCTGGCCAGGGCATACATATTTTATCATTTTATTCTGCACACCAAATCTTATACACACTTAATAGATCATCAATTTAGGTAAGTGACTTGATTTGCCCAAAGTCATACAAGTAGAAAGTGGTAAACATGGGATTTGAATTGAAATCTTCTTATATCAAAGCCCATGCAATTTCTGATAAAGCTCCATGTTATGTCCTCATATCCAAGACTACCCTAGATGTAAATGCAATGGATGATTGCTGATGGCATGTGATTGAAGGGCAGGCAAATACCCCATATCAGCCTCCCTTCTATGGGTGCATTCCATGCTTAAAATTCTCACCATTATATCTATCCTTCAGCTCAGGCATTGCCTCAGAGAGTCCCTGTTAAAATGCACACAACTGACCTATCAAGTGTACTAAATTAACTCATTTTCATATCAGCAGAGGACAACCAATGAACCTTGTAGAAATTCCCAGAGGTCAAGCTCTCTGCCCATTCTGCAGTCCCAGAGTTAGTAGCAGCCATGGAGCTCTCTAGAGTTTCCATTCCTACCTCTTTTCAGAGGAGGAGACAAGGAGCCCAAGAAGTGCCTTGCCTGAGGTCTCAGAGAGAACAGAGCCAAGCTTCTGGCCCACATTGAACTACGCTGAAAGAAATTCCTTATCTTTTGCAATATTGCTCTTGTTTTCTTTATTCTTTCATTCTCCAATGCTTTGTAAATTTTACATATTACTTTTAATTTTAGCTTTATGTTAAAATCTTTTATGTCTATATTTCACTACATTAAGAACATTAAGAATAAAAGAGTATCTAATGATTTTATTTGTGTGAGATGAGAGGTTTAGCAACAAACCTCTCTGTACAAACCTGGTTTTGTCAGAATGATCTGGATTTTCAGTTCTGGATTATCGTTATTGAGTTCTTTCTTACATTATTCATTCAACAAATATTTATTGAGGATCTACTATGTGCATTATGCAAAGCACTAGGGATCCAGTGATGATCTTACAAACACATCCCCTAGCCTCAAGATGTTTGACATTTGCATTTAGCTTTATAAATATGCCAATTATAACTAGACAATGGCTCTAAATTCTGGTGTTTTCTTTACTTGTGACCATCATTGATACCATTTTTTTTTGTATTTGATTTCTTTAATTTGATTTTTTTTTTGATTAGCTAGAGTACTTCTTGGAGTAATTGTTTTTCAGAAAGGAATTGTTTTTTTTTTTAAGACGGAGTCTTGCTCTGTCACCCAGGGTGGAGTTCAGTGGTGCAATCTTGGCTCACTGCAACCTCCGCCTCCCGGGTTCAAGCGATTCTCCTGCCTCAGCCTCCCGAGGAGCTGGAATTACATGCGTGCACCACCATGCCCAGCTAACTTTTGCATTTGCAGTAGAGATGAAATTTCACCATATTGGCCAGGCTGGTCTTGAATTCCCGACCTCAAACGATTTGCCCACCTCAGCCTCCCAAAGTGTTGGGATTACAGGTGTGAGCCATCGTGCCCGGCCCATGGTATGTTTCTTAAGTCCTTACACATCTGGTTTGATGGCAGGTGCAGATGCTAGACAACCCTCTCCAGGATCAATAGTTGAATTGTGTTTGTGTGTGGGCACACAGAGTCTGCCTGAAAGGTGCTACTCCCTGACCAACTCTTTCTGCATGCTCAGTGTGAACTTTTCTCCCTCTAGTCTGGCTGTCTAGGCACAGACTCCCACATGGTCCACTGACACTCTGCTCATCCTCCCACTCTGGGTCTTTCATCCTAGATCTGCGCTCAGCTCCTTTCTCTGGATTCATATTCTCCAGTTTGTTATCCAAACTCTCGAGTTGCCTAAAGCCCATCATGAATCAGGCCATCCAGCCCCAGGCTCCCGCCTTTTCTGATCTGTTCTGTTCTCCTGCCTCCCTCCACCCGCCTCTGACAGCAGGACCCTAGGGGAGTGGACACGCAGCTCTCAGTTTTAATTGATGGAAAGGCCAGCAAGCTTTGGGCTTCGGTGGGGAGGGATAGGTATGCCTATGTGTGTGTAGGGGATGGAGTGGGAGCACTCACATGTGTGTAGGGGGTGGGGTGGGAGTGTTCAGATGTGGGGGTTCATGTGTGTGTAGGGGATGGAGTGGGAGCACTCATATATGTGTGTGTAGGGGATGGAGTGGGAGCACTCATATATGTGTGTGTAGGGGATGGAGTGGGAGCACTCACATCTGTGTGTAGGGGGTGGGGTGGGGTGGGAGTGTTCAGATGTGGGGGTTCATGTGTGTGTAGGGGATGGAGTGGGAGCACTCATATATGTGTGTGTAGGGGATGGAGTGGGAGCATTCACATGTGTGTGTAGGGGATGGAGTGGGAGCACTCGTGTGTGTAGGGGATGGAGTGGGAGTGTTCAGATGTGGGGGTTCATGTGTGTGCATGCATATGTAGGTGGGAAGGGCGCAGGTGTGCATGTATTCATTTGTCTTCCTAGAGGGACTAGAGATGTAAAACTCTGAAAAAAAAAACAATTTTTAAATGGCAGGGAAGAATTTTTGGTATCCATCCCTCTCTAAAGAAAAACAGAAAAAGCAACCTTTCCCAGGCTGTCACATCTCTAAATATAGCAAATGCTAATTTAATAAGCAAATCGAATTATACATGATGTATGTTTATTTCTCAAGCTTAAAAAAAATGGATTTGTTCCCTGAGTGGCGTTACGAAAATTACACTTTACATGTTGTATAATTCCCCAAAATTTCTATCTCTCCTCCCACAAAAGCAGTTTCATTTCTCCCCATCTGTGTCTTCAAAATCTCCGGGAACTCTATGTTTCCAAATGAGAATCTCCAGGTAAGTATGAAATAATATAAAGATATCAGAGGGGGCAGGGGAGACAGTCTGAAGCATTCTTGAAAAATTAAGCCTTTCTTTGATTATGATCTTGATACTTAAATATCCTATTATTTAAAAGCAAGAACACAAAATATCTGAATTTTTCCAATCCGTCTATACAGTTGGTTTAATATAGACACAATTCTCCTCCTTTCTTTATCTCTCTCTTACCTTCCTAATTTATTTGCCCCATGTTCCTTTTTCCTGCTCAAATACCCTATTCTCTGAACCTCAGTTTGTCAATCTTTGTTGCTCTATTTTAAAAGTTATCAATCAGCCCACATCCCCCTACAGGAAAAATGTGGTTAAAAATGGCCTAGTCCAGTAAAAGAAGATAGCCACTTGGAATTTGGGTTTCTTTTATTGAACCAAAGTGAAATCTAGCTATTAAGCAGCCATCCAAGCAAAAATGCAGGACACTTTCACCGTCCCTCCACCTCTAGTCGACAACCTGGCCACTATGGACAATATGAGACCAAACTTCTCCGTCTTTGATAGGTCCTTTAGAATGAAGTAACTCACTAAAGAAGGACAGCTTCCCATAAAAAAAAATATTTAGATTTAATTACAACTTAAAGGCACTTATTTTTTACTTGGGAATAGGGACACACAGTGTACAACATGGATGAGCCTTGAGGACATTACACTCAGCGAAATAAGCCAATCATAAAAAGACAAGTACTGTATGATTCCACTTATCTGAGGTACCTAGAGGAGTTAAATTTATAGAGAAAGAATGTAGGATGGGATTTTCCAGGGGCTGGGGCACAGGAGAATGGGAAGTTAGTGTCTAATGGGTATGGAGTTTCAGTTTTGCCAAATGAAAAGAGTTCTGAAGATTGCATGCACAGCAATGTAAATCTTAATACTACTGATTTGTACACTTAAAAATAGAATGGCAAATTTTATGTTATGTGTATTTACCGCAGTTAAAAATTAAAAAAAAAAGGTTGACTATCTATTGGGAGTTTTTCATAGGCTTGTAGTCTTAGGGTTAGGAGAGGTAATTAGAAGTCACTTAGCCTAATGTTTCTCAAACTTTTTTGACTGAAGCTCACAAAAGGTGCTACATTTTATATTATGATCCAGTATGTATTTGTCATGATATGGACATATACACACATATATGATTACAGATACAGACATATATGTACATTTGTACACACAAATATACACATAACTGATATGTAACTAAAGACAGCATAGGAAGCATTAATTATCCCATTACATGAGATGTGCTCTAATTATTTTCTACTCTTATTCCATTTTATTAAAACAAAATACCATTTACAATCCATAAGTTGATTTCACAATGTACTAATGGGTCTCAGCCTTCAGTTAAAACACTAACCTAGACCAATCCCTAACATAATGCAAAAATCTCCTCTAAAGCCTCCCTGCTGGGTGGCCATCCAACTTCTGCTTGAATGCCTTCAGTGACAGGGAACTCACTCCCTACAGGGCAGCATGCTCTATGGTAGTCCCATCTAGCACTTGCAGATCCTGCTCACTCCAGAGCTGTTCCAGGAGTGGCCTGGGTGGAGCTGAGAATGCCAGGAGGGCTGGGACCAGCTGACAGGTGCTCAGTGGTTTCCAAGAGGGGTGAAAGTACAGCTCCTAGCAGCAAAGCGGAGGGTTGGGGTGAGCCAGAGACTAGGGCAGCATTGCTGGGAGACTCTGGCTTCCTTCTGTGGAGCTGCAGATCAGACCTTTTCCCCTCTGCCTTCTCACTGCTCCAGCACTATGATTATTTCCTCATCTGAAGGATGATCTCATTCCCCTAGCACCCGCCTGTGGGAGAGGTTTCCTCCCCCTGGGAGGCGGGGGCTCAGCCTCAGGTGGAGACAGATTCCCTCATATTCCCTCTCAACCTCCCACCCATCCCTCGAGCCTCAGCAGGCCACCTCTGGCCATCCCACCTTGTATTCTCTTGGTCTTAAGACAGGGGGTATCCCTTCCCAGGGCATTCAGATAAGGGTGCCTGAACATTCCTGACCTCTCCCTCCGACCCCCATACAAACACACACACACACACACACACACACACACACACACACACACAGCATTCTGGAGACCTGCTCATGTTCAGGACAACAAGACTCCACCACACCTGATTGTGTCTTCCTGGGAGAAATAAAACAAAGACAGCACCGCCACGTGGGGACAGCTGACTGCTGGACATCAAAACCCTGGGTCCCAGGATGAGAAATGAATGATGCCTAAACTCCTGGCAAGTGTGGTGGGCTGAATAAGGAGGGGGACTGGCCAGGGCCCCAGTCAAGGACCAGGGCGTGGCAGTTCTGGGTGTCTGCAGTTTTCAGCTTTGGAGCCAGCCACCTCTGGCCAGGTAGGATTAGGCTGACCTCAGGGTGGGGCGGGGCCAAGAGGAGGTGATGATCTCATTGCATCCTTAGAACCAAGAGAAAAAAGTAACCCGTGCATAGAGCCGAAGGAAAAGATGTGTGATCAAAATGGGAATGGGAGACAAGAAAAGCTGTGTCTGAGGAAGAAAAGGTAAAAACACAGGAGAGCTTCCCACTTGAAAGGGATCTTCAGGTCACAGCCAGCTGCAGGGGCAGCCAGACTCAGCACAAAACCTTTCTCCTTAAGCAACAAAACATTTTTATGCAGAAATAGCTCACCATAGCATCTGACAATTCCCACCCATCCTGCCTCTCCTGAGCTCTGGAATAAAAGTGGCACCCGGAGCCCACCCTCACCCCTTGGCCGAGCGCCATTCTTTCTGCCTCACCCCCTTTCCCCCAAGATCTGACAAAGTTTAAATGATTGAGTAGAACCAAAGGTGACACAATAGGTGCTAGGCCCCTCGCTTCTCCCCACTGTAGCTGCTGTCTTGTTTTTTCTTTTGCCTGAAAAGCCTCAAATTAGTTGCATTTTATTTCTACTTACGTGCAGTCCAGTTAGAAGCGAGCTGCTCTCTTCCTCACTCCCTCAATTAGTGGTACCCTGGGCTTCTCTCAACATCAGCACCACTGCTCGCTCTTGCCATGACATCACCTCCAAGCTCTGTGATTGGCCAGCAGTGGGTTGCTTGGCAATTGGACAGTCTCCTCTGGTGGAGCAGGGATTGCCTGAGTGAGTAACTCTTAGCAGGCCAGGGAGTGAAAGATGATGTCAGACAAAGAGCCTGCTTTCTCTGCTGCCTGTGGAGCTGGAGAACCAGAGGGGTGAGGGCGGAGAGGAAGAAAGAAAGAGGGAGTGGTACAGAGAAGGTTGGGGAGAAGCCACAGCTTGCGAGCTGGGGGTATAATGAATGATTTCCAGGATCTTTAGGTCCTTTAAATTTGGGGGTGAGAGAATATGGAATCCAGAGAAGAAATAAAAAAGAACAGATGAACCCTAAAAATAGCTTCCTGGAGGGCTTGGTGCCTGTTTCCAGCTCTGTCAGAAGGGCTGGTGGGTTTGAACGATGACTCAGAAGGCGGGGGGTTGCGGGGACTGCAAAAACCCCAGGATTGGGAGCTGATGAGGGCCCTGCACTGGAGTCTCTGGAGAATAAGGCTTCCCTCTGGCCACCTTTGCAAAGGTATCAGCCACATCTCTGCTGACACTAGTGGGTCCTCACTGCCCCTCCCATCCAGCCCTCCTGGGCCTTCCAGAGGGAGCCACAGGTAGGAAGATGGACTGGTCATTACACTGGTGATTCCCAAATATGGTGGATTTTTTAAAATTTTCAGTAAGTTTTTGGGAAACAGGTGGTGTTTGGTTACATGAATAAGTTCTTTAGTGGTGATTTCTGAGATTTTGGTGCACCATCACCCGAGCAGTGTACGCTGTCCCCAGTGAGTAGTCTTTTATCCCTCACTCTCCTCCCACTCTTTCCCCCAAGTCTCCTAAGTCCCTTGTATCATTCTTATGCCTTCGCGCCCTCCTAGCTTAGCTCCCACTTATGAGTGAGAACATATGATGTTTGGTTTTCCATTCCTGAGTTACTTCACTTAGAATAATGGTCTCCAATTCCACCCAGGTTGCTGCAAATGCCATTATTTCATTGCTTTTTATGGCTGAGTAGTATTCCACGGTGTGTGTGTGTGTGTGTGTGTGTGTGTGTGTGTGTGTGTGTATTACATTTTCTTTATCCACTTGTTAATTGGTGGGCATTTGGGCTGGTTCTATATTTTTGCAATTGCGAATCATGCTGCTATAAGCATGCATGTGCAAGTATCTTTTTTGTACAATAACTTCTTTTTCTCTGGGTAGATACCCAGGAGTAGGATTGGTGGATCAAATGGTAGATTTACTTTTAGTTCTTTAAAAATTTTTCACACTGTTTTCCATAGTGACTGTACTAGTTTACATTTCCATATGGTGGAATCTTGAGGGGGGGTGACGGGTCAGCGATGGTGGCTTCTGTAGTTCCCTCAGGGAATGAGGGAGCCACTAACATAACCTTCACAGGCTGCTGCCCTCAGCCAGTGAGCTGGAGAGGGCAGGGTGAGGCAGGAGAGGAGCCAGGCAGCTGTGGAGCGAGACCCCCTCCTCCAGAACACCTCTCCAGATTAAATCCCCCCAAGATGTGTCCATCATCCCCACATTCCACCGTCCAGCCTTGCCTCATGTGTTCTTCTTGGTGGGGAGGGGTAATTTTTTTTCTTTTTTTTTTGAGACAGAGTCTCGCTCTGTCACCCAGGGTGGAGTGCAATGGCGTGATCTCGGCTCACTGCAACCTCCACCTCCCGAATTCAAGAGATTCTCCCGCCTCAGCCTCCTGAGTCACTGGAACTACAGGCACGCACCACCACACCTGGCTAATTTTTGTATTTTTAGTAGAGATGGGGTTTCACCATATTGGTCAGTCTGGACTTGAACTCCTGACCTCGTGATCTGCCTGCCTCAGCCTCCCAAAGTGCTGGGATTATAGGCATGAGCCACCACGCCCAGCCGGGGAGGGGTAATTTTATTGAGGCTGAACATGTCCAACATAACGCTCACCATTTTCACTATTTTGAAGTGTATAGCTCACTGGCCTCAAGTGCACACGCATTGCTGTGTAGCCATCACAGCTTTCCATCTCCAGAACTTTGGCATGTTCCCCAATATTCATATGTAACCAGTAAGCAATAACACTCCTTTCCAGCTAACCCCAAACTACTTTCTGTCTCTATGAATTTGCCTATTCTAGGCACCTCGTATCAGTGAAATCAAATAGTATTGTCCTTTTGTATCTGGCTTCATTCTCTTGGCATGTCTTCAAGGAGCATCCATGTTGTAGCATGTGTGATAATTCCATCACCTTGCTCCTCCCTCCTTTTTTTTTTTTTTTTTTTTTTACAAAGTCTTGCTTTGTCATTGAGGCTGGAGTGCAGTGATGTGATCATGGCTTACTGCAACCTCTGCCTCCCAGACTCAAGTGATACTCCCACCTCAGCCTCCCCAGTAGCTGGGACTACAGGCATGTGCCACCACACCCAGCTAATTTTTTATAGAATCAGGTTTTCACCATGTTGCCCAGGCTGGTCTCAAACTCCTGGGCTCCCACCTGCCTTGGCCTCCCAAAGTGCTGGGATTATAGGCATGAACCACCACGCCTGGCACCTCACCCTATTTTAGGAGGGTTTGTTCACCCTCTACCACCAAACCCCTATTGACTGAGAACACGAATAATGACAAAAGTTGCCTTGAATTCAGCCCATGCTTTGAAGTTATTATTTTTAAACTACAGTAGCATCAATGAGCATTTGAAAATCATAGTTAATGCATGGATGTCACATGTTCACCCTGCAGACTGTGCTGGGGATTAAGTAGATTCTCAAGCCCTGGCATGAACCCCTGACCTGCACCCCACTGCCAGGACCTGCAAGCTGGCATCTCACCACAGCACCCCGTGTGGTTCTCCAGGAGGCCCCATGTAGACACACATCTCCAAGCCCCCACTTCACATCCAGAGGGGAGGGCTCCAGTTAGGCTGCCAGCCCCTGGCCAAGCGGTGGCCAGGATGAGGAATGAGCCCTGACAGCCTTTGGGGTTTTCAAAGCACACCAGAGCTGAATCTATGGTGTAATCCTTTCAGCAGGGCTGCAAGGACGGCAGGACGAACACTGTGCTGTTTGACATTCAGTGAGTATCACTGAACAACACACTTATCATTCATGCCACATGCCACCAACCCAGGACCCTCAGCCATCAAGCTGAGCCTTTTCAGTGGGAATCAGGACAACTAAGGATATCAGAAAGTCATTCCCTCAACATGTGGAGACAGGAGAGGCCACACTGCATACCAGGCTGGAATTTGGAGTCCAAGCAAACCCCAAATGCATGGCTATCCTAGCTGTGAAGGGGGCCTCTCTGTCCTCCCCTAGTATCTTCCCTCCCAGCCCTGAGAAGTCTGGAACTCCACAAATCTGCTGGCTCTGGAAAGTGAGGGATGGGGAGAGAAGGCAGTAGGTTGCCATGGTGATGGCAGCCAATCAGAGATCCTCTGCTGCTAGGGGAGGAGCAAGTTCGGTCTGAGTCCCCCTCACTGACTGTGAAGGAGGGTGGAGCTGGAACAGGGGGAGAAAGAGACAGGACATCACTGCCTGACAGCAGAGACCAAGGTCGGGGAGAAGGGTCATGGGGAGGGTGGCTCTATTTCTAGGATTACCTAGTTTCCATTTGGTACTAGGTTGTGATGGTTACACACACACACACACACACACACTCAGTACATCTCACAACTGCCCTGTGAGAAAGGGATTACCCACCCCATTTATAAAAGAAACAGACTCCAATAGGAAAGGTAACCTCAAACAGCCTACCTGTTATGCAGCGAGGCCTGGATTTGAACTCTGGGGAACGGGATGCGGGAGACACTGGCGAGAGAGTGAGTAAGGTAAGCAGGGTAGAGCCACGGCCCCAAAGACCTACTGGGTGGGAGAGTCCCTGGGACTTCCCTGAGATGGCATAAAGCAATATGTTGATAAAACAAGAAACACAGAAATGGTAAGAAAATGTACCAAACACCAAGTCCATAGAACAAAGGGCGAGGAGAGACCAAAATCAGAAAAGAAATCAGCAAGGTCAAAACTAGGAGGCTCAGAAGGACAGGATGGCGATCAGGGAGCAGGTGGAGGGGAAGGCGAGGTGGGCGCTCTGTTCCTCACACCGCAATATGGAAAGCCCCTGTGAGCCTTGTTGAGAAATGTGGGCTGGCCCTGGACCTGCCAAGTCAACTTTGGGTTAGACCTGTTGCTTGTGATCAATCTACCCAAATGCTGGACTTTAGCCAAAGGGGCATGGGGCCCACAACGCCCCTCTGCAGACACCACCTCTCACAGCCCAAGTTGCACTACAGCAACAATACTAGGATGGAGTGTGTGTGGCCATTCCCTGAATCCCCACGCATTGCCTGGCTGCACCATGCGGACCCGATTCCTATATCTCTGCCCAGGAATCCCAGGGCAGCCACTGCTTGGTGACTTGACTCACCATATAATAACTCACACTCACAGCCTCTCAGGCACAAAGGAAGGGGCCCCTGCCCTTCTCAGAGGTAGTTCTATCATAGGACCAGCTGGGAAGTCACCCTGGGGACCCTCATGGAGCCTGGGATCTCTTCCCAACCCTCAGAAAAAGTGGACCTAGTCTCACATGGGAATTCAGAATATCTAATCCATACATGCATGTCTCTTCCACTCACACCAATGTGGTTTGTAAAAACTATAGAACATCAATGGGAATTTATCAATGGGAAATTGCAGTTTGTGGGATTTTCTTCTGTAGAATTTGTTGAATTGAACATTATCAGTTATTGACTTGAAACAAGTAAAAACATGTTTGCACTATGTCATTTTAAAAATGTGAACTCTTATTTCACCTGAAGAGTGGCTGTCCTGACTCACATGCTCTGGAGTCACTAGTGGCTTAGATTTTCCTTCAACAAATTAAAACACAAATCAATTCAATCGATTTGAATCCAAGCAAAGCTGGATTGCTAGAGCTGTTTGTTTATGTCCCTGATTAGATTTGTTAACTAAATTGTAATGGTGGTTAATATTTATAACCACAACATATGATGTTTATAAAAGCAATATTTATCAAGTGAGCTAAAACCTGTAAATCACTTAGAACATTGCCTGGCACAAAGTATGGGCTCAGTAAATGTTAGCTATTATTATGATGTCATTAAATACAAGAGCAGACTGTGAATGAGTCTTAGGTTTGCAAGTAACAGAAGCACATTCCAAGATTGTTTATTTAAAAAAAAAAAAGACAATTTATATTAAAATCTAAGAGTAAAACAAATTTTAAATACTCACTAGGCTCTCACCTATAATCCAAGCACTTTGGGAGGCCAAAGGGGGAGGACTGCTGAGCCCAGGAGTTCAAGACCAGCCTGGGCAACATAGCAAGGACCCCATCTCAACAACAACAAAAATATTTAACAAAAAAAAAATTTAAAAAAATTTGGTTCACAAAAACAAACAAACAAACAAAACCCATTCAATCCAATTAGAAAAGGGACAAAAGATATGAAGAGATGTTTCACCAATGAGGATATACAGATAGCAAACATATGCATGACAAAATATTCAACATTAGTATGATAAGGCAAGTGCAATTTAAGACCATGATGAGGCCTTAGTACACACCTGTGAAAAAAGCTAAACTAAAAAACAGTAGGCCAGGCGCAGTGAACTCACACCTGTAATCCCAGCACTTTGGGAGGTCAAGGTGGGCTGGATCACTTGAGGTCAGGAGTATGAGACCAGCCTGGCCAACATGGCAAAACCCCATCTCTACTAAAAATAAAAAAGTAACCAGGTGTGGTGGCACGTGCCTATAACCTCAGCTAATTGGGAGGCTGAGGCAGGAGAATCGCTTGAAACTAGGAGTCAGAGGTTGCAGTGAGCCAACATTATGCCACTGCACTCCAGCCTGAGAGACAGACAAGACTCAGTCTCAAAGAAAACAAAAAACAAAAAACAAACAAACAAACAAAAAAACAGTAGGCCAAGTGTGGTGGTTCACACCTGTCATCCTGTCATCCCAGCACTTTGGGAGGCCTAGGCAGGCGGATCATTTGATCTCAGGAGTTCAAGACCAGCCTGGGCAACATAGTGAGACCCCTGTCTCTATTCATTAAAAGAAAAAACAATAATGACAATACCGAATGCTGGTGAGAATGCACAGAAACTAGATAGCTCCTGCATTGCTGGTGGCAATGGAAAATGGTACAACCATTCTGGAAAGTCATTTGGGGGTTTCTTAACTAAACATATACTTGCCAGATCACCAAGCAATTGCATTCCTGGGCGTGATTCCAAGAGAAATGAAAATGTATTCACACAAAAATCTTGTACACAAATATTCATCACAGTTTTATTCATAATAACCCCAAACTGGAAACAACCAACATGTCCCTCAATAGGCGAATGGATAAACAAACTGTGGTTCATCCGTACCATGGAATGCTATTTGGTAATAAAAAAGGATGAACTGCTGATACACACAGCAACTTGAGTGGATCTCAAGGGAATCACGCTGAGAAAAAAAAAGCCAGTCTCAAAAGGTCACAAAGTGTATGATTCCATTGATAGAATATTCACAAAAGGACAAGACTATAGAGATGGAGAACAGACTGGTAGTTGCCAGGAGCTAGGAGTGGTGGAAAGAAGGAAGGATCACTCTAAAAGGGGTGGCAAGAAGAAAACCTTTGTGGGATGGAACAGTTGTGTGTCTTGATTGTGGTGGTAGTTACACCAGTCTACACATGGGATAAAATGACATAGAACTATAGACACACATTGCACCCATTTCCTGGTTTGATATAGTACCACAGTTATGTAAAGTGTAACCACGGGAGGAACTGAGTAGAGGGTAGGTGGGACCTCTCTATTATACTATCTTTGCAACTTCCAAATCTGTAATTATTTCAAAATAAACAGTTACTAGAAAAGGGGAGAAAAGAGGAGTTGGGAATTCTTTATTTAACCCAAAACGGAGGATTCCTCCCAAAAAAGAAGAGTCAGGAAAGCAATCACAAGTCAGTTCTTTCTCTCTCCCTCTTTTGTTCTCTCTCCCTCTTTCTCTCTCCCTCCCTTTCCTTCTTTCTCACCCTCTTTCTCCCTCTCCCTTTCTCTTTCCCTCTTTCTTTCTCTCTCTCCCTCTTTCTCTCTTGCTCTTTCTCTTTCTCTCCCTCTTTCTCTCTCCCTCTTTCTTTCTTTCTCTCTCTCCCTCTTTCTCTTTCTCTCCCTCTCTCTCTCTCCCTCTTTCTCTCTCCCTCTTTCTCTTTCTCTCTCTCCCTCTTTCTCTTTCTCTCCCTCTTTCTCTCTCTCCCTCTTTCTCTCTCCCTTTCTCTCTCTCTCTTTCTCTCTCCCTTTCTCTCTCCCTTTTTCTCTCTCCCTCTCTTTCTCTCTCTCCCTCTTTCTCTCTTCCTCTCTTTCTCTCTCCCTCTTTCTCTCTCCCTCTCTTTCTCTCTCTGCCTATCTCTCCCCTCTTTCTCTCTCTCCCTCTTTCTCTCTCCCTTTCTCTCTCTCCCTCTTTCTCTCTCTCCCTCTTTCTCTCTCCCTCTCTTTCTCTCTCTCCCTCTTTCTTTCTCTCTCTCCGTTTCTCTCTCTCCCTCTTTCTCTCTCCCTCTTTCTCTCTTTCCCTCTCTCTCTCTCCCTCTTTCTCTCTCTCCCTCTTTCTCTCTCTCCCTCTTTCTCTCTCTCTCCATTTCTTTCTCTTTCTCCTTCTCTCTCTCTCCCTCTTTATTTCTCTGTGTCTCTCTCCTCTCTCTGCAAAGCTGCGTCATTCATCTTTGCAGACCACCTTCTGTGCTGCTCATGCATGTGGCTGCCTCACAGCCATGAAGGATGCCAGTGCTTTTTGGTGGTGCTAGTGTTCGTTGTAGTTGGGCCACACAGAGAAACCCATTAGCCCTCTCTTAGATTCAGTTTAAAGCTCTCAGGAAAACAAAATCCACTAACCCTGCCTGAGCCTGGAGTCCATGCCTCTTCCCATGGCAGTGGGGTCGCACAGTACAGATGTAACTGCCTCCGGGAATATGGACGCTTCCTCCTTTCTACACAGAGGTGAGGTCCTGATCCCAGGAAATGCCCCTTTCTCCTCCAGATCAGTCCCAGATGGATGGGTCTATAAAGCAAATGACAAAAACCCACCATCTATAGTCCACCTGATAGAGAACACTGGGAGAAAGGCTGGCCAGTAGCCATAAAGCTTTCCCACTTAAACACAAAGAAGGAAGGACCCTCAAGACAGAAGCCCCTGGGCAGGCTACTGGTGTTGAAACCACCTTTCCAAAAATTACACACTGAGAAAATGATGGCAGTGGGAGAGATCTGATCTAGCCAAACCCCATCTTGCCTTTGGCCTTCAAGCTGCCCTTAATTATTTCTGGGTTTAGGACAAGCTAACTTTAGGAGAGATTTAATTTATAGTTTAAATAATAATCAATAAATAATAAATAAAGTTTAATAATAGCCCTTCCCCAAAGCTTTAGCCTTTGTAAAGTTAATGAGAGATTGCCAGGCTAGGAGGAGGAGAGGAGGCTGAATTCGGCTAAGGTGCAGACATAAACAACTGCCAGCCATTATTTTGGAGGTCACACGATATGCAATGTCCCCAGTCACTCCTGCAAGTAACATCACTATTGAAGAACCTAAGATTGGCCATTTGAGATATCTCTTCAGGTTTTTTGCATGTTTGATGACCAGTGGCTCCATCTGGGCCCTCCAACTGCTCCTGTGGCCCCACCCAGAAGCAACTCAGTGTGCAGGAGGAACACTTCCCATGCCCCATGATTGTGCCCCCAACCAATCAGCAGCAACCACCCATTGCCTCGCTACCTCCACCCCTTCCTTCAAACTGTCTTTGATAAACCCTAGCCTCTAAATGCTCAGGAAGATTGATTTGAGTAATAACTCTGTCTCCCCCATGGCATGACAGGCCTCATGTCAATTAAACTCCATGGTCTCCATCAATTGCTTTTGTCTGTGCATTGGGAAGGAAGAACTCATCAGGCGGTTACAGTGTAAAGTGTGGGCTGCCTCCCATGGGACACACGATGAAGCTTGTGGCCCCCTGCATGGTGACTCCAGCTGACACCCAAGAGAGTTCCTTGGTGAGCCAGTAAACCACTTTAGGCTCTGCCCACAGGGATATTGCCCTTGTCCAGGGTCCTCCCGGCCCACCTCGGAAGGAGCCTGAGAAGAAACTGACTGTGGTCATGTGACGTCTTCTGAAGGCAGCTGGCAGTCTTCTGGCTTGGCCCACAGCTTGCCTGAGGGATGAAGATGCCCTGTGTGTGGTTGGTTTGTGTTGATCTAAAGACCCTGTTCTCCAGGCTTGAGGTTTTTTTTGGCAGCACAGCACCTATAAAACCTTAACTGGCAGCCTGTCGATTTAATTTAGGGAGACTGCATTTGTTGAAAGCTGTTTCTAGACAGCTTGTGAAGCTGAGCAGCTGAGCTGGGCCCTGCCTGTGGGGCTGCAGTTTCTTAGAAGGAAGCCCGAGGGCTCTGGTTCTCTGCTTAACGGATTTCGCCTTAGGGTGCGCAGGGCAGTTGAGAAAGTCCACCTTCACCTTGTTAATTTGTAGATCATCCCAAACCTGGTTCCAAAGGGTGCTTCACAGTGGGAGGCACCCCCCATCTTGTCCAGCAAGAGGGTGCAGAAAAATGGACCGGAAGAAGTTTGGAAGATTCAGGGTTTCCCAGCTCCCCTGGCCTTTCCTGAATGTCCTTATTCCAAGTGCCAGAACCTCGCTGTTTCATAATTGGTGCACCAAATTTAGTTCTCGATGTAGGTTGCTGCAGAGTGTAACTGCTGCAGCTCTGTAAGTCCTGTGATTAACTTCGAGAATTGACTCTAAGTGGTCTCAGATCCTATACTATGAGCAGAAAGGACTTCAGGAGCAGGGTTTGCACAACTGACCTAGTTTTCCTGTTTTTCCCATCCACTTTAAGCCCAACAGCCTCAGACTTGACCCCATGCACTTTACTGAAATCCCAGAGAGTCAACAGCATGGCCTGACGTCCTTCAAGATGGCCTTACAATCCCCTAAAGCCTCAGTCTCAGTAGAAAAACTGTCCAAGTTCCAAAAACCAGCAACACTGATTTCACCAGCTGTTTCTGTTTGTATATCACTGACAGGCAGCCAGCTTCCCCAATCCCAGAATGATGGGATCCCATTGTCTCCATGCCCTGAAACGGGTCAGTTATGTGGTTATGTGTGGCTTCATTTCCTAGTACCAGGTTGCATCTTATTTAGAGTTCATTTGGCTGCAAATTAACAGGAATCTACTCCAGATTACCATAAGCAAAAACAGGAAATTCATTCAAGTTTAGAAAGATATCACAAAGAAACCATCACAAAAAGACAGCTGGCTGGAACCAGGAATCAGCAGCAGCAGCACCTGGGAAGTCTGTCTCTCTCTCTCTCTTTCTCTCACCCCCACCTTATTCTGCATCTGCATCTCCCATCTCCAAGACAGACCCCCTCTCTGCTTCCAAGCAGTGGCCAGCCCACGATTCTTGGGGTAACAGAGAGACAGACTAGCCTTCTCTCCATCCTGATTTCAGAATGTCCAGGCAAGAGAATCCGTCTGGCTCACTTCAGGTCAGGTGTGTGTGTCTGGTGCCAAGGATTTTGACCAGAGGGTGGACTGCATTGTGCAAATCTGTATGGGGTAGGGGTCCTCTTCTGCGGGGAGGTTAATGGAGAGCCCAGCAGACACCCCACATGTGTGCTCCATCAGGGTCAGCAAGTAACAAGCAAAAAATAATATTGTGTTCATTACAAAAATGCCTGAACCTAAGTTCATTGCCAGTGGTGGAACATTTTAATTGGGTTAGGCAAGCTGGGGATGGGAAAACGATTTGCCTTGTGAGTATCCTGACCTCTAGCACCACAGCTGCCTCTCCCTACTGCAGAATCCCCAGGGGCTGAACATCCCTAGAGATGTCAGAGCAGGGTGTGAACAAATGAGTCTTTTAACATGGGTTGTCAAAAGGGCCAGAGACTGGGAGGGAAGGAAAGGGGGCCACCTCTTCCCCAGCTGTCCAGTTCTATCTGCTGCATGCTTTTGTGTGCCAAAGGTGCTGGAAACAGGGAGCTGGAATCAGCTCTGGAGTCACCCTGCACATTCCCTCCCTGCTGCACTCAGGAGCACACAGAGATTGATGAGGAAGGGGCTGGACTGGCCCACCTTCCCCAGCCCCCTAGAATTTAGATTTAAGGACAGTAGGGACTTGAAAAATCATAAAGTAGGTTTTAAAAAGGGGTGGAATGGGAAGAAATGCATACAGTCCTCTGCGGCTGCTAAGAAAACGCTGCTGTGACTCCCATGCCTCTTCCTTTGTAGTTTAGGGTCGGCCTCATTCTACTCGATGGGCTCAAAACCAATTTCAGACATACATACACCAAATTCAAGCACAGCAATTTTTTTTTTTTTTTTTTTGAGACAGAGTCTCTTGCTCTGTTGCCCAGGCTGAAGTGCAGTGGCAGGATCACGCTCATTGCAGTCTCGACCTCCTGGGCTCAGGCAAGCCTCCTGCCTCAGTCTCTCAAGTAGCTGGGACTACAAGTGCACACCACCATGCCCAGCTAATTTTTGTATTTTTTTTTTTTAGACAGAGTCTCGCTCTGTCTCCCAGGCTAGAGTGCAGTGGTGCGATCTCGGCTCACTGCAAGCTTGGCCTCCCGGGTTCACGCCATTCTCCTGCCTCAGCCTCCTGAGTAGCTGGTACTACAGGTGCCCGCCACCACGCCCGGCTAATTTTTTGTATTTTTAGTAGAGACGGGGTTTCATCCTGTTAGCCAGGATGATCTTGATCTCCTGACCTCGTGATCCGCCCGCCTCGGCCTCGCAAAGTGCTGGGACTACAGGCGTGAGCCACCGCGCCCGGCCAATTTTTGTATTTTTTGTAGAGACAGGGTCCCACTTAGTTGCCTAGGCTAGTCTTCAACTGCTGGGTTAAAGCAATCCTCCTGCCTTGGCCTCCCAGAATGTTGGGACTATAGGAGTGAGCCACCATGCCTGGCCTGCCTGACTCTTCTTGTTTCACTCAAATAATAGAATATCCTTTTTTCAGTCCCCCAGACAGCTTCAGTTCAATGATTAATATGTCCCATGGAAACTTTCCACTTTGATGTTACCACTCTGGCCCCCCTCCAGCCTAGGTATGTTTGGGGCTGGGTCAGCTCCTTTTTTCTGCCCCTCCTGCCCAATCTGCCAGAATGGGGATACAGGAGAAAGGGAGGAAAGTGAGGGAAAGAAAGGTCGACTAAGGCTGTGATGGTCATGATGATGACCCCTTGGCGTTCTCTGGGCCTTGTAGGTGTTTAGAGCTTACTTTTCCTCTTGTAGTACTTTGGAGAGTTCTTCAAAGAGCCTCCCTCCACCTGCCACCCATTTCTTATTTTTATTTACTTAAAAAAAATTTTTTTAGAGACAGGGTCTCGCACTATCATGCAGGCTAGAGTGCAGTGGTGTGATCACCACTCACTGTAGCCTCGAACTCCTGGGCTCAAGTGATCCTCCCACCTCAACCTCCCAAATTGCTGGGATTACACACAAGCCACATCTGGTCCTCAGGGCATTGTCACATGCCATTTGTGGCAGACTGGCAGACTGTCCCTGATGCAGCAGCCTCCCTTTCCTCTGCCATCAGAGCAGTCAGCCAAGCGTGGACGCTCTCTGTTGAATTCCTCAAGCAATGGTCAGATGGTGGCCCACTGTGACCTCCCAGCTCCAGGGGTCACATAGCAAGTATTCCGGTAGTTCATTCATGTTGGAGGAAGAGAAAGACATGTCCTTCATTCTCCATGGCTGCGGAAGCTTGGGCTTGGGGTGGGAAGGAATTGGAATGGTGAGATTGGGAGGAAGGGTGGGATCACAGCATACCAACAACACCCTCGCCGGGCACGGTGGCTCACGCCTATAATCCCAGCACTTTGGAAGACCGAAGCAGGCAGATCACCTGAGGTCAGGAGTTCAAGACCAGCCTGGCCAACATGATGAAACCCCATCTCTACTACAAATACAAAAATTAGCTGGGCTTGGTGGTGTGTGCCTGTAATCCCAGCTACTCAGGAGGCTGAAGTAGGAGAATTGCTTGAACCCTGTAGGCAGAGGTTGCAGTGAGCCAAGATCGCACCATTGCACTCCAGCCTGGGAGACAGAGTGAGACTCCATCTCAAAAAAAAACAGAAAAGAAAAGAAATCTGCCCTCTAACCTCAGCTCTGCCTTTGATTTTCCAACTTCTTATAGGCTGAAGGAGGAAAGTCCACTGAGGTTTGCAAAACAGGCTGTCAGCTTCCTTGGATACCCTGCTTTGGGTTCCCACTCCTCACTTTAGACTGTAGGAGAGGTGGGCCCTGTTTTCTTAGAATCTTAGCCTGAAACAATAACAACAATAGCTGTTAGACACCGATTCTTGCACAGGCCAGGTCCTCTGGTAAGTTCTTGACAAAGATTTTCCACAATAAACCTATCTGGTGGGAATGACTATTACCAGTTTATAGATAAGGAAGCTGAGCCTCAGGGAGGTTAACTAACTTGGCCAAGGTCACATGGCTATATGGTGGGGGTAAATGATGAACTGGAGTTTTCTGACTGCAAGACTCTATGTTGCGCTGGACCCAGGAGCAAATACTTTACGTCGGTTGATATTATGAAAGTAAAATCCACGGTTTTGTTCAGCCTTCAAGGAGTGTACAGTCTAGATGGGGCAGACATTACCCCCATGCTCCTTCTCTTCTACTCATCCTGCCTTCCTCCTCACAGGAAGCCCCGCCTTCCCCACCCCACCCCACTGCTCCTTTCAGTTCTTGAACTGAATGTTGTCCCTGCACTTGCACAATATATTTTACTCCCATTAGACTATGAGCTTCTCAAGTTCGAGGACCATGTCCTGTTATCCTCTTATCCTCTGCATGTATCTCAGTGCCTGGCAGAGGCTCAAACACAGTGAAATGTGAGAAGTCATGAAAAAAGAAAAAAACACAAACAAACAAATAAATAAACAGGAAAGAGACTGCCCTTGGCTATCCCAACCTGGGCCTGAGGATTTGGCTGCAGAACTTGATGTCCTAGGTGTTGTCTGGGATGGAGAAAGGAAGTGGGTTTCATGCTCCCAGACTGTAAGATGACGGGGCTAATCATATCAAAGGCCCCTTTCAAGGACGACCACCATAGCTCTTCAAAAGTCCAAAGAGAAGAAGGAAGACAGTGCATTGTCTCTGTCTGCTTCAGTTTTTTCCTTGGACTGGGTGGAGCATTTCAACAGAAACCCACGTGCAGTGCAGGTATCGGGGATTCACCCAGCAGGTTCTGAGCCCAGAATGTAGGAAACATCCCAGGAAGAAGGAAACAAAGAAGAGTACTCTTGGGGACAAAAGCTGTAGATGGAGTTACTCTGCAGTAATATAGAATCAAACTTACTATTTCCTGGGTAATGCATTTCAAGTTTTGAACACTTATCCCCCAGATGAACTGTTAGAACCCAGACCACTGTAATTTAAGATCCACCTTCATGGACTCTGAGGGAGGTTATACAGGATTCTGTAGAGGAGGACCCTACAGTGCTGAGGACCTATTTCATGTTGGGTCTCTGTTTCTTAGGGAGATTATGAAAATTGACCAGAATCAGAAAAAGGCATTGTCAAATTTCTTCCCCATCATGGTCCACTGACTTTGTTGTTGTGGGTTTATAACTTTACTAACATTGTTATGGTGTCTCAGAAAGAGGAGGGAAACCTGGGTGCAGTCTACCATCTTGGACAGAAGGGCCTAACATTTATTTTCATCTTTAACACAGGAGTTTTCTTTCTAGGAATTTATCGTAATTGAACAGGACTCCTAAAATACAATGTATATACAAGTGTGTAAGTGTGTCCATTGCAGTATTGCTTATAATAGTGACCTGGGGATTTTTTTTTTTTTTTTTTTTTGAGATGGGATGTTGCTTTGTCACCCAGGCTGGAGTGCAGTAGCACAATCTCAGCTCACTGCCACCTCCACCTCCCAGGTTCAAGCGATTCTCCTGCCTCAGCTTCCCAAGGAGCTGGGATTACAGGCACATGTCATCATGCCCAGCTAATTTTTGTATTTTTAGTAGAGATGGGGTTTCACCATGTTGGCCAGGCTGGTCTCGAACTCCTGCCCTCAAGTGATCCACCTGCCTCAGCCTCCCAAAGTGCTGGGATTACAGGTGTGAGCCACTGTACCCAGACTTGTCCTGGAAATTTTAGAAGTCAATTATGATATACTTCAGCACAAATCATTGGAACCAGTAAAACTGATGCCATAGATTTCCATAAAGGAAAATTGTACACTTATGGAATGTCTATTTAGTTGAAAAGGTTTACATCTGCTAAATCCTATACATTTGAAGATATTTAATAGCAAAGAAAACAGTAAGTGAATAAAAAGGGCTACAAAAATGTAGTGTGATCTAATTTCTGTACAAATCTCACACTTTTGAGTTTAAACATATAAAAAGAAACTGCATAAAAATGTTTACTAGTATTAACTCTGGATGGTGGAATTCTGGGTGATTCCTTATACATATTTCTGAATCAACATACATTATGTATAAATATATGGTCTATATTATATATGGTATATTATGATGTATATATGGTATATGGTATATTTTTTATATATGGTTTATATAGTATGTATATTTAACAATACTCATATAGTTAAATATATTTATAGAAATTATATGTAAATTTATATATGGCATACGTAAATATATTTATATAAATTTATATATGTATATATGTAAATATATTTATGTACACCATGTACAAATACATTTATATAGATTTAAGGTATATATATGTATATATGTGCACATATACACACGTGTGTGTGTGTATATATATATATACCTATATCTATAAAACCTGCCCGTCTGCTCTTACTCAGTTTATTTCCATTTCCACCTTCTTACTCCTCTGTCCGGCAAAGCATAGCGAAAGAGTTGAGGAGGGTTGTTTTTGTTGCCCCTATGGCTTAGGAAGAGTTAATTAACTCCTAATTAACGCATTAGACTAGGAGGAGCAACTGAGTTCAGATTGGATGACAGTGACATCATGCCAGTCGCGGGAGCCAATAGCAGCGCCCCTGCCGCTGAAGTTTCTTAAGCCCCGGATGCCTTAATGAGCCTCCTGCACCCGCTGGGTAGTAGTAGTTGCCGTTCTGTACGCAGCCGGCTGAGCTCCTCGGGCGCCCGTCCTGCATACCCGGACCTTCTGGGCTGTGCCTAGCGAGGGCCCCTTCCCACTCTAGTTCCTCCCCCAGCCCCTCTCTTCTGGGGCGTCACCAGTTTCTCTCCGGGGAACTTCGCCACTTGTTTCTCAGGAGGTGACTGCGTCCTGCTAATGAGTCAAGGCAGCGACTTTCCTTTGTCCCCATATTTTTCTCTTCCTCTCTCTTGGGACTCTGCTCAGGGGTTACGCCCGCTCTCGCTTGTGGTGAGGCTTCCTCATAGCCTCGCAACTCTTAAAAGAAAACCCTGTGTCCAGGGCACCAAGAAGCACCTACTAAACCAAACCTAACAGACTGGCGTTTTCATACCGCGACCCTTTCTCACTATAAATGTCACGCTTCTCATTCTAGAAAACAGAGGAGTCGGAGTCTGGGGGTAGGGGTCAACAACCGTGCAAACAGCATCCAAAGATATCCATGGCTTACAATATCTAAAATATGATAGATTTACAAATTTGGCATCGCACTGACTATAGTTTTAGGTTTGGCTTTAGTCAAGTGAGCATTTCCTCCTCTCTTTAAATATTCTCTATTTTTTTAATTTTTTTAAATTTTATGTTGTTTTTAAATTATTATTATACTTTTAAGTTTTAGGGTACATGTGCACAATGTGCCGGTTGGTTACATATGTATACGTGTGCCATGCTGGTGTGCTGCACCCATTAACTCGTCATTTAGCATTAGGTATATCTCCTAATGCCATCCCTCCCCCATCCCCCCACCCCACAACAGTCCCCAGAGTGTGATGTTCCCCTTCCTGTGTCCATGTGTTCTCATTGTTCAACTCCCATCTATGAGTGAGAACATGCGGTGTTTGGTTTTTTGTCCTTGTGATAGTTTACTGAGAATGATGATTTCCAATTTCATCCATGTCTCTACAAAGGACATGAACTCATCATTTTTTATGGCTGCATAGTATTCCATGGTGTATATGTGCCACATTTTCTTAATCCAGTCTATCATTGTTGGACATTTGGGTTGGTTCCAAGTCTTTGCTATTGTGAATAGTGCTGCAATAAACATATGTGTGCATGTGTCTGTTTTTTAAGCGGCTTCGTAGCATTCCAGCATATGGAATAATGTACTGAACTCTTCCCCTATTGTTGTATATTTAGATTATGTTCAACTATTTTCTATTTTAAATAATTCCATGATGAACGATGGATCTTTTGTACATATTTTCTTGTCCTAATATCTGAATATTTCCTTAAGATAAATCTTAGTGAAATTATCATTTTGTTTTCCTAAAAATACCTTGCTTAACATTTTTCTTGTTATTCCAAATTAAATAAAAATCACTTTGTCTAATTTCAAAACCAGACCTCTAGGTATTTTGAGTTATAACTGTCTGCTTATTCTAATTAGTTTTTTAGATTTCAGTAAAGTTTCATAGTTCTGTTTTAAATTTTAACTCAAGGTAGTTTTATATTTCAGTTGCTATTATGAATGGAGTCTTATTTCCAGTATATTTTCTTCCTGGATATTACTGATATCAAGAGTGTTCCTATTTATAAATTAATGTCATTTGAATTCACTTCACCAAGTCTTTTATTATTTATCAGTTGATTCTTTTGAGTTTTTAGGTAATCATTATACCACCAAACTTTCAGTGTATGTCAAAGAACTTGCCTTATGTATTTGATGGCTTTTTTTTTTTCCAGGAAAAAAAATCTCTTTATATCTCATTTTACCCTTTTCCTTTGAACTCCTGCCTGAAATTATCACCATCCTGTTTTCTGTTTGGATCTGTTTTGTTAGAAACCAGACTCCTTGGTACTGTGATTCCGTTGGTCATTATTTTGAGATATTTTTTATCAGAAGCTGATTATCGGGTTTTTAAAATTTGAGAATCTTAGTTTTTAATAAGAATATTTAGATAATGTGTATCTGCTGGATAGCAATGACGACATTTTCTTTGGTGACTATTTCATTTGTTGTCATTCTTTCTGCATAGACTTTTTTCCTTCTCTATTTTTTCATGTTTTGGAAGAAAAGTATGTACGCTGTTTTAAAAGTCTCCAGTGTTTTAGTGATCCCTGAAAGCAAGCTTTCAACATATACTTGTTTCAATATCAGAAATACATAATAAAACAGTATTTTAAAAAGAATTCTGTTGCTTCCCACCTCTTTTCCTCCATATGGGGATTTAAGAAACTTTACTTCCCTTGCCTCCAAATTTTCTGGGTTTGGTTACTATAATCTGGAGTTATATAACATGATCACTGTTATTAAATTCTATTTAACATTATATATCATCTCTTCCAAGAAAAACTTTTGACATTTGCAATATAACACTTATTCAATCAAATTATTCCAAGTGGGGTTCATTTATGGCATATTTTCTGAATCCTTGCATTTTGAAAATGTCATTTATTTTACCTTTGCACAACTTGTCTGGATATAAAATTCCAGATGATTCACAATCTTTGCTCAAAATCCTGTACATATTTTCCCATTATTTGTCTTTTGGCAAAGCAGACTGATTTTTATTCCTTGGTAATTGCTAGGTTTTTATTGTGTTGTTTTGCTTTGTAGCCCTGGATGTTATTACAATTTATTTTGTATCCTATAATTCAAAGTATTTGCCATGAATTTGTTTGGAATGTGACAAGCACTTCCAATCTTCAATTCTATCAGTCATTTCAGTTTTAATTTGTTATTTTTTTCTTATAATTTTTGTTAGACTTTAATCCTCCCCCTCCCCTCTCTCTCCTCCCCTTCCCTCCCCTCCTCTTTCTTTTTCCCCTCTCCCTGTCTTCTGGGAATGTTTCTCAAATTTGTCTTCCATGTTGCTTACTCCATTTTTCTCAATCTTGGTTACAGCTCTGTTCTTGACTCTCTCTTCTATGAGTTTCAAGTCCACTGTGTTCTTCTCAGTTTCCTTGCAGTTTTGCTCTATCTCACTCACTCCCTTCTCATACTCAGCCTCCTGTCCTCTTCCTCCCTCTGTTCCTGCTTAAAGAGACGACTCCTTATTAAGGATGCCAAAGCTTCCTTCCAGGTACTGCAGATGGCCTTTTAAAGAGATTATTTTCTTCCACAGAATCTTCAGGATAATTCCTCCCCTTTGCTCTGTGGTATTTTGTCATGCCCCCATGTTGTTTTTATTTTATTTATGTTAAGAGACAGAGTCTCACTGTCGCCCAGGCTGGAGTCCAGTGGTGTAATCACAGTTCACTGCAGCCTCGAACTCCTGGGCTCAAGAGATCCTCCCACCTCAGCCTCTCATGTAGCTGGGACTACAGACACACACCACCATGCCCAGCTAATTTTTTTTTTTTTTTTTTTGGAGACAGAGTGCAGTGGCGCGATCTTGGCTCACTGCAAGCTCCGCCTCCAGGGTTCACACCATTCTCCTGCCTCAGCCTCCCGAGTACCTGGGACTACAGGTGCCCGCCACCATGCCCAGCTAATTTTTTTGTATTTTTAGTAGGGACGGGGTTTCACCGTGTTAGCCAGGACGGTCTCGATCTCTTGACCTTGTGATCCGCCCACCTCGGCCTCCCAAAGTGCTGGGATTACAGGCATGAGCCACTGCACCCGGCCCATGCCCAGCTAATTTTTAAAAAATTTTTTGGAGAGACGGGGTCTCACTTGTTGCCCAGGTTGGTCTGGAATGCCTGGGCTCAAGTGATCCTCCCTCCTTGGCCCTCCCAAGGTGTTGGCATTACAGTTGTGAGCCACTGCGCCCAGCCTGTTGTTTTTAATGAATAGACTCAACACCAAAGGAGGTGAAATCTAAATCCTAGATTCCCTCAGCTCCACATAAAACTCACACAAGAGATGAGACGGGTACAATGAATAGCAGTTGGGGTAACCCAGCTGCCAGCACTCTCCCAGCCTCTCTCAGCATCAAAGCGGGTGGCTCTGCTGTCTGGAGGCAAAATCTTCTATGCCTATAGCACTCCTGAAACTATGAAAATGAGGACTGACAAAAGCACAGAACAATAAACTAAAAAACCCACATGCACACCAGAAAAGGTGCTTCCTATCCCTGCCGCACTGTCCTGTAGGAATTCCACCTCCCAGGATGCACCATGTTGCCACCAGTTCCCCCTTCTCTCTGCCCAGTTGCTTCCTGGAGCTTGCAGTCGCTAGGATGGTGCTGCAGGATGAAGGACAGAAGAAAACAGGATTCCTGGTCACTTCAAAAAGCAGCTGGAGAACAGTAAAGAGTTAGGACATGTCAGAAAACTCCCTTAATTAAAATAATGCCCTGATGCTCAGGAGAATGGCTAGATCCCACAGCTCAATTTTTGTTTCTGTGAACCCCGAAAATCTGAGACAGGTCTCAGTTAATTTAAAAGCTTATTTTGCCAAGGTTGAGGATGTGCGCCTGTGACACAGCCTCAAGAGGTCCTGACGATATGTGCCCAAGGTGGTCAGGGCACAGCTTGGTTTTATCCATTTTAGGGAGATATAAGACATCAATCAATGTATGTAAGGTGTACATTGGTTCTGTCCCAAAAGGCGGGACAACTCAAGCAGGGAGGGGGCTTCCAGGTCACGGGTAGATGAGAGACAAACAGCTGCATTCTTTTGAGTTTCTGACTAGCCTCTCCAAAGAAGGCAATCAGATACGCATTTATCTAAGTGAGCAGAGGGATGACTTTGAATGGAGTGTGAGGCAGGTTGGCCATAAGCAGTTCCCAGCTAGACTTTTCCCTTTAGCTTGGTGGTTTGGGGGCCCCAAGATTTATTTCCCTTTCACATTTCCCAAATTCACTTTCTCCCTGGGGGTTGATTCAATTGTTTAGGCATTCACTCAACAAATGTCAAGCTCAGTAAGTGCCCCTGTCACATGCTGCAGATGTTCCTGGAGCCCCAGAGTGGGAGTCCTCCCTTAATTCCTACAGCTGAGACCCAGCTCTCAGAGAGCAAAAGGGCATGCTGCAAGGAGTAACCCAGGAGCACGACTCTGCAGCACCCAGATCACCTCTTTGGACCCCAAAGGTCCAACATCGGAACCTCAGTGGCATCTGATCCTCAGGGTGTAGACAGGGGAGAGGGAGGAAGGGACAAAGAAGCTTTCCATGTGTCTGGGTGGCTGCTGAAACTCAGGCTCCATGGGCTTTATAGGGGAAATCCTCCCCAATTTCTGCCAGTAGGCTGGTCATCCATCACTTTTTGTTGGTCATCGGTGTTTTCGTCTTTGCTTCTGTCTTCCCTGGTACTGGGCAAAGCCATGCTGGGGGCTGCAGGCTGTATGCCATCTTAAACGAGTCAATATGTTACTTTCCATCCCCCTTACATCTGAATTCGGGGTCTTTTGACACCACTGTTCAACGTATTTGTATTTGCATCTGTTACGCCGCCTTCCTTTGGTTGCAATTCTGCCTCTATTCACTCCTCGTAAGTCTTTAACCTGAATCTTCAGCCCCCCTCTAAAATGTGCCCGTGCCACACGACTCCGTATCTCCCGTGCAGATCCTGGACTCCAGAGCTCTCTAATGGCCTTGAGCTCTCTAATGGCCTTCCCTGTGCTTCCACCCAATGTCCTCAAACACGGCACTGACCTCACCACGCCGCAGTGACCAGCACCAGTCATTCAGGCCAAAAACCTGGCAGCCCCCTTTCTTCACCTGGTCCAGTCTGTACACAGTCTGCCTGGTAATCCCACCTCCTCCAGGATTTCTAATCGCCCACTTCTCCCCACACCCCCTGCCTTACCCCCACACCCCCATCTTAGTTCAGCCCCTCATCAACTGAACTGCCTGGATTATACCACATTTACTGCTGCAAACCCAGATGTTTTGAGATCTAGGGACAGTAACACCAGGAGACTAGGGTCTGAGGTTCAGCTCTGTCACTGATTAGTCCTGTGACCTTGAACAAGCCCCCTGACCTCTTTTTTAAGCCTATCTCACACAGTGCTCAGGTAGTAGGGATTAAAACAGAGCCTACATGAGGTGCTTTATTAAGTAAACAAGGGAGGTTTTGCACGCCTATAGCCAACTTAAGAGGGGATAGAGAGTAAAAAGCACCAATATTTGTTGAGCCCCAAGTATGTACCATACCCTGGTTGGGGCACTTCTCACACACCACCTCCCTCCATCCTCAGGGCTCCACACTGCTGCCTATCCAGAGAGCAGGGGAAGATACGGATTCGTGTCCCTAGTAGGGGGCTGTATGCAACCCGGCTGCCCAGACCCTCCAACTCGTTTCCATGTGCATTTATGTTCCTCCTGGGTCCACATTGTTCCCAGACTGTCTGTTCTCTGAACTGTTATGCAAATCCCAGCTAGTCCAGTATCCATAGAAACCAGAATCTCCCATCTTCCTCAGCTTATTCCCTGGCAGGAGAATCCCACCCAGGTGACACCCACAAACAAGGACAAACAGCACCCTAGAGAAGGGGAGCTTCCCCCTGCCCTGGGCCATCAGACTTCAGTACTTATTGTTCAGCAGGTCCTGAAGGCATTTGTCAGGTTCTCCAGGCATGGCTGGGAGGAGGAGTGAGTGGCACAGGCCAGTGTAAGCAGCTGCATTTTCGTTTTGAAATCTGGAAGGGAGATGCTGTAATCCCAGCATCTCACATCGCTAACAATCATTTTTGTCCAACCCAAACAGCTCCACTGCTACTGGAAGTTAAGATCACCTTCACAGTGGACATGAGTCAGTATTTGTCATCATCTTTAATCTCATACATACGAGTACATATGTCATCTCTGGAACATAATGACATGATTTCATTGTGCATAGTCAATTACTAATTTTATGAACATTTTTTAAAGATCTCACTCCTCTCCAGAATAACCTGTCTTATGCCTAAAACATTATGACTCATTAGTCTTTTTTTTTTTTTTTTTGCTAGAGTCAAAACGTGAGACAAAAGTTTCTGCTCCCAATCCCAAGTTCTGGAATATTGGCCGGCAGCAGCACCCTGAGTCAGCAATCCCTACTGTGCACAAGACATAGGCTTTTGCTAGTGACATAAATTATGAATCACAGGATGCTAGAATTGGAATGACCTGGAAAACACATGCAAATGCCCAAGTTTCCCTGTTTACAGAAAAATACTTCAATGGCTATATCCTGCAGCTATTTAATTAGCAGAGCCAGGGTAAGACAACAGTAAACTCTCAACTGTGCCAGATCCTCTTCTAAGTGTTTCACACATTTGCTCATTTAACCTCATATCCACCCTGTGAGGTAGGAACTCTTACTATCTTCATTTTCCTCACGATGAAACTAAGGCACAGAGAGGTTAAGTAACTCCCCCAAGGTCAGACAGTGGTTCAGTCAGGGTTTAGGTCCAGGTTGTCCAATCTGGTATCCCAGCCTCTTAACCACTAGAAACCTTTGTAAGGGTTCTAATGAATTGAGATTTTAAAAATGCACATTGAGGCCGGGCACAGTGGCTCATGCCTGTAATCCCAGCACTTTGGGAAGCCAAGGCAGGCGGATCACCTGAGGTCAGGGATTTGAGATCAGCCTGGCGAAACCCCATCTCTACTAAAAATACAAAAAGTAGCCAAGTGTGGTGGCACATGCATCCCAGCTACTCAGGAGGCTGAGACAGGAGAATTGCTCGAACCTGGGAGGCGGGGGTTGCAGTGAGCTGAGATCACACCATTGCACTTCAGCCTGGGCGACATGTATATTGAGGTCTCAGCTTTAAGGTTTCTGCTTGGCTTTTTCTCTTTGTTTTAAAACCTTAAGGTGAAATATTTAAACACGAACAAAAAGTAAAATCTATCCACTGAATGGACTGAATGAAAACATCGTACAAACCTCCCCCTTGAGAGAAAAGGATTTTAGTAACATCTTTGGGGTTTTTGCCTCTTGGTTGGGTTGCTTAGGGATGAGAGCTAGAGTTGTCTGCTCTAAATTATAATGTATTGGGGTGAACAGAATATACCCATCAACAGGATATGTGCTATGCATAAAATATCTCTGGGAAGTTTGAAAAAAACTAGTAATATATATTGCCTACCAGGGGGGTTGCTGAGTGTTTGGGCAGAAAAAGGAGACAGACTGTTCTAGTACATTTTGTACCTTTGGAATTCACAGCCATGTAAACAGATTATCTAATCAAACAACACAAATTAAAGACAGGCTCCTGCTTGTCTTGTTGTGAGTACGCTGCATGCCTGTACTTACTGCTTTGAATCCTATTTTTTTGGTTCTTACAACATAACCATTTTCTCATGCTACTGAAAGTTTTTCATGAACATGAGTTTTATGCAAACGTTCTTGTTAAAAATCTGAAGAAATCGGAAGACTCCCAAAACAGGTAACTTCTATTTCTCAATCTCTCACTTTTCTTTGGGATTTGTCATTATTGGGAATCACAATTTATATATTCAGAATCTCCCATTTCTGAAGAATTCACCAATGTGTATTAATCCTATCCTAGGTTTAGAACACAATACTTGGCATTTTTACCGTCATTTTCCTCATCGAATCCCCACAAGTGCCTGAGGTAGATATTGTCATCTTCGTTCTGTGTAAGGGAGCAGAGGGTCAGAAGATTCAGGCAGCCCAGAAATCACAGGGCTTGCATCTGGATCCAGAATCTGGACTGTGGGCTTCATGCCACTTTCTCCTTACCAAAATGCCACCAGTTGGTCTGTGGCACTTTCAAAGGCAGCTTTCCTGCCCCACAGTGCACGTCTCTAACCATACATGCACTCAACAATCATTTATTTATTTTTTTATTATGATTTTTTATTGAGACGGAGTTTCACTCTTGTTGCCCAGGTTGGAGTGCAATGGCACAATCTTGGCTCACCGCAACCTCCACCTCCTGGGTTCAAGTGATTCTCCTTCCTCAGCCTCCCAAGTAGCTGGGATTACAGGCATGCGCCACCACGCATGGCTAACTTTGTATTTAGTAGAGACGGAGTTTCACCATGTTGGTCAGGCTGGCCTCAAACTCCCAACCTCAGGTGATCCACCCACCTCGGCCTCCCAAAGTGCTGGGATTACAGGCGTGAGCCACCGCACCCGGCCTCAACAATCATTTATTATGGTCCAGCAACATCCACAGATTTGGGGCCTGAAAGAGGAAGATGACATGCTTCCTGCACTCCCAGGTCTGCAAGCAGAAAAGACAGCGAGGTGCTCTTCCACAAAACAGGCGGCATGCAGTGGCAGCCCAGGGAGCCCCGGGCAGGTCTGGGAAGGCACCTCCGAGCTGACAAGGGGGACTGAGCGACAATAAAGGGAGGGCGACAGGCGCTGCAGGCAGGAGGAACAATGGGACCCTGCACCCAGGAAGGCTGGGCAGGGTCTTTGTAAACAGTGGTGACCGTGGTTGCAGGAGTCAGCCGGGGAGGGGTCTCGAATGTCACTCTGGAGGTGGGAAAACTCCCGCCACTGCCCCATCACTCACCACAAGGGTCACGAAAGACTTCCACTATTGTGATATTGAGCAATCAAATACTGTTGAGAGAAATTTCATCCCCCACAAGCAAGAGGAAGCAAAAAAGGAAATGGCCCCTGTGCACCTAATTCTGACCAACTGATACCTGGTGGCTGACGTGGACATGACTGGGAGCCTGGAGGTTACTGAGGCTCTCGTGTGCTCTGAGACTCCAGTTTCTGAGGTGCTCACACTGCTCAGACATTCAGGAGGTGGGGAGGGGCCCCACTTCTACAGATGAGAAAATAAGATCAGGCAGGCAGTGTGTGCCCCAGGAGATATCACGTAAGCGGCAGAGCCAATATGATCAGGAGAGCCAGAGCAACCAAGGTCAGGACATTCCAGTGACAACGGGCCCCTGGTGAGGGCAGGTGGCCTATTTCAAGGGTAAACAGGAGCCTGGTCCGGCTGGAGCCATGTGTGACGGGACTGAGAAGACTCCGGGTATAAAGGCAGAGTGCAGTGACAATGTGCCCTGAGAGCTGCCCTGGAGAAATGCACTGCAGCGGGTTGGAAATGGGGTCTCTCCAGGTGATGGGAACATGAACGATGGTGCATGTGGAATGGATGCAAAAGTGGGAGAAACTGGAGAACGGGGGCCTTCCCAGAGAGCTGCTGCTTTGAGCCTGGACACAGTAATGAGAAGGAGAGTGACGGGGTGAGTGGAAGGCAAGGGCAGGAGAGGGGCTTCAGGGAAGAATTAATGAACTCGTGGACTAGCGCTTCCTGCCAACAGAATAACTGCCCCATCCCTGAGCCAAAACCCCGAACTTACATGGACCTAAGGGCAGTATCAAAAGTGAGATTTCTAGGATACATGTACAACAAAAGAAAAAATAAATAAAAATTGGACATCATCAAAATTAAAAGCTTTAGTATTTCAAAGGACATCATCAAGGAAATGAAACAGCTCACGGAGAAAAATTTTATAATCATATACCAGTTAAAGGGACTTGTGCCAGGCTATAAAAGGACTCTTACAACTCAATAATAAAAAGACAAATAACCCAATTAAAAAATGAGCAAGTGATCTAAAGATAGCTGTCCTAAGAAGATATGCAAATGGCCAATAAGCTCATGAAAAGATGCTCAATATCATTCGCCATCAGGGAAATGCAAACCAAAATCACAATGAGATGCCACATTACCCCTACTAGGATGGCTAAGTTAAAAGATAGATAATAAAAAGCACTGAGGGATGTGGAGTCATCAGAACCCTCATGCCCTGTTGATGGGATATAAAATTGTGTCACCACATTGGAAAACAGTTTGGGAGTCCCTCAAGGGTTAAATAGAGTTTCATATGATCCAGCAAATCTGCTCCCAGGCATATACCAAAGAGAAATGAAAACATATGTCCACACAAAAACTCATACACAAAAGTTCCTAGCAGCATTATGTATAATAGTCAAGAAGTAGAAACGATCCAAATGTCCACCAATCGATGCATGATAAATAAAATGTAGTACTACCATTCCATACAATGGAATATTACCCGATGAAAAAATAAAGTTGAACACATGCTACAACATGGATGAACTTTGCTTATAAGAACATTGAAAAGAAAATGCCAAAAGAAAAATGAGTTTTAGCTCAAATTTTTTTTTAAGAGGCCTAGCCTGCTCAAGTTATCCTGTTAAAAAAAAAAAAAAAAAAAAAAC
Source organism: Homo sapiens (assembly GCF_000001405.40). Taxonomy (NCBI): domain Eukaryota; kingdom Metazoa; phylum Chordata; class Mammalia; order Primates; family Hominidae; genus Homo; species Homo sapiens. Next base: position 27,285,690 of record NC_000008.11, read on the forward strand.
TCTTCCCATATCTAAGGTGAAAATAAAAAACATTTTTAAAAGTTTAATATAAAGAATGAAATAATTTCAGGTCAAGTTTATTATACAGAAATTATATTAATGGGTGGGATAAATACTTTACAGGAGAGGGTCACACTCTCAGACACTTTGGCTCCCAAAGGGCTTGGAGCTTTTGTGAGGCTGAGCATCTTCCAACCAGGTGCATGCACTGGTTTGCCAACATCCTCACCACGCCCAATCCAGCCCCTTCACACACTGACATCGCCTACCTGGGCCCTCCTTGTGGCCTTAAGTTTTATCTAACCAGTGTACACAACATATTTATAACCAATTAATACGTGTGAGTCATGATTTGTTTAAAATGTCAGCTTTTGTGAACTGAAGGGGATGGGCAGAAGGCAGGATGCTGTCCTTGGTCAGGAATGTGACCCAGATTTTAACACTGCTCCTAGGAAAAAAAAATATTTCCTTTTATGATGCCACTTCCTGGGACATGATGAGCTGAAGATTAAAAACTCTTCAGAGATGTGCGAGAAAAAACAAGCCCAGGGAAAAGTCTGCAGGCATGGTGGAGGAAGAAATTAGGGATGAAATCGCAAGTGGCAGAGCAAGCATGACCAGGCTGAAGTCAGCAGAGACAAGAGGGCAGCGAGGCCCAGCCTCCTCTTCCCTCTCCCACAGCGTTTAGGGCCACGTCCATGGCGCCACCCCTCTCCTTTCTTCCCAACTGAAAAGGGTGCCCTCTTTCCTTCTTTTCTGCAGACGCTGATGAGAATTAACCAGAGGAACTTCCTCCACAGCAACTATAACAGGACATCCTCATCCAGTCCTCCTATCTCATTTCCTGGTGGGGAAACAGGCCTGGCAAGGAAATAGGCCGAAATCACGATTTAAAAAATGTTGTGTTTAAGTACTCTGGAACCCTGTGTTCAGAGGAAATCGTGCAAGAATAGATCAATCAGAGCTGATCTGATGGAGACGGAGGATCCAGCCACACAGAGGCCCTGCATTAACTGTATTTCCTGTACTCTTGATGCTCTGGTATCTGGGGCCTCGCTGACCTGGACAGACTGATCCTCCCAGGCTAGCCAATCCCCCAATCCCTAGAGATGGCAAGCATCTGGCTGAAAGCATGCCTTTCCTATGGAAACCAACTAATCCGGAGCGATGGCGCCAGCTGCCTCCTTCACATGGCTCTCCCAGGGCTGTCACACCCCAGGCCAACATTCACCTGTCCTGACTATCCCGGGGCCAGGTATCAGACAAAAAGGGCAGCCCCTATCCTGAGAGCCACTGAAATTACTCAAGCCAGCTACCCTTAAACCTGTCTCCCCTGCTTACTCTGCCTTGCCCATTTCCTCCTGAGGAAACCAGAGGAAGTCTCTTGCCCACACGTTCCCCTCCCTCCTTCCGCCTTCTGACCCACCGTGGGGCTTTCCTATGTGGCCCCTCCTCTCAGAACCGTAAGTAACAAACTCTCCTTTCCATGGCAGTCCCCTCCTCATCCAATGGCTTTACCACACCTCGATGAGATGGTTTACAACAGGCCCATTCTAGAAGTAAACATTATTCCCAGAAATCCTGGAATAGGGATTCAGAAAATTCACATTGTGGAGGTGCCACGACTCGGGAGAGCCTGGCCAGCGAGGTGCCACCCGAATAGCTCCTGACCATGGGCACAGAAGGGACCAAACATGGAGAGAGGCACAGCCTGGAGTCATGGAAAAGGACCAGGCAGGACAGGAGGAAGAGCCTGGCAAGGAGGCAGGGGCGCAATAGTGCCCAAGCAGTGTGGGCATTAGGAAGAGGGCAGAAAGAAAACAGTGCTGTGGCACAAGACCGGGGCAGCCCCGGGCCAGCTCAGCCATCCAGTTCTTCCTTGACACTGATGTGCAAGGGGCAGATGCGCAAAGGCTCTGGAGGCCCGGCGCCCCGTGCACCCCCCAGGTAGAAGTAGGGGCGAACCTCCCCAAAGCGGGCGTGGAAGGTGTACAGGTGGCAGTGGCGCTCCGCGTCATAGAAAGACAGCTCGCCCTCCTCACACTCCAGCTCCACACGCAGGCGGCGTGGGATGGCCAGGACCAGGGGCGACGTGGCTGGGTCCGAGGTCACGCAGTGGTCCCCCTCCACGCCCTGCGTGCGGCAGACATACCAGAAGCCCGAGCGTGTGTCGTGGTAGCAGCTGTGTGAGTGGCCCTCAGCGCCCGAGTCCTGGCGCACACGTACCACGCCCACCCTCCAGCTCTGCAGCCCCCCAAGGGCCACCTCCCAGGCGTGCGAGCCCTGTGAGAAGACACGGGAGCCCAGCAGGCAGGGCGCCGAGGAGAAGCGTTCCGGGTTCTCCACCTGCACGCGGTAGCCATGGTTGGTGACGCTGGTGAGGTCGTCAGACACGGAGAGCCAGCCAGCTGCGGTGTTGGGGTCAAAGCTGAAGGGTACTGCAAGCAGAGGCGGAAATGGGGAATCAGCAAACCTGAGGTCCCTTAGGCCACACGTGGATATCTCCAGCCCCACAAACCAACCACTGTGTCACACCTGGCCCCAAGTCCATGCAAGGAGTGGCCCAGGGCTGGAGTGGTGGCAGGGGTTGGGCTGTATCCCCCAGAAGATATGCGGCAGTCCCAACCCCTGGTACCTCCGAGTGTGACCTTATTTGGGAATGGGGTGGTTGTACACATATTAGTTAAGATGAAGACTGGAGGAGGGTCCCCAATCCAATATGACCTGTGTCCTTAAAATAAAGAGGAGACAGACACAGATACACAGGGGAGAATGCTGTGTGATGGCGGAGGTGAGGATCAAAGTGCTGAGGGGGAGCCAATAAGGCCAAGAATGGCCAGGAGACACCAGGAGACGGAAGAGGAAATGAAGACTCTCCTCTACAGGTTTCAGAGGGGGCCTGGTCCTTCCAACATCTGGATTTTGGATTTCTACCCTCCAGAACTGTGAGAGAGTCAACTTCTGTCATTTTCTAGTTTGTGGTCCTTCGTTATGGCAGCCACAGGAACTCATACAGGCAGAGACTCTTAACACTCACACGACCAAGGGATGTTAGGACAGCACGGCCCATTCCCTGAGTCAGTGATATTCCTCCCCGTAAAACCAGGACACTGTGGCTCATGTGGGCTGCAGTCGCCTTAGGAGAGGCAAGCCCAGATGCAGGAGGTCTTTTATCATACAAAACACAGTTCTGAATAGGCAAGAAAGCCAGTTTCCCTCTCTGAAGAAGGGACCAAGTGTCAGGACCCTGAGAGAAGGCATTCTACCAGGAGGGTTGGAGGTGTTGGGCAGAGTGGAAAAGACCAGGGTACAGGAACCTGCCTGCGAGGGACTGGCAGAGGGATCAGCTGAGAGAGGAGGGGAGCTCTGAGGAGGTGGGAGGTGGGCCCGGCAGAGACCAGCCCTGGTGCCTCTTTGCTAACATGAAGGGCTTCCACCCATGCTTGGGACACCTGCCGGCACCCCCGCTCACCAGATTCCACAGATGCAAGCATCTTCTTCCAGACGCGGTACTGCAGGGAGCCCAGGTACTTGCAGACATCGATAAGCATGCCGGGCTGGACTGGCTCTGGCTCCATGGTGCAGAAGAGTCTGGAAAAGTACAATGGGTATGGTGGGCAGGGCCAGAGCCATGCAACCTGGGCCGAACTGGGCCAACTGGAAACCAGCAACAGGACTTGTTCCCTTCCCTCAGGCCCAAGTTTCCTGGCCACCTTCTCCAAGACAAGACTGGACTGGGCTACGATGGGAGATGGGCCAAGGCCAACAGGGCTGCCATCTCCCTTCAGCATTCAATCCGAGGGCTCACCCTGCCCCAACTAGGAGAAATACAAACAGGAGGTTCTCCAACATGGCTGCCATCCTTGCAGGCAGAAATCACACTTACACATCCGGCTCATGGGATGTCTGAGTTGGAAGGGACCCTAAGGATGCTCTAGTCCAACAATCCCAAGGTGTCCTCCAGCCTTTGCTTGCACACTGCCAGTGGGAAGTGAGCACAGGGAACTCACTCCCTCCAAAAGCACTCTATTCCATCTTTGCACAGCTCTGACTGGGACACAGCTCTTCCTCATTCATCCCTGTGAACCCAACAACCATCAACACAAACCACCATGGCCTAAGGCTCTCAGAGGGAGGGGGCTGATCAAGAAACAAGCCTGACATTGACTGGCCCCGAGAAATGCAAGCCACATGCAGGATAGTGTTCTCCTTCCCTGCACGGCAGGTGGGGACCCTCCACACTCAGGAGAACAACACTGCCCCAGAGCCAACTTGAACTGGATGCTGTGAGAGGGCTCTCTCCACCTGGCCATTGTCCACCTCTCCCTCTAAAACCAGGGCCAGTAGCTCATGTGTGCTGGTGCACCCAGCTGGTTGTTACCTGCTTGCCCCGGGGCCACTGGAGTTTGCACCCCTGGTATTTCTGCCCACTCTTCCCCTCCCCTCCACCAGCTTTGGCAACTTACCGGCGTTTTCGGCTCTTGTGTTTCTGAAAAAATAAAAATAAAAAAATAACACAGAGACACAGATGTAGAGGAAATGTATATGTTTCTGACCTCAAAAGAAGTCATGCATTCCATGGATCATAAGTCTTAATATTGTCAAGATGTTAACAATAACATCCCTGCTATGATTTGAACATATTATCCAAAAGTTCATGTGTTGAACACTGAATCCCCAATGCGACAGTGTTGGGAGGAAAGGCCTAAAAAGAGGTGATTGGGTCATGAGGGCAGAGCCCTCACAAATGGATTAATACCGTTATTGTGAAGTGGTTTAGTTGTCATGAGACTGGGTTGCTATAAAGCAATGAGCAACTACTCTGTCTTGCACTCATTTCCTCCTTCTGCCATGAGATGACCCACACCAAATGCCAGAGCCATCATGCTCCTGGACTTCCTGGCCTCACCCAGAACACTGAGCTGAATAAACTTGTATTGTTTTATAATTTACCCAGTCTGTGATATTCTGTCATAGCAACAGAAAACATAAGAAGAGACTCCTTAAGTTGATCTACTGATTCAGTGCAATCCCTTATCCTAGCTGGCTTCTTTGCAGAAACTAAAAAACTGATCCTAAAATTCACACAAAATTTCAAGGAACCCAGAATAGCCAAAACCATCTTGAAAAAGAAGAACATTGGAAGACTCATAATCTCCAATTTCAAGACTTACTACAAATCAACAGTAATCAAGATAGTATGGTACTAATATAAAAACAGGCACTGAGATCAATGGAATAGAATTGAAAGTCCAGAAATAAACCCTCATATTTACCATCAATCAATTATTTACAATAGTGCCAAGATGATTTAATGGAGGAATAGTCTTTCCAACAAATGGTACTGGGAAAACTGTATGTTGACATGCAAAAAAAAAAAAAAAAAAAAAGTGAAGTTGGACTAACCCTTACTATACCATATACAAAAAAAAAACTCAAAATGCATCAAAGACCTACATGAAGAGCTAAAACCGATAAAAAACTTGTATCTAGACTATATAAAGAACTCTTACAACTCAACAATAAAAAGACAACCCACATTAAAAATGGGCAAAGGATGTGAATAGACATTTGTCCAAGGAAGATCTACTAATGATCAAAAAGCCCATGAAAAGATGTTCCAAGTCATTAGCCATCAGGGATGTGATGACATGCAATACACAAGGAGATACCACTTCACACCTACAAGGATGGTTATAATTTTTAAAAAACAAATTTTGGCAAAAATATGGAGAAACTGGAATCCACATACACTCCTGATGGGAATATAAAATGATACAGTTGCTCTGAATAATGGCCTAGCAGTTCTTCCAATAGTTAAACCTAGAGTTACCATTTGATCCAGCAAATCTACTCCCAGACATATTTCCAAGAAAAATGAAAACATGTCCACATAAAAATTGCTACCTGAATGTTTATAGTCATATTATTCATAATAGCCAAAATAGAAACAACCCAAATGACCACTGTCTTAGTTCATTTTGTGTTGCTGTAACAAAATACCACAGACTGGGTAATTTATAAACAATAGTTTATTTCACTCGTGGTTCTGAAGCTGGAAAGTCCAAGAGCATGGCACCAGCATCTGATGAGAGCCCTCATGCTGTGTCATCCCATGGCAGAAGGAAGAAGGGCAAGAGACTACACATAAGACCAAGAGCAAGAGAGCAAGAGGGGCCCAAACTCACTTTTATAACAAGCCCACTCTCTCAATAACTAACCCACTCTGCCAGTAACAACATTAACCCATTCATGAGGGCTCTCATGACCCAATCACTTCTTATTAGGCTCCACCACCCAACACTGTTGCATTGGGGATTAAGTTTGTAACACATAAATTTTGGGGAACATATTTAAACCACAGCAACCACCAATTGATAAATCAATCAATAAAATATAATATAGCCATGTGCAACGTAACGATGTTTCAGTCAACAAGGAACCACATATATGACTATGGTATGGTCCCATGAGATTATATCACTGTTTTTTACTGTACTTTTTCTATGTTTAGATATACAAATACTTAACAGTGGGCTCCAGTTGCCTACAGTATTCAGTGCAGCAACGTGCTGTACAGGTTTGTAGCCTAGGAGCAAAAGGCTATTCCATATAATCTAGGTGTGCAGTAGGCTACACCATGTAGGCTTCTGTAAGCACACTCCATGACACTTGCATAATGAAGAAACTGCCTAATAATACATTTCTCAGAACATATCCCCATCACTAAGAAGTGCATGATTATATATCTATGCCATGGAATATTATTCAGCCATAAAAAAGAATGAAGTACTGATAGATGCTACAACATGAATGATGTTTCAAAATATGCTGACTGAAAGAAGGCAGTCACAAAAGGTTACATGTTATATAATTCCATGCATTTGAAATGTCTACAACAGGTAAATCCATATAGATAGTATGTAGACTAGTGGTTGCCAGGGGCTGCTAATTCTAGTAATTACCACTCTGTTAGACTCAATTTCGGTAGCAGTTTTTATGTGGGAGGAGGAACTGGGGAGTGACAGCTAAAGCAGGGCTGCTTTTGGAGGCATGAAATGTTCTAAAATTGTCGTGATGGTTGCACAACTCTGTATATACTAAAAATCACTGAGTGGTACATTTTAAATGGGTGAATTGTTTAGCATGTAAATTATATCTCAATAAAGTTGTTAATAAAAAATAAAAAAGAGTCACAAACCAAAATCATCCCTGAAAGCACTCTGAGTACTGGGCAGACAATACTCCCAATTCCCTAAACAGAATCCTCGAGACACACAGCTTTTAGATCCCACAAAATGATTTTTCTTTTTCTTTTTTTTTTTTCTTCATTTTTCTTTTTAGAGACAGCTCTGAACACAGAATGATTTCATAATCAGGGACATTTTTGAGACAGGAGACTTCATGGTTCCAGGCTTTGAGTGAGGTGGAGAACTCCTAAAGGACCCACCCAGGAGATGACACTGCCTGAACAGATAACTGTCCCTGTCGCCTCCCACTCCACTCTACAGCGACACCCCTTCCACAGCAGTCAGCTGTTTTCCAGGTACAAGAGACACCTCACCACCCTGGCCAGTTTACAGACCAGCTTTCGAGCCCAGAAATTTCCCTGTAGGAAATTTGTAAGGACCACTGGCTCATGGGGAGGAAATAAATCAATAAAAGGAAAAAAAAATGAATAATACTGTTTTTTTAAAGAGAGAATGGAATCATCCTTTTCTTAAGAAGACAGAAAGCCAAGGCATTATATTTAAATAAAAAATTTAAATAATTGAATGATTTTAAAAGAATTCATCTTATTAAAAGGTAGAGACCGGAAAAAAAATGAGAGTAAGAGAGAGGGCAAGAGAAAGGAAGAAAGAAGAGACAGGAGCTGGGCACAGTGGTGCGCCAGTAGTCCAACTACCTGGGAGGCCAAGGTGGAAGCATCACTTGAGGCCAGGGATTCAAGACCAGCTTGGGCAACATAGTGAGACCCCCCTCACCCCTACCTGACTGGTAAAAAATGAAAAAAATTAGTTGGGCATGGTGGCTCGTGCCTGTAGTCCCAGCTACTCAGGAGGCTAAGGAGAGAGGATCACTTGAGCCCATGAGTTTGAGGTTACACTGAGCTATAATCACCCACTGTACTCCAGCCTGGGTGATACAGCAAGACCCTGTCTCTAAAAAAAAGAAGAGCGAGGAAGAAATAACAGGGTTTCAAGGAACTCCGCCCTGATAAGTCTTTTTAGTTTCATGACACAAGCAGAGCAGGTTACTTGTGAGCTCCTCCAGGCCAGTACCCAGGAAGCTCCAGGAAGATGACGTTGGCCAGGGCTGGTGGGCTATGGCTCCCAGCTGGTCCTGGAACATGTGGCCCTGTCACTGAATCCAGACGCTGAGCTCCTTACCATGAGAAAAGAAACGTCGTCCTCCTTCATCTCCATCTGCAGCCGCTCGATCTCATGTGCCAGCACCTCCGTCTCCTCTGTGAGCTGCTTCATCTTCTCGTCGGCCAGAAGTTGCTTCTGCCTTGTCTCCTCGGCCATGGCATCCAGAATGGCCTGCTCCTCCACTCTCAAGAACTCGCGAAGCTTATCAAACTCCTGCCGGATCCGGCCTTCCAGCCATGCAGCCTCCACCTACGGAAGACAGCAGGAGGAGTCAGGGGTCAGATGTGGAGAGGACATCCATAGCCCAGCAACTTTCCCATTTTTAGCAAAGGAAATTTATGTTCAAATAAATCATGTATAGAACCCCTACAGATAAAATATCAACATAATAGTTTATAAGCACAAATTTCTAAGTTCCGATTTCAAATGGGAAAGTCCAACAACCTAATATTAGATTGTTTTGACAGGGTTTTTAAAAATAAAATCACAGCTTATATAGATGGCAACTGTAGTACTATAACCTCATCTACATACAATGTTCAGTTCCTTCTTTAGGTTGCACCATAACAAGGGAAGTCCTGAATCATAGAAATGAATGGCTGCGAATAGCAATGATTTTTTTTTAAGTATTTACCTTCCAATCTTAGGACTTAAAATTTGTCTGATCCAGAGGCTTTACCAAAAGAGCAGTAGGAAGCATTCATTTTAAAACAATCATTAAAATAATATACACACTCCAAATCACAACCACAAAAAGTTTGTTTTTTTTTTTCTTTTTGAGACTAAGTCTCGCTCTTTCACCTAGGCTGGAGTGCAGTGGTGTGATCTTGGCTCACTGCAACCTCTGCCTCCTGGGTTCAAGCAATTTTCCCTGCCTCAGCCTCCCGAGTAGCTGGGACTACAGGCACACGCCACCACGCCCAGCTAATTTTTGTATTTTTTAGTAGAGATGGGGTTTTGCCACGTTGGTCAGGCTGGTCTCAAACTCCTGACTTAAGGTGATCTGCCCGCCTCGGCCTCCCAAAGTGCTGGGATTACAAGCGTGAGCCACTGTGCCCAGCCTCACAAAAAGTTTTTTAAAAGGGAAGATAAAACCATAAATGTAATGAAAGAAAAAGCAAATAAATATTTCTCAGCTTGGAATAAGAAAGACATTCCTCGGCACAGTATGAAACTGAGAAGCCTTGAAGAAAGAATGAGATAACTGAATACACAGAAAAATAAGAGGTGTGTATGGCAAGAGACTATCATAAAGTTAAAGACAAAAATACAATTCCATGACAACTGTTGGAAAAACCATTCAAAATGTGTGCTGTGGCAATGGCAGGTTAGTAAACTCATCTTTGGACTGAAAGTTAAATACAGATGCTCCTCAAGTTATGATGGGGTTACATCCCAATAAACCCATCATAAGTTGAAAAATAGTTAAGTCAAAGCAATGAATACACCTAACCTACTAAAAACATCATAGGTTAGCCTAGCCTACCTTAAACGTGCCCAGGACACTCACATTAGCCTACACTTGGGCAGAATCATCCAACACAAAGCCTATGTCATAATAAAGCACTGAGTGTCTCATGTAATTTATTGAATACTGTACTGAAGGGGAAAAACAGAATGGTTGTATGGGTACTCAAAGTACAGTTTCTACTGAATGCATATTGCTTTCGTACCACAGTAAAGTCAAAAAATCATAAGCCAGGGACTGTGTGTATGTTTACAGCTCTGAAAATATACGAAAAGGATTCACTGAAAAAATGAAAATGGCCAAAAAAATTGAGAATGATCCACTCAAAAAGAAATGACAAACTAGGAAATATATTTGCAACATTTATGACAAATGGCTATTATTATTAATGTACAAAGCACTCTTACAAATCCACTAAGAGAAAAGACAAATATTCCAAGGGAAAAAAAGAATGTGAATTAGCATTCACAGAAGAAGCATAAATGACTATTATGCTTGTGAAAAGATGTACAAACTTACCAATAATCAAAGAAATGCAAATGAGGACAAACAGCATGGTTAACCTATCAGGCTGAAAAGACTGATAATGTCTGCATTGGAGAGAGTAGAATCCAGGGTGATTCTCTTTTTTTTTTTTTTTTTTTACATTTAAGTTCCAGGATACATGTGCAGGACATGCAGGTTTGTTACATAGGTAAATGTGCGCCATGGTGGTCTGCTGCACCTGTCAACCCATCACCTAGGCATTAAGCCCCGCATGCATTAGCTATTTATCCTGATGCTCTCCCTCTCCCCAGTAATTCTTATCACACAAAAACATCAAGAACACAGCATGGCAGGAAAAACCAGCAAGTGCAAGGTCAACTCCTGCCCACTCACCGTGGGCAATGACGGCCTCACTGTAAAGGAACAAACACCAGAACTTTCACTTTCCTCATCGACCTGATAACTGAATTTAATAGAAAAAGTACTAATCAGGCTGGAATTCTAGGGGCTTCCCATGTGACCTCATTACCCTTAGCCTCAGCAAAAAGCTCAGGACTCCTACACTCCCTGGGATGGGCAGGCAGTGCCACCACACAGACAGACAGATACTCCCTAAGTATCCCCAACCCAGTCCTGTACAAGGCAAGCCAGTCATATGGCTTTAGCCACAGAAGGAAACCAAGTAAGAGAACAATGATAAAGCTACATGACTCCACGATGACTACTGGAAAAACAACTCAACAAACTCCAGCAACAGCAGGTTCGTAATCGCTATTTGGAGTTGGAATTTCAACATGTATTTATGGCTCTGACATCGGATGACAAAATAATCTACTGAACAAAGTGAAAACTCTCTCCCACCAGTTTGTTGGTCTATTAGACATCAGAAATGTTAAGGACTTGTCTCTGTTGGGCACTTGTATGCATTATCTTATCTAAATTTTTTTTTAAAAACCCTAGTAAAAGGGAATTGCCCTCTTTTTACAGAGGAGGGGATTAGCTTGGAGGGGGTTGAGGGATTTGCTGGGGAACTGGGCTTAGATTTGGAAATAGGTCTGCTTTGCGGTTACTGCCCTGGCACCCAGTGTGTCACATAATCCTTTCTTCCACACTGTTCCACCAGCTCTGTGGCTCAGGGTAAACTCCACAGCCAAATGTTAATGAGGCTCTTTCCTGGGACTAATCCTCACCTATGGACACATGGTGGAGGGGACCGCAGGCTCCTGAGGACAGCGCCCAGCAACCTGGACCAGGCATGGCTCAGCTGTGGCTAAGATGAGTCTAACAGAGTGGTAATTACTAGAAGCAACCACTTCAGAAAGCCAAAGACCAGAGCCAAGATCAACAGTCAGAAACAAGGTTGCCAATCCACACAGGACCTGGAGGAAGAGAGGGTGCCAGGCAGAACAACCAGAATGGGGACAGAGGGAGCCCACTCATTCATTTGATTAACAGTTATTGGTCACCTACCCACTTCACTCATTCAATCAACAATTTTTATTGGTCACCTATTGTGTGCCAAGAACTCCTCTAGATAACTGGCAATAGTGTGCCCTGTTTTCATTATATTTTGACAGGAAGGGATAAAAAGCAAATAGAAAACAAAAGGTAATTACAGGTAATGAAGTGTCATTAAGAAAATAAACCAGGAAATTATGCCATCGAGTAAAAGAGGAGGATGATCAGGAAAAGCTTCTTTAAGAGAACATCTGAGCTGAGATTTTAATGGCAAAGATGCTGGGCATGTGTTCTGGGGAGAAGACTTAGTTTGCTTAAGGGACAGAAAGAAGGTGAGGCAGAGAAGTAAATGAGGTTGAGGATAGGCAGGGTCAGGAGATGGCCTTGGAGGCCATGGTAAGGAATCTGGGTGGTACTGAGGGTGACTGGAAGCCACTGGCAGTTTTAAGCAGAGGAGGGGCACGGCTGGTGTTTTTTTCTAAACGATCACCCCAGTCCATGGAAAGGAGAATGCACAAGAATGAAAGCATGAGGCCCTAGGCAGGAGGCCCAGTGAGAGATGATGATGACCTGGACCAAAAGGTGGAGGGTTTTACAGAAATAACATACTTTGGAGATAGGGGAATAGGATTGCTGATGGAGTGGATGTGGGAACTGAAAGAAAACAAGAAAGTACATGAGTCCCAGGTCATCATTGAACACACAGGTGGCAGTGATATGATGCATGTGCCATAGTGCAGATGGTGTTGGTAGCTTTTTAAGTCACTCCTGTGGCTGCTGGCATGACCACGCCTGGGTCTTTAGAGGGGCCAAGGCAGAGAAGCCACAGTCAGCATCCAGGACGTGGCTGCACAGGACCATCAGAGGTAAGGCAGCCGACCTCTACCCAGCGGGTTATGTGAGCCAAAGCCACGGCTGACACATCTTCACTCCTCCCCAGACTGCCCTGAGTGGACCCAATCTTCCCACTTGGCCCCATCGTTCGCTCACCTGATTGTGCTTGGCGATGGCCTCATAGGAGCGCCGCATGGCCCAGAAGGCCTTGGCCTTCTCCCGCAGTGCATGCTCCATGTTCCTGCACTTGGCCTGACATGGGAATGAGAGAGAGGGAGGAAGACAGGTTAGGGCTGGAGGCTGGGCAGAGAGGGCAGACACATCACATTTACAACTGGGACTCCACTTCAACACAAGTGTAACTCAACTGCATTTGCCTAACCCCATCCATGCCAAGTGCTCTGGGCACAAATGGTAAGTAAGGTCCTGATCCTGAATCAGACATCCATGGGATAAAGAGCCCTCAGACATCCTGTAGCCCAGCCTGGTACAGACTGGGAGATGGGGCTGAGAAGAAGCAAGCTGCTCTCTCTCATGTTGGTCACAGCACAGGCCAGAAGAGTGTCCCATGTGGGCCAAAAGCTGGTTCATGCTGGGTCTGAATCCCTGAGCTGTGTGGACAACTGCAGACAGTGTGGTCATAGGTTCCCTCTGCAGTTTCCTAAACTGAATGGGTCTGCAATCTCTAATGTGAGGTGACTGACAATGGGGGTGGAGCCAGTCATTTCCCACGGGGTTCAGTTACCTCCCATGAGGCCTCACCTCAACATGCCCAACATGCCCCTCCATACCCCTCCTGCATCCTGACATTCTAACACTGCTTGTATCGCACGGAATACTTTAATCAGCAGGCACAAATACTTTTGGTTTAGTAGTTTTTGTTTCTTAAACTTTAATGATTGTTTCTGATGTCCTTGGACAACTTGAAGAACCACTAGAGTGTTTTAGGTTGGATTCCTGCCTCTTGTATCTTAGGCCTATCATTTTTTCTCCCTCATTATCCTTTTCGATCTACATTCTCAGAAAGCTTCTCAAGTTTTTTCTTAAGAAAAATAATTCAAATAATTATAAATGGTTATCATTTATTCAGTACTTACTCTGTGCCAGGGACAACACCAATTACTTGAGAAATTATGTCATTTAATCATTACTTCTCCCTAGTAGATAAGTAATATTATTGGCCCCATTTATAGATGAGAAAGTGAGGCACAGAAGGGAAATGACCAGCCCAAGGGCACACAGCTAGTATGTGGAAGGACGTGAACCTGGACAGCTATGGAGGCAGCTGCTGAGACAGCACCCAGTGATCCCTCCCTCCTGTGAGATGAGAGTGTTTTAAGCTGCTAAATGTCGGGGTGACTGGATATGCAGCAATAAATTATACAGATGTGTCGCCCAAAGCCTCATTCCCATCTGGACCTGATTTAGATGACAAATCTGGACTTTGGGCTGATGCTGTAAAGGGATGAGATGTTTGGAGAGCTTGGGAGAGGGCCAGTGCATTTTGCATGTGGGAGGGACATGACTCCTTATGGGGCAAAGGACAGATTCAGGCAGGCAGCCTCTAAAGTGGCCCCAGTGACCCTCACCTCCTGATACTCATGCTCTTGTGAAATCCCCTCCTCTGTGGGTGACTTGTTTCTAACCAAAAGAATGTGGCAAGTGATACTAAGTCACCTCTGAGGTTAGGCGACAAAGGCTGTGTACACCCTGCCTTCCTCTCTCTAGCTTGCTCACTGGGATGGTAGCCAGCTGCCCATGTGGTAATTTGCCCTGGGAGTGACTGCTGGGGCAAGAAACTGAGAGTGGCTTCTGACCTACAGCCAGTGAGGGACTCAGGCTCTCAGGCTAACAGCCCGTGAAGACCTGAATCCTGCCAACAACTACAAATGTGAGTGTAAATAAGGATCCTGCCCTAGCTGAGCCTTCAGATGAGACCACAGCTCCATACCTACAGCCCCTCATGACAGACCTTGAGGCAGAGGCACCCAGAGCTAAGGCAGGCCCAATTCCTGACCCACAGAAACTCAAAGATAATAAATGTTTGTTTTAAGGCACTAAGTTTTGGGCAATTTGCTAGGAAATAGAGAACTAGCCCATTGGTTAGAACTAGCCCACAGAACCCTGACTGCAGCCCCTCATGAGACACCTTGAGGCAGAGGCACCCAGAGCTAAGGCAGGCCCAATTCCTGACCCAAAGAAACTCAAAGATAATTAATGTTTGTTTTAAGGCACTAAGTTTTGGGGCAATTTGCTAGGAAATAGAGAACTAGCCCATTTGTCCCACTCAGTAGCCCATTCCTTTAAGTCTTTCACTACAGAAAACAAAATGGTTACTGATTTCATTTTCTGCAGTTCTGTTTTATTTTCAACTCATTTTGATCTTTTAATCTTAAGTGACAATATTTAAGATTTTTAAACTTTGTTTTCTGTAGTATATCATCTCTAATTTGCATGAGTGCCCCCACAAAACCACTGAAATGTCATTCCAATGTTTTATTTTATAGAATGAGATTTTTGATACAAAATCATGTAATACAGTTCAAAAGGAAAATTTAGTGATTTGCCAAATTAGTTAAGTGACAGGAGTGAAGCAGCTGTCCATACGCATTACCCAAAGGTGTGCAGGCCCCAAAACAACACAGTTCAGCCCCTGCCCTTCAACCCTGGCCCTTAGGAATTTATGGGACAATAAGGATGGGAAGGGGATAGTCCCTTGATCTTCTCAAACTTTTCAATCACTTGGAGAGTTCTGGTTTCCTTCAGAAAAGACCAATCCTAAAATGGCCCTTCTCTGAGATGTCAGCTGATGAGACTAACCAACAATTATATTACTATTGCTAGCAAGCAGTTACTATTAAGCATGTACTAGACACAAGGCACTAAATTATGCACTTTACAAACATTCTATTTAATTCAATTATTTAATTCGAATTCTCCCTATAAGGTTAAGCACTGTGAGTCCCATTATACAGAGGATCAAGTTAGACCCAGAGGAGGTAACCTTCTTGTACATGTCTCCTGGGGACACATGGGAACTCGTTTCTTCATAATATATTCCTGGGGATAAAACTGCTGGGCCACCATATGTGTCTTCACTTTACTGCGTAATGCCAAATTGTTTTCCAAAGCAGTGGTACCAATTTTTACAGCAAGAGCAATGTTAATAGAAAATGTTTATTGACCACTTCAATGTTTATTTTTAAGTACTCAGTAAAGTATTGTCCATTTTTCCATTGCGTTGCCTGCCATTTTCCTAACTGGTTTGTGGGAATTTATTATATATACACAATGTATGTCCTTGATTAGTTAGAGGTGTAATGAATATTTTCTACTTCATCATTTATCTTTCTTAATTGAAATATGGCCAAATTTATTAGTCTTTTCCTTTAGGATTAGTATACTAGTTTTAAGAAACACCTCCCTACACTGAGATCACAAAAACAATCGTATTATTTCCTCAAAGCTTTATAGCTTTGCATTATTATTGTATAGCTCTGTAGTATTTTCTCAAAGCTTTATAGCTTTCCTTTCACATTTAGGTCTGATGTGGATACCTGGAGTTTATTTTTGCACATGGTGTGACCAGGTAGCTCATTGTCTCAGCACCATTATTTAAAAAGACCATTACTGCCCACTGGTCTGCAGAGCCACCTCTGTCTTAAATCAGACACAGATCTGTTTTTTGGTTCTCTCCATCTGTTTCTCTGGCCCATCTGTTTATCCTTGTGCCAACATCACACAGCCATAATTTCTATAGCTGTAAAAAAGAGAGGATTTCTGATAGGTTTCTCTTCAAGAATGTCTTGGCAATTTTTGGCCCTTTGAGGGTCATATAAATTTTAGAATCTGTGAAGTTGCATAAAAATAATCATGTTGAGATTTAGATTAGTACAATATTGTCTCTATAGATCAATTTGGGGAAAACTGAAAGGCTTAAATACTGACTTTACTAATCCACGAACATAATATATCACACCAGTTACTTAATGTTCTTTGATAGCTCTCAACGAAGTATATTTTTCCCTATCAGAGTTTTGCGTATCTTTTATTAATTTCTTCCTAGTTATCTTATTTTTTATATTATTGTAAACATATTTTTAAATTAAAAAAACCCAAAACAGGGTCCCCCTCTGTCACCCAGGCTGCAGTGCAGTAGTAGCACAATCATAGCTCACTGCAGCCTCCTGTGCTCAAGTGATCCTCCCACCACCTCAGCCTCCCAAGTAGCTGGGACTACAAGCATGCACCACCACACCTGGCTAATTTGTTTTAACTTTTTGTAGAGACAGGCTGGACTATGTTGTGCAAGCTGGTCTGAAACTCCTTGGCTCAAACGATCCTCCTGCCTCAGCCTCCCAAAGTGCTGGGATTACAGGTGTAAAACTCCCTGCCTATATTTTATTTTCTATTTGCTAGTGATACATAGAAATACAACTGGTTTTGCATCTTGATTTTGGATTCAGCATTCACCTAAACTTATTAATACTTATGATTTAACTGTAGAATCTTTATTTTCTACACATAGAAATCTCAGTGCAAAAATATGCAACCATATTATCTACACATGCCAGTTTTGCTTCCCTTCTTTCCAAACCTTACATCTTTTATTTATAATTATTGGCTTACTTCATTGACAAGGCTATCCCACACAAAACTGAATAGAGTTGGTCATAATGCGCATTCCTGTCTTTTTCTTGATCTCAATAAGAAAGCTTTCAATGTTTTGCCATTAAATGTGATATTTGCTGTAAGTTTTTTTGCTAGATATACTTAATCAAACTAATGAAATTCCTTCCATTTCTAGTTTCCTGTTTTTTTAAACACAAAAAGATGGTAAATTTTATCAAATGTTTTCTCACTGAGATAATTATATTAAGCAACACAGAATTAGGTTTCGTTTTCTTATCCAGTCAGATCAACATTTTCATTTAACTGGAGTATTTAACACATAATTACCGATATGTTTGCATTTAAATCTGCCACCTTGTTCTGAGCTATTTGTCTTGCTTATTCTATTTTTCTTTTTCTTCCTTTCCTTTTTTAAAATTTACTACACATTTTTTATTCCATTTTCCCCTTCTGTGCATCTAGTGGTTCACCTAGGAAATATGACATGTAAGAAGTGTGAATTTGAATGCATCTAAACAATATTATTTTGTTTGCTTTTGGTATTAATTTTAACCCTAAATATGCTTAGATTACAAATAGAACTACCACTCAAGGGGCCTGCCTGTAGCCCAAGGAGCACATGAATGAGCAGAGATGGGCAGTAGCAGGGGCCCACAACAGATCTGGAGCATCCCCCAGCCCAAGCTCAGGAGAGCAAACAAGCTTCGATGTTAGCATCACATTATAACATTAAGATTTTTTATTTATTTATTTTATATTTTTTACTTTTTTGAGATAGAGTCTCATTCTTCTTGTCCAGGCTAGAGTGCAGTGGCGCAATCTCGGCTCACTGCAACCTCTGTCTCCCAGATTCAAGCAATTCTCTTGCCTCAGCCTCCCAAGTAGCTAGGATTACAAGTGCCTGCCGCCATGCCCAACTAATTTTTGTATTTTTAGTAGAGACAGGGTTTCACCATGTTGGCCAGGCTGGTCTTGAACTCCTGATCTCAGGTGATCCGCCCGCCTCGGCATCCCAAAATGCTGGGATTACAGGCATGAGCCACCGCGTCCAGCCTACGTTAAAGATTAGTTATAAACACACACAAAATAGGTTTTTATTCATACTAAAGGATCCAGAATGTGATCATATAGACTACATGATTTCCCAAAAATGACAAGTTGATTCCTTAAGCAACAAATTTCAATTGCATATTGAAGATCTTAAGCACTTTACAAAATCACGTTACCCACAATTTTCATTAACAGGACAGGTGCTCTGTGGTATAGCTGGAAGCAGGAAGGTAGGGGCAAGGGAAAGAATGAATTTCATTGCACAAGGTCTTCATAGCCTCTTTGCAAGGACTTACCAAAGTGCTAGAGTTGCATGTGAAACCAGCTCTGTCTGGCCTGAGCCAGGTTTTCTGTCTTGTGAGACTTGATACACACTGTTGCTCTGCCTGGTTCCCACCTGCTTCCCCCAACTAACCCAACATCACCTTGAAAACTCGGCTCTAGTACCCCTCATTTCCTCCAGGAAGCCCCCCGATCTTGCCAGCTCAGGTTCCATTCCAGGGCATCACAGCACCCTGGCCACCTCTGTCTCAGCACTCACTATCCAGGGTAATAGCTTCTCTTTCCTGAGGGCAGGTCTTAACCTCCAGGTCCTCTCTACCTTGCATAGTGGTGCTCGGTACACTTCTGCAGAAGGAATGCTTGCTCTGCAAGGTGAGAGACTTTGTTTTGTCCCCTGCATGTCCAAGTCCCTGCACAAAGTAGATGTTCAGTTAACCACCTGCCCAGTCAATGAGTACATGGAATGCCTGTGTTTTTTCTGCTATATACCTTGCCTCCTGGACTGAAGGTTAGGAGAGCTGGTTTGGAGCCTTGTCTTTGTCACTATCCACTGGTGAGTTGGTAAAAAGTTCCTTCTCTCTTCGGCTATCAGGCTCCTCACCTTAAAAATGAAAGCAGAGAAGTCTCTACAGTCTCCCAAATTTCACGATTTGTTTTCAGGCAGATTGATGTAGCAGCCAAGAGTTCTGGCACCTGGCCGACCAGGTTCAAATCCCAGCACCTCTACCTAGTAGCAGGTGATCTTGAACATGTTCCTTCACTTCTCTGCACCTCCATTTCCTCATCTGGATAAGAGGGATAAAAAATACTACCAAGCTCAAAGGACTGCTGTGAGGACTCCACAAATCAATCCCTATAAGATGCTTACATGAGAGTGGCAGGCACATGCTGTGCATTCGGCATAGCTCTTAAGTGCCACCTACATGCCAGGTAACCTAACTGTCCTGCTGGATATGGTCCAGGTTTCTTAAATGAACAGTAAAAATGCATGGAGCTTTCTTATGCAACTCCAAATCAGTCTCCCAGATCTGTCTTTCCCCTTTGTGTTCAGACCTCCTTCCAAAGCAAGTGTCTGCCATGCAGCCCACTGCTGGAGGCCATCACTCAGGAGCCTCAGTGTGCAGGGTCTAGTGAGACACCCCCCACTCCCAATACCACTGGGCACAGGCCTGGACAAGCAAGCAAGCAACAATGTCCTCTGGTGCAACCAAAGAGCTGGTAAGTCCTCACCTAGAAGCTGGGGATCAGGATGGGGGTGAGTGGTTAGGAAATGGGGAAAAGCATTGGAAGGGGGAAGACCTGGAATGTGGCTTAAGAGGTATCGAGAGTACCCTTGGGTTAGATCCAGCCAGATGGACTCTAAGATGTTGACGCCAGAAGGGGAGAGAGGGCTGGAGCTGGGACAGGGAGAGGCTGGTGGCAAAGAATGGTCATCATGCCAGTCCTGCAAGATGGATAAGACAAGGGTCTGCACAAGGCAGCTCAGCACAGGGCTGCTGTAGAAGATGCAAGCTGGAGAGTGCTGGACTGGGAGGCAGGAAACCTGAGTTCTGATCCTAGAACTTTATTTATTTATTTATGTAAGATACAGGGTCTCACACTGTTGCCCAGGCTGGATGCAGTGGCCCAGTCATAGCTCACTGCACCCTCGAATGCCTGGCCTCAAGCAATCCTCCCATCTCAGCCCCTCGAGTAGCTGGGACTACAGGTATGTGCCACCACACCCGGCTAATTTTTTTCTTCTTTGGTGCAGGATCTTGAACTACTGGCCTCAAGCAATCCTCCTGCCTCAGCCTCCCCAAGCACTGGGATTACAGGCATGAAACACACTGGCCTTGATCCACTTCTCATTACTTAGATGTAACCACCTCCTCACAAGATGTAACCATTCCATCACAATAGAATGACGCACGGTCTGTGTCTGAGGATGTTTTCATTTAATGGCAACCTAAACCAAACCTAAGACAATCCTACTCCAAGCCACGACATAAACAGCGCTGACACATGCTTTCAGTTCACAACTTCATCATCAGCATTCGTATTTTCTTTTTTTCTTTCTTTTTTTTTTTTTTGAGACAGTGTCTTGCTCTGTCGTACAGGCTGGAGGGCAGTGGCACGATCTCGGCTCACTGCAACCTCCATCTCCCGGGTTTAAGCGATTCTCCTGCCTCAGCCTCCCAAGTAGCTGGGACTACAGGTACCTGCCACCATGCCTGGTTAATTTTTGCATTTTTAGTAGAGATGGGGTTTCACCATACTGGCCAGGCTGGTCTCGAACTCCTGACCTCGTGATCTGCCTGCCTCGGCCTCCCAAAGTGCTGGGATTACAGGCATGAGCCACCACACCCGGCCACCATTCATATTTTCTTAACAGCTTACTTGATATCAAGACATGACTTTCATCGTCTTGTCCTGATAAGGAAAGAAGAGAAATACACATAGCAGGTAAAGAATGTGCCGGACCCAAATGAAGGCCAATCCCGTAACAAGAAAGCTCCAGAGCTCTTCAGAGAAATTTGGGCGGATTAAGTAGTCACTTGGAACAGAGTAATGGGAGAATCAGAAGTATCTTGGCCAGGAGTAGAGATTTTGTTCCAGCAAAATAAAACTTTAGAATTAATATTTTAAGTGGAATGTTATTGATTATAGTTTTGTATTCAGTCTGTTCACTTCCTTTTGTTTTATTGCTTATATGTAGCATGAGCAAGTGCTATTTATACCAGGTTTGCATTTGTATGCATGTAAATAATAACATAATTTAACTCTCACTGGCTAGACTATTTTTTCCTTTAAGAAGAATGCATACTTGTTCAAGTTTGAGAAACGCCAGACTAGGATTTCTGAAGGTCCTTCCAAGCACTGTTCCTTGCTACAGCTCTGCTGTAAACATGATGCCAGGCTCCCAAATCTCATCAGTCCTTCCATCATGCGCCACTGCACCTACGATAAAAATCCCAGCTCCTAAGCAGGGCCCTCTGTGTCCTGTGGGATCTGTCCTGCAGTTCCTCATCCCCACGTGAACCATCTCTCAGTCACTGCACACCCCCACGCTGTGCCCCGCCGCCACACCCCCGCCACACACACACACTGCTCGCCGCCCCTCAATCAGCTCCTCTCAGCGAAATCACTTCCTTGGAGACTCCTTCCCACACCCCACCAAACAAGAGCAGCCTCCCCCTTACAATCTCCCACCACATCCTGTACTGTCCTTCACAGGAATGTTGAGCTGAAACTATGTAATTATTAGTGAGATGATACAACCATGCCCACAAAGGCAAGGTCTAGGACTGTCCGGTCCTGTCCTGGACACAGTACTGGCACACAACCAGTACCTTCTGCCAGCCCTGACAATGGTCAACAGCCACTCCAACCCCTAACACACAGTCAGCTGCCCGCTGAAGTCTGAGATGAGAGAAACCTCTCTCAAAGTCCAGGACCAGTGTGTGAACTGAACAAGGCTCCAGGTGATCTTTAGAGCTACTTGCTCTGTGACTTTGGACAAGTTTCTTACCCTCTCTATGATTCTATAATTGTCTATAAAATGGGGATAATAGCACCTAACTGTAGCAAGCTGAATAATTATTTCCCCGAAAAGATGTCCCCATTCTAATCCCCAGAATCTTGTATGGCAAAAGGGACTGTGCAGATGATTAAATTAAGGATCTTGCTGTGGGGAGGTTATCCTGGATTACCTGGGTGGGCCCAATGTCATCACAGGGTCCTTATGAGAGGGAGGTAGTAGAACTGGTCAAAGAAGTCAAAGTGACAACAGATGCAGAACGGAATGACACACTTCAGAGCTGGAAGAAGGGGCCTCTGCAAGCTGGAGAAGGCAAGGAAATAAATTCTCCCTGGAGCCTCCAAAAGGAATGTAGCCCTGCAGACACCTCGATTTTAGGACTTCCAACCTCCAGAACCATAAGAGAACAAACTTGTGCTATTTTAAACCACCACATTTATTACGCAGTAACAGGAAACACAGGACCTGAAAATACGTTTTTGTGAGCATTAAATTTGTTGACGTGTGAACACTGAAAAGCATCTAGCACACAGTGAGCACTGAAATGTGTTAGCTGGGATGATTTTGACTTTGCTGTTCCTCACATAGATAGTTGGCAAAGTAATCTTTCTCTAAAACACACATCCCATCACAAACTCCCCTGTTTAGAATCTTTCAGAGCTCCCCACAGCACAAAACGGAAAACCCCCTCAGTGAGGCACACAGCTTCTTACCCAGTCCCTTCTTACCAAGTGGTGGAGGGAATCTTCCCATACCGCTCCCCCACAACCACCTACCTTGAATCACACAGAACTACATCTTGTCTATTGACTGTCTATGCCCCCTGCTCAAATGAGAATTCCATGAAGCTAAGAAGAGGCCACAGCACACAACAGCCATCAGTACCCATTTGTCTAGTAAATGAGTGATTTGCACCCTGCATCAGGCTGACCACACCTGGCTCTCATTCTTCTCAGATCCATTTGGGACTAGACTACTCAGCCCCTGACATCATCCTGAGTGTCCACTGACTTGACACCATCATTCTTCTGCTAAAACCCCCAGCTGCTGTTCACAGCAAGGGTGAGCCACCGGCCTCCTGGATCCTCCTGCACGTCCCTCCTCATTCTAACTACCCTTAAATTCCCTCAGTGCCTAGAAAGTCAGGCTTTCCCACTTCTGGACCCTTCCAAATGCTGCTGCCTCTATCTGAAATACCCTCTTTCACCTGGCTAACACCTCCTCTTCCCTCGGGTCTCTGCTGGAAGCTCCTTGAGGCTGGAAATGGTCTATCTTGTCTCCTGCAGTATCCCTGGGACCTTGCAGTACCAGGCATCTGCTGGTGCATGGCTCTCTGCTCTTGAATCCTGGCTTGGCCCCAGCCTGGGGGCTCTGCCTGGGTGTTCTCAGCCCTGACCCCAGCATCTCCTGATCAGCACCTCGGCCAGCCAAATAGGCATCAGTCATGACCTGAACCATGATCCCTCCTTTACCTGGGCCCCAGACCCCTGGCTGGCCAGCACTTATTCCAGCTGTCCCAAATCAGGATCTGTCACTTCTGCCAGTGGAAACAGGAAAAGCATTGACATGGACCCATGTTAAACAAAAAAGATGACAGGAGTAACAGGGTTACTCATTGAGACATGCGTACTGACAGCATCCTTACATTCCCCTTCAATTAAACTTTGTCAAATGCATTTGGAGCGGAACAGACTTCCGTATTTAAAAAGGTATTGCAAAAAAAGAAGGCAGGGCCACAGAGGGGGCCAGAAACCAGGCACAGGGGACTCGGGCAGCTCCTCCTCTCCAGTCCATGCAGCTTCGGGCCAGCTACCCAGTGTTCTCCCAATTGGGGCTCTGACTCATGCATTAGCAGGTGATGAAATAAATTCAATGTTTCACATTCTGGGTAATTTTTAAAAGTAACAGAGGCCAGGCGGAGTGGCTCACGCCTGTAATCCCAGTAGTTTGGGAGGCAGAGGAGGGCAGATCACTTGAGGCCAGGAGTTCCAGACCAGCCTGGCCAACATGGTGAAACCCTGCCTCTACTAGAAATTAAAAAAAAAAAAAAATTAGCCAGGCGTGTTGGTACATGCCTGTAATCTCAGCTACTCGGGAGGCTGAGGCACCAGAATCGCTTGAACCCAGGAGGCGGAGGTTGCAGTGAGCTAAGAGCACGCCACTGCACTCTAACCTGGGCGATAGAGGTCTCAAAAAAAAAAAAAAACAAAGGGAAGTAACAGAAAATATCAGAGTGCCATGGACATGTTCAGAAAACTTTTGTTTCAACTGATACATATGTTCTGGGTCACAAGGGAAAATGCATTGCTTCCTATGGGCTAAGATTAAACGTTTTGGAAAATGCTGAGTTAGGCTAACCCTTATCTTCTATTCATTTTTCCTTCCTATATCAAAGAATTCTCCATGTTAGTTTTGCCCTGTAAGTTGCTCCTGGGTTTATGTATAGTCACTAGAACTCTAGATATGGAGATGCTGCTTTATAAACCAGAATAGGCCAGCCAGCCAGGGTCAGAGACCTCTCACTCAGATAATACAAACCGCGGGATCAGCTTGGCAAGTAGGTGACTGGTTTGGGGGAAATCTTAAGACTCCACACCCCTGGCCAGGTCTGTGGCTCCTCCTCCACTTCTAAATTGAGTGTGCCAAGCTACAGGGCTCGTGGGCTGCACCCACATCCGTGCCGCTTAAAGGGACCTGGGCCACACCCGGCTGGCACAAGGGGTGCATGGCCTGGGCCCTTCAGAAGCAAGTGTCGCTGTCTTGGGAACATCATGTAACCTCATCTGTCACTTTCCGTTCGCATTCTCTTCTCCCAGCACGGGCCCCTGGGCCGACCTTGAAGAAGCAGCCAGCCCTGAGAACCTGGGTCGGAGAGGTGGGGTCCTGCATGCTGGGAGCGAGACGCGGGCACACTGGGCTCTGGCAGGCAGGAGGGGCGGGAGCCGCAGAGCCAAGGGATTCCGGGTTCCAGACCCGGCTCGGCCGCCTCGTGCAAATCGCTGCTCTTACCCGAAAGTCGTGGGCAGTGTCCTTCACCGGCTGCACGCGGTGCCCCTGGTGTCGGGGGTCGGCCTGGCAGGAGCAGCACAGCAGCTCCTTGTCCTCGAGGCAGAAGAGGCTGAGCTGTCCGCGGTGCAGGCGGCAGACACGCGAGAAGCGGTAGCTGGTCCAGCGCGCGCCCTCGGCCTCCTCGCGCAGCAGCTTCTCCACCAGGTTGTTGAGGGTGTGGTTGGTGCGCAGGTCGGCGGGTGACGCGCGGTCTTTGCACACTGGGCAGGTGGGCGACACCTGCACCTCCCAGCAGCGGCTCACGCACCCGCGGCAGAAGTTGTGGCCGCAGCGCAGAGTGACTGCGTCGCGGAAGGGGTCGTAGCAGACGGCGCAGAGCAACTCCTCCTTGAAGGAGCGGGAAGGCCCGGGGGACACGTCGGGACTCCGCTCCATGGCACGAGCAGCCGGCTCGGGCGCCCGGAACTTTTGCTCCGGCCCCTCCCACCCGCCCGGCTGCCAACGCCCGCGACCCGAGTGCTGGGAATCGCCCAGTCCCTTCCCCTGGAACGCTGAGAGACAGCGGCGCTGGCCAATCGTGCGGGGGGGATGGCGAGGGGGAGGGAGGGGGCGCTCGGAGGAGCCCCACCCACTTCCGGTGTGCGCGGGAAATCTTGGGAGAGCGGGGTGGGCCTTCTGCCCGCAGTTCCCGCCTCCTCAGGTCCGGGCGGGTCCCTGGCCGGGGTAGCACGGAAGGGTCTCCCAGGCGGCGTAGTAGGGCTTCCGTGTTACTGGAAACCTACTTCCGGCTGCAAATGGGAAAAGGAGCCTCTACCTTAACCAATCCCCGGGAACCTCAGGCCCGCGGATGGGAGAAACCAGAGATGCCAACTTCCTGCTTCCGAAGTAGTGGCTGGGTCTTAAAGCACCGTGAGTGCAATCACCACTTAAGTTTGCAGCGCCTTTTTGAGGACCTATGCCACTCTTGCATTAGTCGTTTACTTATTTTGGCCAGTCTTCTTCTGGCCCGCCGCGGTAAGGAGAAACAAGAGAGGGGTGGCGGCAGAAGAGCTCCGAGAAAACCTGATTCTTGTCCTGTGGTTGAAAAAGTGAACAGGTCATCATGTTTCAAAGTCCATTTACTCATGAGTACAATGGCTGTAATAGCTCTGTTTCCATGAAGTGTGAGGATAAAGTGAAATAAATGTGGAAAGTGCTCATGACAACCACTGTTTTAATGGGCAAGTGCCCATTAAAACAGTGAAATTGAGGACTTCTGCAAAGTTTAGCTGAGATAACTAGAGTTCATGCTCAATTCTTGCCAGGTACAGTAGGCCTGGATGGTTCCTTCAGATCTTCATTCCTGCTTCAGTTTGATCACTTTACAGCCTCCAGATGCAGAATACTTTTCACACGATGCACTTTCATTCCTTTTCTATTGGGAGACAATTCACATGTGTCATGTTCCTGCATGTCTTGAGAGAGCAGAGGCACTGACTGCCTTTTTCCAACTATCTTTTCAAGGATGTTTCTGCATTGAATAGCCCTGGAAGACAGAATTCTTGTCTCTCCAAAGATCTGGCAGACTTATTCCCAATTATAAGAGATGTGAGTTTCCTAAACTTGGGGCCCCTCTCCTGTAATGCAACCTACTGTAGCCTTCATCACATAGTCTTGCAAGAATTAGGGCTCAGAAACTGGCCCAATGACAATACTGTGACTACTATTATTGCTGTTAGTATTATCCTTTGTCTCTGACCCAGGAGTTTCATCTTTTAGCAGTATTCATGAAATTTTGGCATGCAAACTTGTTAGTGTTGAAACTCAGAAAACAATACCCCAAAATGGCCTCAAAAGCAGAAATTTTTCTCTGCCCTCCTATCTCTCAGTCCCCCAAGGATAGCCATAGAAATTAGAATTCCTTTTCCCCAAGGCAGGTCATAGAAACCAGAACCCCTTTTTCCTAAAGCCAGTCTTGAAACCTTAAAATATTACTCTTTCTCTCTGCCTTTCTGTGGAATAACTGGCCATAAAGAAATTATCTGACCTACCTTGTTTGACTGTAGGCCATAAGAGCCCGATTCCAGAGAGGGTCCTACCCCATACCTGTTAGGGGTAGAAGGTGTCTGAGTTAACAGCAGTGAATCTGTATGGGTCTGCAGCAACCTCAATTCTTGCCTCCTTGGAAGAAAGAATTAGACTGAGGGGCATGATATGGTTTGGCTGTGTCCCCACCCCAAATCTCATCTTGAATTGTAATCCCCATAATTCCCACGTGTCAAGGGAGAGACCAGGTGGAGGTAATTGAATCACAGGGGTGGTTTTCCCCCCATGCTGTTCTCCTGATAGTGAGTGAGTTCTCACGAGATCTGATGGTTTTATAAGTGTTTGGTAATTCCTCCTGTGTTCATTCTCCTTCCTGCAGCCTTGCAAAGGAGGTGTCTTGCTTCACCTTCACCTTCCACTGTGATTGTAAGTTTTCTGAGGCCTCGCCAGCCATGCGGAACTGTGAGTCAATTAAACCTCTTTCCTTTATAAATTACCCAGTCAGTCTAAGGCAGTTCTTTATAGCAATGTGAAAATGGACTAATACAGGGCATAAGGCAGAAAAAGCAACTGAGGCAAGTTTCAGAGCAAGAGTGGAAGTTTATTAAAAAGTTTGGGACAGAAAAGAAAGTACACTTGGAAGAGACCCAAGCGGGCAACTTGAGGGACAAGTGTGGCATTTAACCCTGATCCTGGGACTTCATATGCTGGCCCACTTCTGGAGTCTTGCTGCCCTCTCCCTTCATTCTTCCCTCAGTGTGAGCTGCCCGAATGCACAGTGCCCTCCCTATGCTTGGGAGGTGAGCATGCACCATGTGCTTAGGAATTTGTACACATGCCCATCTGAGGCTTTCTTCCCTTTTCCAGTGGAATGCCCCCGGAAGGTCATACTCCACTATTTTGTCTCTTAATGTGCATGCCCAAGCTCACTCACCCAATTTCTGAAATTTTATTGGAAGCTGATTACCAATCTCAAGTGTTTTTATCTGTTTGGGAAATTGCCTATGCCTGGCACCTGCTTTAATATCAATTAACATCAAGTAACACTTTAGTGACAGCTGTGGACCATCAGGGAATTGTCTCTCTCCCTCTCTCTGGCCCATCTGCCAAATTATCCATTTTAGAAAGGCAGTGTGATAACTGTGAAACCATCACCTGGCATTCTTGCTTGAGGGGATTGGGGAGGGTAGAGTCCTCTCCTGCCCTGCTCATGCCTGTCTAACTACCTGTAACATACCTGGAAGGAAGAAATGCATGTTCGTAGAGGCCAAGAAAAATCTAGACAGACAGGCCTAGGTTCCCCACTCAGTTTATTAACATTAGCTCATACCCTTTTGTTCAATCATATTTCTACACAGCTACTCATACTTTGCTGAACCTAAGCATGAAAATGAGCCATTTCCAGTCTATCTTTAGGTCTTCATTCTGAAGGCTCCCATGTCACATAAAACTATGATCAGGCCAGGCATGGCGGATCGGGCCAGGTGCCAGTGGTGGCTCACACCTGTAACCCCAGCACTTTGGGAGGTCGAAGAAGGCCTTGAGCTCACAAGTTCAAAACCAGCCTGGGCAACATAGCAAAACCCCGTCTCTACAAAAAATACAACGGGCGCGTGTGGTGGTGTGCGCCTATAGCCTGAGGCAGGAAAATAGGGTCTGGAGGCAGGGAACATAAGGCCAATTCACACTTCAGCTGCGACAGCAAATATCCTCCCCATAGGGCGTAGGCCAAGTAAATAACTTTGTAACTTTACTTCATCCTCTCCATTTACATAGGGCGTACCCCAGGTAACCAATGGAGTCCTCCAGAGGGTATTTAAACCCCCAAAAGTTCTGTAATGGGGCCTTTGAGCCCCTATCTCAGGCCGGTTCCCACACTGTGGAGTTTACTTTCATTTTCCATAAAACCCTTCATGCCTTCCCTGCTTAGTTTGTGCGTTTTTTCCAATTCTTTGTTCAAGATGCCAATAACCTGGACACCCTCCACCATTAACAGTCCCAGCTACTCTGGAGGCTGAGGTGGGAGAATCGCTTGAATCCGGGAGGTGGCAGTGAGTCGAGATTGTGCCAGTGCACTCCAGCCCAGGTGACAGAGCCAGACCCTGTCTCAAAAAAATAAATAAACTTCTATCCCTTTCCTCTTCTTAACCTTTTTGTCAGTGATTTGCAGTGAAACTTCAAGGGGCAAAGGAGACGTTTTCCCTTGGCCCACACATTAGCTTGCAAGTAGGGTAAAATCTCAGACCTTTAAAGTTCTTAATAATTTCTTTCCACACTTTTCCTCAGCATAGTCCTTTCCTCACAATGACAAGGGATGAATACCACTAACTCTAATTGCCTTCAGTGTTTCTTAAATGTGGTTCATGGTTCTCCTGCAATTACCTGGGGAGTTTTCTAAAAGCAGTTTCCTGGGCCCACTTTAATCTACTCATCTCTCTTGTGGAAAGTGAGGCCCAGGAATCTTCATTTTCACTTGCATGCTAGGTGATTCTGAGGTGCAAGAAAGTTTGAAAGCAATTATCCTAGATCTATTCACCCAACAAGTTGTTGGGTCTCCAGCTATGGTTGGTTAGTGGTTCAAAAATTAACCTTAGAGGCAATATCCAAAAAAGCCACAAGATGGGGCTAACAACGCTACACTCCAGATAGCCCTCTCCCCTCCCCCCAACGCAGAGACTCTTACGTCGTCTCATTCTCTTTCACTGTGTTCTCTTATCTCTGTGTCCCAGTTGTGTTGTGAATCGATATGTGTTGCTGTCTATGTGTTTCATTCTGTTCTTACCTGATCTTCCTTATTTTGTTGGGTCTTTTTTTTTTCTCATATTCTGAATGGGGCCACAAATCAAAAACAAGAAGGAAGAGTAGAAATTGTATCTTTTAAACTACAATACAAAGGTTAACATTAAACCAATAAGGCTCTTCAATCATTCTGGAAATCCAGAAAGGACTTAGTTCTAGTCCAAGCTCTACCACTACCCAGGGGCAGGACCTGGGGCATATTATTTCACTTTTCTAACTTGCTTTTCCTCCACTATAAAAGAAAAGATGGAACTAATTGCTCCAAGTTCTGACCAACTTAGATGCTCTGAAATTGTTTTATTCTTTGCATATGGTGGGGGGGTGGGTAAGGGTGACTAAGACTTAGCCAGAGACCAGGAAAGAGAAATCTTGGTGACTAGAACCAATCTGTCACCAATTTATATTTCTCCTTTCAATACAAAGGACCTTATTCAGAGGTCCTTATTGATGTTCAAGTCCTATGTATACTAGCTAATCTTCTGCAAGAGCTTACTCAAAAGTTCTCATAATCTCTAATTTCCTGCATCCCACCTCCCAAATGCCCTGCCAAGCACTGCCAGATTTCCAAACCCCTTGCCATCACCATGTAAATTTGTGTAAGGAATAACTTTTTAAATTGTTAAGAAAATAAATTCCCAGGTGCAGAGAGTAAAGGAGGAAATTGCCTTGTTTTTTTTTTTTTCTGAAACAGTGAACTAGAAAGTGGCTACTGCAAATAAAGGCAGAGATTGTTAGATTATATAAAAAGGCAAGACTCAACTATATGCTGGCTATAAGGAACTTAACTTTAAATGTAAGCATACAGATTGAACTAACAGGATGGAAGAAGATATACCACACTAATGCTAATAAAAACAAAGCTGGTTTGACTATGTTAATATCAGACAAAGCAGATTTCAGATAACAAAATATTGGGATAAGGACAACAGTTGCTAAATAAAGTCAGCCACAGGGCTGGCAGCAGCATCTTCGGAAACAGGCATCCTGGCACTGCAGACATAATCGACCTTGTTCATCAGAGTTACCAAGTAAATCTTTGAGGAAATCACTGTAGTCCGATGTACCTTTACTGAGGCCTAAACTACAGAAACAAGGAGGGTGGGAGCTCTCAGTTGATCTGAATAATGCAGGGAGAACTTCTGTGAGAAATAGTGTTTAATCCAAGTAACTAGGGAAACACTGAGGGTGGTAAACTGCCTGCCTCTGGGTCATATTTGACTGCAAACATCTTTTATTTGACCTATACTTTTTTCTGTCTGTATCATTTATGATCTTTTAAGCTACATATAGATAAAATGCAACATAAAATGATTTAAGCCATAAGGGGGTGTATTATCTCACATACCAGGAAATCTGGAGGCAAAAGGCATCCACTGTTGGTTATGTCAGTGACTTTAGATTCATCCTCTCTCTGGTCAGCCTATGGCTTCCTTTTGGTTGGAAAATGACTGCAGCAACTCCAGCATCTTATCCTGATATGAACCAATGTCCAGAAATGAAATAAGGCCATTTCTCCCTGTATGTCTCATTTTCAGAGCTAAGAAACCTTTCTTAAAACCTTCCAGAATACTCCCTTGCATCTTATTGGCCAGAACTGGGTCACATGTTCACTTCTAAATTCATCACTGGCAAGGGGAATAAGACCATCATGATTGATTTGAGCTAATCAGAATTTACCTGAATCATGTGATGAAGGTGATTACCTGAGATACATTAGGGGCTCTGCTATTTATTATAAAAGGGAGAAAATTTTCCATTTGATAGGCAGTGACCTAGGCAATATTATGTCTTCCAATCCATGAACACAGGATGTCTTTTCCATTTCCTTATGCCTTCTATTATTTCACCAATGTTTTGTAGTTCTCATCATGCAGGACTTTTGCCTCCTTGGTTAAGCGTATTTCCAAGTATCTTATTTTTGCTGTCATTGTAAATGGAATTGTTTTTTCTTAACTTCCTTTGCAGATAGTTCACTGTCTGCCTTTGCGTTTTGAAAAAAGGAGGATCTGGCTTCATTAAGCTTACTTTTCTGCATGGCAATAGACTTTTGAGCTGAATAGCAGCTGCTCCCTGTAGGAGGGACATTTGTTCTCCCATTTGCCACAGTTCCTATCCAGCCAGCTTCCCTCACATTCCCTGCTCGGCCCCTGTAGGCATTTCGGCTTTCGACCTCTTGTTTAGATCATCCACATGAAGTTACACATTGCTGCAATTCATTATAAAGACACTGGAGTGGTACAGGAATAGACAGCCAACTTGGCAACTGGACACAACACAAAGCTGATTTTCCATGTTCCTGAAATTTATATTGAAGCACTCAATTATTTTATTGGAAACATTTTGAATGGGAATATTTCAGAAATATATTTTGTGGTTTTTTTTCTCTAAAGCATGCAGAACGTAATATAAATCATACCTCATGATGCACCAAAATAGACAATAATACTCTACTGTGCTGGCTAATAAAGTAATAGGAGTTAATGAAGTATGCAGGGTTATTTGTCTCTGTCCTGTAAATGGCCACAGATGCTTGGTTTTGAGGGCTCTTGCACATGCTAGGCATTTTTTTCCTGTCTAGAAGTTCTTCTTGTTCCTAACAATGCATTTGCCTGCAGCAATCTGCTTTCACTTCCTAGTTGATGTTTCCTGCACACGGTGGGCTGGGACCAGATCACCACGTTTGTTAAAATTATGGAATTCGACACTGGCAAGCAAGGTTTGGGCAGTCACTCAATGCTTCAGAGCTTATCCATGGGATGTTGGGGACCAGATGAGCCCACTCACAGGTGGGGGTTAGGGGTTCAGAGCCAAGAAGACCAAAGTCATAGAGCTGATTCAGAGTCGGCAGGGCATCAGGGAAGTCTCCTTTTCCAGGCAGCCACTCTTTCTAGGAGCAGCCTGCAGGCCAGCCCTGCAGCAACCTGGGGAGTTATGGAAATCCTGAAGCGTGCCCAATAGCTGCGGAAACCATGTGTCCTCTGTGGCAACCATGTGTCCTCTGTGGCATTGAGGCTTTCTCTGCATGGTTTTGTTTGTTTGTTTTTGAGGCAGAGTATTGCTCTATTGCCCAGGCTGGAGTATAGTGGCATGACCTCGGCTCACTGCAACCTCCGCCTCCAGGGTTCAAGCAATTCTTCTGCCTCAGCCTCCGGAGTAGCTGGAATTACAGGTATGCACCATCACACCCAGCTAATTTTTGTATTTTTAGTAGACATGGGGTTTCACCATGTCGGCCAGGCTGGTCTCAAACTCCTGACCTGAAGTGATCTGCCCACCTCAGCCTCCCAAAGTGCTGGGATTACAGGCGTGAGCCACTGCGCCTGGCCTTTCGTGTTGTTCTTTAATGGAACAATTAAAAATGCTCTTCAGTGTTTTCCATCCTTCCAAAAATTGACCCAAATCAATTTTTCAATGGTTTAACTATGTCTTTATTTTTCCCAAAGAGATTCACATTGGATTATTTCCAGGAGCCCTTTTTTATCCTCTGTGGAAAGATCTTATTTTGTTCATTTTTTTTAACTTTTTCATTATGTGCAGTTTCAAATGCACTCAATATTTTAGAGAGAACAGTATAATTAACCCCCACATACCCATCATTCAGCTTGCATTATTATCAACTTTGCTATTTTCGTTTTATCTCTCCCCTCTACAGATTTTTTTTTGGATGGGGGAGGTGGAATATTTTAAAGCAACCTTTTTTTTTTTTTCAGGAACCCGTTTTAAAAAGTTACAACAGGGTGGGGCATGGTGGCTCATGCCTGTAATCCCAGCACTTTGGGAGGCCAAGGCGGGAGGATCACGAGGTCAGGAGATCGAGACTGTCCGGGCTAACATGGTGAAACCCCGTCTCTACTAAAAATACAAAAAAAATTAGCCAGGCCCGGTGGCGGGCGCCTGTAGTCCCAGCTACTCGGGAGGCTGAGACAGGAGAATGGCATGAACCTGGGAGGTAGAGCTTGCAGTAAGCCAAGATTGCACCACTGCCCTCTAGCTTGGGTGACAGAGCAAGACTCTGTCTCAAAAAAAAAAAAAAAAAAAAAATTACAACAGGACATAATATCCATTAATGGTCAGTTATGAGCTATAGCAATAGCAAGGAAATGCACATGTACTTCTAGTTTTTCTAACATCCCATAAGGTAAATTAATCCCATTTTATACATGAGAAAATTGAGGTTCTGCCTTAACTTATATCTAAAAGAAAATAGGATAAATGGTGGTGTATTAGCTAGGATGCTCTGAAGAAAAGAAAAACGCTGCATATTTCTCTGTACTCTTCTGTACCACCCAACAGTCACGTCTGATGCTGGATGTGCAGGAGTTTCTCCCCACCAACAACTGATTGCCAGTGAACACCAGCTGGTGAGACAGCCGGGTGGGAAGGGTCCCCAGAGAAACTCTAGCCAGCCTGTATACTGGGAGGAGTGCGCATTGGGGTGGAGCCACAGGAGTTCCTGCTGTTTGTAGTGGGGAGGAGTCTGGCCCCTCCTTTTCCTGGGTGGTACCTGCGATTCAAACTGTGAGGTAGGAAGCACGTAGGGACTCTGGCTTTGTGAAGGGTCCCTGTTGCCATTTTTTTCCCTCTTCACCCAATAAAACCCTGCCTTACTCACCCTTCAAATTGTCTGTGAGCCTAATCTTTCATGGCCATGAGACAAGGACCCCGTCTTTAGCTAAACTAAGGAAAAGTCCCACAACACTGAGCGTCCCATAATTCAGCTCAATTCAGACACTATCTACCTGGAGATAGCATCAGATCCCACAGGCTAAGGGCTCAGTCCCACAGGACTGCCCCAACTCCCCACCCTGCCACCCCGCTCCAGCTTCAGATGCCAGTAGCAAGTCCCGGGTTGTGGCCTGTGCTTCCGACTGACTGGCTATACATCAGGGTTCCCATGACCCCTCCTTAGGTTTGATTAATCTGCTAGAGTGGCTCACAAAGCTCAGAGAAACACTTTTCTTTCTTTTGTCCTTTATTAAAAAAGATATTGTGAAAGATACAGGTGAGCAACCAAAGGGAAGAGATGCACAGGGTGAGGTCTGTGGGAAGGGGCATGGAGCTTCATGCCTTCCCTTAAAGTGCCACCCTTTGAGAACCTCTGCAACTTCAGCTCTGAACCATGTTCTTTTGGGTTTTTAGGAAGGCTTCTTTATGTAGGCATGACTGATTACAGTATTGGCCATGGGTGATCAACTCAACCTTCAGCCCCTTTCCTTCCCCAAGTTTTAGGGATAGCGCTGAAAGTTCAGCCTTCTCATCATACCTCAGTTTTTCTGATGACCAGCCCTCATCCTGAAGCTATCTAAGGGATCTAAGATACCTAAGCCACCAGGCATCTCATTGGCATACAAAAGGCTTTTTTTTTTTTTTTTTTTTTTTTTTTTTGAGACAGGGTGTTGCTCTGTTGCCCAAGCTAAATTCATCCACTGGTGCAATCATAGCTCATTGCATCCTCAGTCTCCTGGGCTCAAGCAATCCTCTTGCATCAGCCTCCCAAGCAGCTAAAACTACAGGTGCATACCACCATGCCCAGCTAATTTTTGTATTTTTTTGTACAGATGAAGTCTTGCCACGTTGGCCAGGCTGGCCTCGAACTCTTGGCCTCAAGCAATCCTCCCACCTCAGCCTCTCAAAGTGTTTGGATTATAGGCATGAGCCACCATGCCTGGCCTCAAAAAAACATTCTTAACACTCCAGAAATTCCAAGGGTTTTAGAAGTTGTGTGCACGGTCAGAGACCAAATATATATTTCTTATTATGTCATAGTATCACCGATGCAGTTCAGGCTATGGTAACAGAAAGGCCAAAATAAAGTAACCCAAGCAACTTAAATTTCTTTCTCATGTAAAAGTTAAACTAGGTTCAGACTATGTCCAGGGTAAGCATGGTGGCTGGACGGCATTAGGTACCCGGATTCTTAACATCATAGACTGGATGGCTGCTCCAGGTTTCATTGTCAGGTGGAGGTGGAAAAGATAAAGTGGAAAATATT
Source organism: Homo sapiens (assembly GCF_000001405.40). Taxonomy (NCBI): domain Eukaryota; kingdom Metazoa; phylum Chordata; class Mammalia; order Primates; family Hominidae; genus Homo; species Homo sapiens. The sequence goes on from NC_000008.11 coordinate 27,321,617, forward strand.
GGAGGATGTGCTCATTCCCTTGAGGGGCATGATTCTGGAGTTGCGTGCATAACTTCTACTCTTCAACCATTGCGGAGAACTTAATCACATGGTCGCACCTGGTCACACATGCAAGGGAGACTGGGAAATGTAGCCTTCATTTTGGGCAGGCTGTGACCATCTGAAAGTCAGGGATTCCAATATTAAGGAAAGAAAAGAGAAAGTTCTTTTTTAGGTTGAGGGCATGATTTTGAGTTCTATTCAAGCCATACTCAACTTATTTTGGCCTCAACTGTGGCCCACTTCGTAAACATAGTGATGTCTGGTTAAATTAGAGGTAGACATCCCTTGGTGATGAAGTACTTTTTTCAGTACTTGTACCCATAAGTTTTTCTTTGTCCCTTTTTTTTTTTAAATGGACTATCACTCTGTCACCCAGGCTGGAGTGCAGTGGCATGATTATAGCTCACTGTAACCTCTGCCTCCCAGGTTCAAGCGATTCTCCTGCCTCAGCCCCACCAAGGAGCTGGGACTACAGGCATACACCACTATGCCCAGCTAGTTTTTGTATTTATCCATTTTTTTTGTTAGAATACTTATAACCATACTGTTCTTTTAAAATAAAATTTATTCTACATAATAGTAAATTTACATGATGTAATTTAAATTCCATCATTTACAATGGAGAGATGCCAGTTACATAATGTCGCAGCCCTGCCAATGATGGGTTTTGCTCTTTACCACCTGGGAGCCTGTGAATAATTTATTTACCTTATCCAAGCTTCCTTTTCCTTTCTGCAAACCAGGAATAGGACTAGCAACTTCATAGACGGTTGTGAAGACAAGCTAGACGGCAGATGAAAGTTCTTGGCACAGAGTGAACACTTGATAAACTATATGGCAGGTATGTATGTACTATCTCCCCATAAAGCTTACTTTAATTGCTATCATTTCTAAAAATTATAGCTATAGAATTTTTCATAGCATTTGTACACCTATCACTTAATTTGGGCTTCACAATACCCTGGGAAACAGGTAGAACAGATAATACTTATTTTTCTACTTTTCTAGATTAGGAAATAAAAGCTCAGAAAGATGGATTCGCATGTCCAAAGTCACAACCTCTTCCCTCTTGACTGGATCCTTCCTGTGAGCATTGAAACCTGCTCTACTGGCTATCATCCTAAATGACAAATCAGTCCTCTTTCAACCCACGACCCCCTCCAATATCCCCTGGTCTCAATTGCCCTTGGCAGTCAAGCTTTCCAGGACTCATCAGCGCGTGCCGCCTCTGTGTCTTCACTTTCAGTTTACTTATCAGCCCACCCCACTTGACCTTTGGCTCTTCATTCATTTGCTCCTGGTAAGAGCTTCACTTGAAGTCCTCTGCTGTCTCTGACTCTTGCCTTAGACAAGTTTATCCATTCTTGTGGTTTCAAATGCCATCCCAAAAGTTAATCACCAGCTCAACCACCTTTGTGATCTCCAGTTAGTGAAAAGATAAGAAAAGAGAACCTGAACCAGGATGGGTCAATAGGACAGGAAAGAAAACGAGGAATAGGAAAAAAGTTTGTGGGACTCCCAGGACTTAGAGATTGGAGATTGCATGGCTGCAGGGTAAGGAGGGAGAGGGAGAGTCAAAGGTGACTTCTCTTTTGTTGACATTCACAGGGAGGGCTGGAACGGGGCTTGTTTGAAGAGCAATATGAGCCAGGGTTATAGACCTGAGTTTGGGGTAAGAGTGGAACATCCAAATGGAAGAGTCCAGCAGCTGAAAGGACATTTGTTCAAAGGCCTTTTTCATTACAGTTTTCTCCTTCTTCTGATCCAGGTATGCATCCCCCCAACACCCCCACAATTAGGGCCTCCCACATGGCACTTGGTCAGCTTGAGATACAGAAGTAGAAGGGAAATATTTTTCTTCTCTAACTGGGGTAGATCATTATTGCAACTTATGCCATATGGAGAGCATCGCCATGGATAGTGTCTTTTAGGGATTTCCATGGAATTTGAGGGCTCCTGAGGCATTTCTGATGGGTTTTTTTAAAAGGCAGTAACAGGCAGAAATGCATGACCTTGTCACCTGAGTTGCTTGTACATGACACTGGACAGAACCTAGGGAGACCTGATGGCGGAGTTGGCCACCCCAGAGAGTTTCTCAATGTCTTTTTCATTTAAAAAGCTATGGGTTTATGATTCTGTGAGGTAGATTTGGGAGATTCTTTTTTTAAAGTGCTGAAGAATTCAACAACCTCTGAAAACTCACCTTTCCCAGAATTGGTCCCAGCAAGATAAGATTGTAGTTCATTTATGTGGCCACACAGGGGCAGCACACACAAACTCTCCTTTTCTTAAACAGGTCTTGATTGTCTTTGCTTTTAGTTCCCACTGCCACCTCCTAGTACAGACTCTCAACAACTCACCCAGGTATCTAACTTTTGTGCCACTCAGCCTTCATCACTTCATTTCCAAGCGCAAGAATACGGAGGGGACACCCACTGTCAGATGCCCTCTGACCATGTCCTTGCCATGTAGTCAATTACCTGCCTCCTCATCCCCACACCTTCCCTGCTAACTTCAGTGTACCTCTGTCTGACTTGCCTCTCCATCCCTGGCCAAGTTCTCCCACCTGACCACCTTCTGACCTGCTGACCGCTGTGTAGTCACCAAGATTACCTCCAAAATGCTGAGTGCTGGGAACGTGACAAATCTGTGAATAGCACAAATGGGAAGGGGTGGGGGGGCTCCAGCTGTCAAGGCTGGCAGTGCCCATCAATGGGTTGTGAGCCCCATGCTGGGCAGGTGGGCCCTAGCTGCAGAGAGTCTGATCTTCATCGGACCCAGAGTGACATCCAGCCAATAGCTATGGGTAGTCCACTAATTATACTTTGAGAAACATTGACTTCCTAGCTTTGTTAACTTATCTAAGTCTCCAGTTTCTTTTCAGAAATGGGAAGGAGTCAGTGCAATCTTGGAAACTGAGTGCTTCCTCAGCACAACTCCAGGGGGCGCCATTCTCAGAAAGTACATTGTGAATAGCATCCTCTAGAATTGTGCAACAGGGCAGCTCTGGGAATCAGATTCCAATCCTGCACAGGACACAGAATAAAGAAGCTTGGGACAGGGGCTCTGGAGAGGACATTGTAGGATGAGGATGATGCTGCGTACACTCCACTTTTTTCACTTTATGCCAAGTCCAGGTCACTTCCTCCTCCTACTCAGGAGCAAGTCTGGAGTTTTCCTAGGGATAGGGAAGAAGTGTTGCTAAGTGCCCTTGAGTGCCTGCTCACATATCACCGGCCTGAGGAAAGAGGGGACCAGCCTCTGGGCGGGGCCCCTGGAAGGGGCTGTCCAGCATCTCTAACTATTCTTGTGCTGTCCTCAGACCCTACTTAGTCACAGCTCAGGGACCTGGTCTTCTGTGTTCAGGGACCTGGACCGGTTCTGCCAAAATCCCTAGTGGTATTTATGATTTTTCATGCCTGCAAAGGGACTGGGGCCACTTTAGGACATGGAGAGATTAGGACACAAGTGCTCAGTACCATGTAGATATAACATCTCCCACTGCGGGGGGTCTTGGGAGAACCAGCCTGAGAAGTTGGTTTCCTCCGCCCGCCCTGCGCCCCCACCCACCTCACACACACCTTTTGGCCTCCAAAAGGCTGCAGGTGGAGTGGACAGAGGATGGAGGGGTGTTAGGAATTGGGGAGTTAACTGCTCACAAGGGGCACATAACATCCGAGGATCCCATTTGCGGCCGGGGGAATGGCAGAGATCGCCCCCCAGGTCTGCCCGGCGCTCAGGGAATTGGTGGCAGCGTCTATTTCAGAGTTTATGGTAAGAGGCTGGAGCCGGCACACACAGACAACACACCCCACCCTTTAAGGAAGTGGGGAGGAGAGCAGCAGGGGTGTGGTTAACAACTCAGAGGAGGAGGGAGAATCTAACCTGTCAGCCCTTTTACTCAGCCACAGCCTCCGGAGCCGTTGCACACCTACCTGCCCGGCCGACTTACCTGTACTTGCCGCCGTCCCGGCTCACCTGGCGGTGCCCGAGGAGTAGTCGCTGGAGTCCGCGCCTCCCTGGGTGAGTCCCTCCCGCGAGCCAGGGCTGAGCGCTGCGCCCGGCAGAAGTTGGAGGCTTGACCGGGTGGCAGGGGTTGGGGACAATTCCGGGATCCTGGGCACCTGAGCTGGGAGTTCCCGGAGAAACGGCCAGACCCAGGAAATCGGAGCCGTGGGTGCTGTGCACATGCCCGGAGCTCGCCAGCCTTCCGCGGGGAAGAGGGGTTCTATTTTTGGAGTAAATTTGACACTATAGGGTGTTTCTCCCTCTTTGTCCTCTCAACATATTCAGACAGGGGAGGCTGGGGGAGGCTAGGGGTGACGGTGTGAGGGCACAGCCAGGCTGCTGCCTCTAAAGCTCAGGTTAGGGAGCCACGGGGTTTCAGCTCCTGCCCCCGCTCCCCGCTCCCTCCCGGGCCCTTCCGCAGCCCCAGGGGTTATAGTCTCACCCCCAGCCCACCCTGACTCTCCTGCAGCCACTCCTTGCACCTGAGAGGTCATCTTCTGAATCAAGCCCTGGCTGGAGGAAAGCAAGGGTGTTCTGGGGCACAGGGGAGCTCGTGTGTATGTGTGTGTGTGTGTGTGTGTGTGTGTGTGTGTGTAGTTAACACTGGCCATTCTGGTATCTTGAGAAGCCGCCTCCTGAGTGCCACTCAAGGGTTAAGTTCAGAGCTGCCTCTGCCTGCTGTCAGGCTGCGCGTGGGCACCGCTTTGGGTGGGTGAGCGTGGAGCGGCATATGGGTGATGTTCTGCAAGCCCTGCCACCTGCCCTAAGCCTCGACCACATGACACTGGCATCTCCCTATACCCCAAACTGGGAGCAAAATCCAAGTCCGCTCATTTAAGGAGCCAGCAGAAGGACAAGAGCAGAAAGTTGTGCCTAGAGGTGGCTTTAGCCAGGAGGAACTCGGAAGCTGCGCTGTGGCTGGGTCTGAGCCCACTGGGGCAGTGCACGTGGTGTGATGTGGTGGTGGGTGCTGGGAGGCCCCTCTACGTGGGATGCTCTCTGTTCACCCCAAGTGCTGTTGCTGAAGGCCCTGTCTTTCCCAACCACTCTGGGGGAGGGGGAGGAGGACACTGATGAAAAAGTGACTAAAGACAGAAGGGAGGAAGGAAGTAGTCACACTGGAGAGCCCCAGCATTGGTGGGACAGTCTGCAGTCATCCATTCAGGAGGCACTCACTGGCTTCCCACCTGCGGCCAGGTGCAAGGTGTGGGGACAAGGTGAGTGTGGCATGGCCTCTGCTCACCAGGGCAGTGTGGGATACCGGGTGGTTGAGGGAGGGCTGCCAGGGGAAGGTGCAGGGTACTATCCAACCCTGCACTAGAGGGCTGTGGGGGGAGCCAGTCAGCAATGGCCAGGAGGGCGTCCTGGCAGAAGTGACTCCAAATTGAGAGCTGAAGGATGACTAGAAATTAGCACAAGAGAAGAGGGGAAAGAACAGCAAGTGCAGAGACTGGAGGCTAAAAGCAGCAGGAGGCTGGAAGCAGCGGGCGGCATCCAGGAAAATGAAAGTAGCTGGGCTTGTTGGGAACCTAGAGCGTGCAGGGGCGAGGGGAAGCTGCAGGGGTGAGTGGAGACTGCTCTAGAAGGCTTTGGAAGGCCTGCCAGGCTGCCATGGCAACTTCTGTTGGAGCAACACTTGGGACCTGGAGCCAGGCAGGAGACTTCCCAGCAGGAAGAGATTGCCAGATTTAGCCAATAAAAGCACGGGACACTCAGATTTGAATTTCAGATAAGCACTCAATGGTTTTTTTTTTCACTACAAATATGTCTCATGAACTACATGGAACATACTTATACTCAAACATTATTCACTGTTTCTCTGAAATTCACATTTAACTGGGTGTCCTGTATTTATCTGGCAACCCTACTCTAGGAGAAGCTGAGGTTGGCGCAATGCTGTGAAGTAAAGGCTGGAAACTGCCCAGGCACTCTGAGAACAGTCTCAGGTCTATCTTGTAACCATTCCTCCTGGATTTTATTATGAGCTCATTTAAAAAACAAAAAATCAATTCCTTGGTCAGTTTATTCATCTATACAGGTGAAGGAGTATGGTACCTCAGAAAAAACGACATTAAATCCAGACAGATCTGGGTTCAAATCCATGTAGACCGGTGAGCTTCTCTGACCCTCAGAATCCTCTTTTCTGAAATGAGGGCAGGAGTATCTGTTTGTGCAGGTGGTTGGGAGGATCCCTGATAATGTATGTAAATTGCCTAGTGAGTACTAAAGGAAACATGGTACATATTGAATTTTGCAACACCTTCACAGGGTTGAGCAAAGCAACAGCCACAGAGTGCTTGGGTTCATTTACTTCCACAAGTGAGCACTTGGAGGTCTCAGGTGAAATACATAGTAGGGTTCATGCTTCCAGTGAGAACTCGTGGGGTTAGCCCTTGGGTTGGGGACAGAGTCTGCATTATGTTTTTAGCTTTGCTACTCCCTTCCCATATGACCTGCTTCAAGGGGTGGAGATATAACACTCTTCTTGAGGGATGGTGGGTGGGCAGAGAGTGACTCAAAGTAGAATTAACTGAAGGGAAATGTGAATGAATTAAAGTAGAGAATCCAGATAAAATATTCAGCGCAGACAAATGCGCCATGAAATTTGGCTGTCATGATTCCCAGTTTTAGGATGAGTTCCTTATTAGAAAAGTAGCGCTAAGAGATAGAGGAAGTGAAGGTGCCTTATGAACTGGATTTTGACTTTAATGGGAGCATTTGTAACAACAAATTAGGGTCCTCCTAAAAGGGAACCTAGAGGAAGTTAAGAATTCGTTAAGAGAAAGAGGAAATGGAAAGTGTGTTTCCCTTGTGGGAACGGCTAGGTTAAAAATGGTCCTTCTTTCCAGTGGCTAAATCTCCCCATCCCCCTGTGATAAACATTTTGTCCCCAGGCCCTTGGATTGTTTGCCCAGGTGGTGTTGAGAGAGACCCTATGGCGTGAGATGGATAGAGGTGTTCCACTGATGAAACGTTCAAATGAGCCTGCACTTGGACATGTGTCTTGAATATTTGCAAGATCAAGGTTATGATAAGTCCTGCATAAAAAGACACGTGTCATTCCCTGAGGATGGCTGTAGAGCCCATGCACATTCTCAGGGAAACAGCATTCCACATTGAGTGAACCTTGATGTGAGGGCAGTTTGGGGACCAAGCAGGTCGTTCAGAAGGCATAGCCCTTCTCATAACTCTAGCCAGGATGGACCTAATTCATTCTAGACTAGGCAGTGTCCAACTTAGAGAAGATCTTCAAGGAAGGAGCCCTTGCGTGCAACCTTTTTTTTTTTTTGAGATGGAGTCTCACTCTGTTGCCCAGGCTGGAGTGCAGTGGCGCGATCTCAGCTCACTGCAACCTCTGCCTCCTGGGTTCAAGTGATTCTCCTGCCTCAGCCTCCCGAGTAGCTGGGATTACAGGCACGCACCACCACGTCCAGCTAATTTTTGTATTTTTAGTAGAGACGGGGTTTCGCCATGTTGGCCAGGAGGGTCTCAATTTCTTGACCTCATGATCTGCCTGCCTCAGCCTCCCAAAGTGCTAGGATTACAGGTGTGAGCCACCGCGTCTGGCTGTATGCAATCTTTCTAGCATCATGCATCCTTCAGAGACACAAACTCCCACCTGTATCAGCCTGAGTCTTCCCATTGCAGATCCGGCCATGTTTCATCGTGCAGAGGACCCTGGAGAAAGTCCAAGTCCCTTGGCACTTAGCTCTCCATAGTGACGACAGTAGCTCCATGTACCCCAAATACTGCTAGGACAAAGGAAACTGATGGTGAGGCTAGGGAGGGGAGGGAGGCTACCCTGGGGCTACCCTGCATGGTAGGTCACTCAGTCTCTAGTTTCCCCTGCCTGGGACCCATATGTCTCAGGACCATGTGACCCTGGCCTCCCAGGTAAATGGCCACATTGGGGGATGGAGTAGAGGTGCAGAGCTGCGACGTGCCCGGGGCTGAAAGTGTGGTGATGAAGATAAGTTTTGCTGGCTTGAGGATGAAGAGTTTCCTTGTAGAGTACGGGTCAGTTCCAGGGTTAAGGAGAAAGAGCAGGGATAGTGGTGACTCTGCAACACTGATATGCCTTATCTGTCCAAGCAGTCGGATGGTCAAGAGCTCAGGCTCAGTCAGTCTGCCTGGGTTCCAGCCCAGGTTTGGTACCCCCTGAGTGACGTTAGGTAGGTGAGTTAGCCCTAGCTTCCTATTTGCAAGATGGAGACAATAACAGGGCTTTGGGTGAGGGTGGCATGAGATAGTGTACATTAGAGAGATATTCAAAATACAGCTACTAAAACCTGAGTACAGATCAAACAGAACAGACACCACCATTACTCTGAGCAGCGTCAGAGAGGCCCCCTTCCATGCCAGGCTCACCCCGTCAGTGCATCTTGTGGAGTCTGGGGGTGGAAGAAACAGGCCTTTGGAGGGCTGTAGCGTGGACATATCCAACGAGGATGGACTGTTTCGATATTTCAACAACCCAGATGCACCCGCTTAATAATAGCATCTTATGCACCCACTGAATAATAATAGCGTCGAAGTACAATAAAACATTCAGTCCCATAATTAGGCAGATGATATGCATCCAATAAGTATGAGCTCTCTGGTATCTTTACACATATGGCCATATCTGAGCTGGCGGGGCAGCACCATTTATTTTTCCAGAGGTTATAGGTCCTCTTCTGCGAGGCATCAGGCAGCTTCCCCTGAGCACTCTCTCACAAGCATACATCAGGTATTCAATGATGTTTGTTTCTGCCTAATCCCACTCTCAGTTCACTGTGTTTTGGCAACAGCCAGCCCTCATTAACTCTTTAGACAGCGAAGAGACTGTCTACGAATGCCCAGCCGGCACTGAAGTCTAGATGGTCATTTAAAGCGTTCAGAGAGCTGACAGGTAGGAGAAAATGGTGGCTTCACTTTCTGGGCCTCCTAACTCTGTGTACAAAGCTGCGAGCTGTGCAAGGGGGCGGCAGAGGGGGAGGGGATAGCTTTTTGAGTCACTCTGCTATTTCTCAAGGAATAATTATTACTCATGGTGACAGTTTATTAAGAAGAGCAGACTTGAGGCTGCATGTTCCGACACACTTTTCACCCAGATGCAGCGGGCAGGTTGGTGTGAATGCAGAGTTTAATTTTCAGGAGACCCTCCAGGTAGGCCACAGGGGGCCTGCAGGGGTGGACGCTGCTCTGAGTTTAGTGGTCTTCGTGGCCTCTTACCTTTTCCCAGCACTAAGGTGGTTGCTGCTTTTATGAGGCAGCCAGTTAGTGTGACTAAAACCAAGATCAGCAATGGCCAATACCTGCGGGAGGCAAGCCTTCCCGTTTCCTAGCTTGGCTGTGTTCGCTAACATCTTCCCCCTCTCCAGTTCTCTCTCTTCCTTTTATGTTCTGAAATCCACCCACACAGAATCTGGTAAGATCACTCACTAGAGACAGGAGGGCTCAAAGAATCCACCTCGCCCAGGGTTTAGAGCTCGGTACCAGGTTTAATTCACATCTCCTGCATTTGTCTTCCTTTAAATTGGACCAATTCTCCCAATAATTGTGGGGGCAGACCCCCTTTTAATGCCCTTTCTTTCTTGAGGGCCTTGCACCTGATTCTGTGAGAACCTGCCCCCCACAAGCCATAGCAGTCCCACTGGTTCATATGGGGGTGATTGATGGGGAGGGGTGTACTGGGAATTCTGACCTGAGTTTGGGTTTTGCTCTTCTGGGGGTTCCCTTCTCACCTTTCTCACCTGGGACGGAATGGCCCCTGTGGTGGTTCTGACCACTTGGAGCACCATCATTTTCTGGTTTTTTTTTTTCTTTTCTTTTTTTGAGACAAAGTCTCACTTGGGTGCAGGGGCATGAGCCAAGACTACAGGCACATGCCACCACACCTGGCTTATTTTCTTTCTACAACCTCTACCTCCTGGGTTCAAGAGATTCTCCTGCCTCAGCTTCCCGAGTAGCTGAGATTACAGGCACCCACCACCATCCCTGGCTAATTCTTTTATTTTTAGTAGAAACGGGGTTTCACCATATTAGCCAGGCTGGTCTCGAACTCCTGACCTCAGGTGATCCACTCCCCTCAGCCTCCCAAAGTGCTGGGATTACTGGTGTGAGCCACCACACCCTAAATTAATGTACTGATTTAGGGTTTCTGATTTCTAAATTAATGTACTATGTCCATCCCACTGCTCTGGGAACCTCAAGTGCTTTTCTATGTTCTCTGGCAGTATTTGGAGTCAAAACCCAACCCCTCTCACCCAGCTCCATGTACCCAGTCCCCGCCCCCAGGTCCCACCCCAGGTAGGTTATGAGAGATCTGATGCTGCTGCACTTTGCACCTCTGCAGAGGCTCTTGGCAACATCCGGTCACATCCCCTCCGCTATTTAGGCAGATGTTTGGTGCTGGCAGACAGCGGTGCCAACCAAGACAGCTGCAAGTGGCTCACTGCAAGTTTGAATCCCAGCCCCTAGCTCATTACAGGCAGAAGCTCAGGCAGTTTTTCAGCCCGGGCAAGAGGAAAGAGAGTCAGAGGGCAGGAGGCCTGAGCTTTGGTGTAGATTCTCTCACCTGTTAACTGGGGTACATTGGCTAAATCTCTTTCCTCTTCAAGCCTTCCTTTTCTCATTTGAAGATGAAGAATTGGTACTGCCTCCCTAATAGGGTAATGGAGAGAAATACTTGACTGTGTGAAAATCCCCCATAAAACATCACAGGCATTGTCCCAGGAAAAGTGATGAATTTGGGATCAGAACGTGGTGGGTTTGACTCTCGACTCTGTCATACTCTGCCTGTCTGACATCGCCAAGTGATAGAACCTCTCTGAGCCTTACTTTGCTAATTTGTAATTTGTTCTAGGCACTTGTTGAATGTTTCTCCCCATCACCCCCTTTACTCTCAGGGTATAGTTTTTCTTCCCCCAATTTTTTTTTTTATCTCATTTCGAGACAGAATCTCACTCTGTTGCTCAGGCTGGAGTACAGTGGTGCGATCACACCTCACAGCAACCTTGACCTCTCAGGCTCAAGCAATCCTCCGGCCTCAGCCTCCTGAGTAGCTGGGGCCACAGGCACATGCCACCACACCCGGCTAATTTTTAAAATTTTTGTAGAGACGATGTCTTGCTATGTTGGCCAGGCTGGTGTTGAACACCTGGGCTCAAGCAATTCTGCTTCGGCCTCCCAGAGTGTTGGGATCACAGGCATGAACCACCACTTCTTCCCCCTAATTTGAGGAATTATATCTGTCCTCACAAAGTTTATAGTATGGTAGGGGAGGCAATACATGAAGATAAAGAACTGTAAGATATTTATTTAACTCTAAGTTACTTAAAGGTAAATAATGTGCCATAAAAGAGGCACGAAGTGCTATGAGATTGCAGGGCAGAGATTCCTTCTGGCTATGGACTCTGGGAATGCTTCCTGGAGGAGACGGCATTTGGCAAAGCTCTGAAAGGATAGACAGGATACACTGTGGGAACTTGAGATGGTGGCTGTAGTCAAAGAAGAGTATAAATAACAGCAGAGAGATGGAGAGGTGTGGTTTGAGTGACTCATTTTGGGTGGAACCAAGAGTGGCAAAAGGCAATCAGAGTTGGGGGTGGAACGGAAGATAAGGCTTGGACAGGGAGGCCAATGTGTTTGGGAGTTATCCTGGAAGTCCCAGACAGCCATGGGGCTTTATTCTGAAGGCAGTAGGAGCTGTTGACCATGCTGACTTCGGTGGAGGTGCGAGGGTCAGATTCTGGTGTGTAGAGTGGATGAGAGTGAAGAGAGCTTGAATTCGCAAGGGAGCAGATAAGAGAGTGTTGTAATATTTCAGGCCTCACACATCTGAATAAATTGCGTAACTCAGATACTTTGCGGTCCTGTGGAGCATGCAGGCATCCCCTGGAGGCTTCTACTTTCTCTGAGCTGAAATTGGTTCTTTGATGAATTTGAGAGATATATAACTTATGAGAACATCCATGAGAAACCCACCATTCCTCTTCACCTCTGTCTTCCATATTCTTGATTCCCAGCCTGGCCGCTTCCCCCTGGGCCTCCCCTCTGCTAGGAGTGTGTTAAATGCCAAGCCTGTCTCAACCTCTATCTGGCAGCACCTTGAAGTATCAAGTCAGGAATATGCACTTAGATCCACAGGCCCCTTCTCCATCATGTCTCCGGTGACCATCCAGATGTGATGATTCCCAGGACCCTCCCTCCCTCCCTTAGCCCTCACTTCTAAGAGTCTGTAAGATATTCCCACTTGAGGAGCTTGTCTTCTTCAATGCTGTATCTCAGAAATTAAACTCCTCCTTTTCTCACGCCAAACCATCTCTCCTCCTGGCTTCTCTCCTCTTCATGGGGTTGTTCATCTCCCACACACTCAGGTCAGAAACCTTGCTATTGCCTCCCCTCTTTCCACGCCCCCACTTTTTTCTGCTCATATCTTGCCCATCACTCAATCCTGCAGATTCTTTCTTCATGCCTTTCATTCCTTCCTTCCCGTTTCTATGGCCCCTACTCTGACCCAAATCATATTACCTAATATTGCTTCATATTTTTACCCAAGAGCTTCGTCCTATCTCTGGTTCCCTTGGAAGCTCCCCAATGCCTGCAGGCAAATCCAGCCCCCTTAAATTTACCATTCAGTGCCTCCCATAATCCAACCTTGATCTGCTCTTCTAACTAAACTTTCCCCATACCCAAATGAAGCCCCAGCCAGCCTGGTGTGCTCCCCAGTCTCTGGCAAGCCTCTGCTCAAGTCCTGTGTTCTGTTTGGAATGCCAGCCCCATGCACTTCACCAGTCCTACTTACTCCTTTAAGGCTCAGTCGGTGACCCACCCTTTTGGAGGACATCTGAGCTCCCCATGGCAGCTTCTGGGCTTCTTTGCATCCTGGGATCTCCCAGAATCTATTTTTCAACCTGATGCTACATTCCTCCACAGCAGGGAGATGCCTTTTATTTTGTTCTTCTTCCTTATACCGTCAAATTCCAAGGATAGAAAATTGCATTTCCCTGGGCCTGTGAAAAGGGATCCCTCCCTCCCTGCACACTCATGCCTGGCTCACACGGAGTGAGCCAGACAGCGCTTCCTCATTCCCCGCAGTGGGTGTCGCAACAGCCAGTTGCAACTAGAATAGGGGCCACATCCCGAGTCTCTTGAATTCTTGCCCTGTGGTTAGGATGCCCTTCTTGCCTGTCCTGAAGGTGGAGATTTCCTACAGCCGAGAGAGAGGGAGTCAGCAGTCTAGGGCAGGAACTCCATCATTTCTTTATTAAACCACTCCTAACTCTCTCTAATCTCTGTGAGTCTTGCCTTTCCCTTTTCTCTCCTCCTCCTACTGTTGAGTACAACTAGGCCAGGCTGAATGAGAGGAGAAAGATGGGGAGGAGGAAAGAAGTTAGGCAGCCTTGGCAGAGGGTGCAATGCTCCGGGAAAATGGGAGAGATTTACAAGGCAGAGATTGACAGTTTTTAGTAACTTGACTTTGACCTCCAGTGTACACAGACATAGCCTTGGCTGCTGGACTCTGAGCTTTCTGGCCCTGGGAAGCTCGAGATTTGCAAACACTTGTTCGACAATCACCTCGTTTATCTGCATTGTCACCAGTGCAGCCTCTGAGCCCTCTCCCTGTCTTTACTTGACCCTGTATAGAAAAATGCTTTCAGGGCCAATTGCAGTGACTCATGCCTGTAATCCCAGCACTCTGGGAGGCCAAGGCGGGCAGATCACCTGAAGTTGGGAGTTTGAGACCAGCCTGACCAACATGGAGAAACCCCATCTGTACTAAAAATAAAAAATTAGCCGGATATTGTGGCGCAGGCCTGTAATCCCAGCTACCAGGGAAGCTGAGGCAGGAGAATGGCTTGAACCCAGTAGGCGGAGGTTGCAGTGAGCCAAGATCATGCCATTACACTCCAGCCTAGCTGGGCAAAAGAGCAAAACACTGTCTCAAAAAAAAAAAAAAAAAAAGAGAAAAGAAAAATGCTTTCTGCACCCAACACTGAAGACTCAGCCCCAGCCTGTGTTCATGCCCTGGGGGTCCCTGGAAGAGGGCACAGGAGCTGCCCTGAGCCTAGGAGCCCTGGGCTAGTCACTGCCTCCTTCATATCCCACCACATGCTATGGGGTGAGTCCCCTGGGTAAGCCTGTTCAAGCCTCCTGTTTTTTATTTGTATGTGCAATCAGGGGGTGTGGGGACTTTTTAGCAAAGCTTTCTTCAAAGCAGATCTTAGGCAAGAGCCCAATATAAACCAGGCAAAAATATTCCTATCCAGGGTTGAAGTGAGAAGGCGAGGTACCTACCAGGCCCTTGAGTCCCCTCCATGGATCTCCTGGGGTGCAGGTCATCTGGAATTCTTTCCGGGTCTCAGGCTCGTGAGGTGCTCATTGTGTATGTGTCATGGGAGCTGGAGAATGGCTGTAGGTGCAAATGGACTTGGAAAAGAACAATGTCAAAGTCGTAAGTCCAGCCTGGGGCATGGCAGGTTTATGTATGTGTGAGTGGCGGGAGGGGCTGTAGATTTGAACTCCCTGAAAGAAGATATGTGTAATTCTTACCAAAGAGTAAATGCATATGTTTATGAAAGAAAGTTCATTGCTATCATCTGGCTCTCCAAGGCACCTGTGACCCCAAAAGATTAAGAACATCTCTCATAAGATATTATCATCCGTTCTACAAACCTTTCATAAAAATGACCTCAAACTTGAGCTCCTTTTTAATTCAGACAAACTAGGCCATAAGCCCTGTTGAGGAAAGAACCGTATCTGTATGGAGAGTCACTGTTACATCCCAAGGACACAGCCTGGTACCTGACACACAGCTGGCATTGAGTACGTACAATGTGTGCCTGATATAAGGCAGCTCTGTTCTCCCAATAAGGAGGGCTGCTAAAAAAAAATTAAAAAGCTTATTTTCATATGTAAACTTTGTAGGATAATGTTGAATAGATTATTTTAGCGATACATTTTCAATCACATGCTAATAACAATACATTAACTTAAATACTGCTTTCCCCCAACTCTCCCAGTTTAGGAAACATTGTAACTGTTCACTCCCATCTCTGACATCAGTGTCCTTCTTGTCACCAGAACCCTTTCTGCATCAGCTCTTCATGTTCTGTGGGCATCATAGTCCCTGTGGTC
Organism: Homo sapiens; assembly: GCF_000001405.40. Lineage (NCBI taxonomy): Eukaryota > Metazoa > Chordata > Mammalia > Primates > Hominidae > Homo > Homo sapiens. Next base: position 27,336,788 of record NC_000008.11, read on the forward strand.
TAAAGAGAGTTAGCTGTTTCAAATTGATCCAAAAGGAGTTTATTTACTTATTTATTTTTTATTTTTGAGACGGAGTCTCTCTCTGTCACCCAGGCTGGAGTGCAGTGGCACAATCTCGGCTCACTGCACCCTCTGCCTTCTGGATTCAAGCGATTCTCCTGCCTCAGCCCCACGTCCCCACCACCCGTCCCCCCTCCCCCCGCCACTGCCAGTTTTTTAATAACCGCTAATTAATACTTATTGATGAATAGTAGTTTTTTGAGATACAATTCACATACCGTAAAATTCACCTTTTAAAAATGTGCAATTCAATGAGTTTTAGTACGTTCACAGAGTTGTGCAACCATCACCGCTTTTTTTCTTTTTTTGACAAGAGTCTTGTTCTGTTGCCCAGGCTGGAGTGAATGGCATGGTATCAGCTCACTGCAACCTCTCCCTCCTGGGTTCAAGTGATTCTCCTGCCTCAGCCTCCCAAGTAGCTGGAATTACAGGCACCTGCCATCATGCCTGGCTAGTTTTTGTATTTTTTAGTAGAGATGGGGTTTCACCATGTCGGCCAGGCTAGTCTTGAACTCCTAGCTCAAGTGATCCACCCGCGTTGGCCTCCTAAAGTACTGAGATTACAGGCGTGAGCTACTGCGCCTGGCCCTCCATCACTGCTATCTAATTGCAGAATATTCTCGTCACTCCAAAAAGAAACCCCCGTACCATAAGCAGTCACACCGTGTTCTCCACTCCCCCGTCCCCTGGCAAGACTAATCTACTTTCTATTTTTATGGATCTGCCTTTTCTGGTCATTCCATATAAGTGGAATTGTACAACACTGTGGCCTTTCGCGACGGCTGCTTTCACTTAGCACAATGTTTTGAAACTTCCTCCATGTTGTAACATCTATTAGTACTTCGTTTCGTTTTGATTGATATTTATTGATGAGTAACATTTTGTTGTGTGGATATGCCATATTTTGTTTATCTCTTCATTAGTAAACATTTGGATTGTTTCCACTTTTTGACCATTGTAAGTACTGCTGCTATAAACATTCACATACAAGTTTTTTTGTGGACATATGTTTTCATTTCTCTGAGCTATAGACTTAAGAGTGGAGTTGCCGGGTCCTGTGATAACTCTGTTTAACATTTTGAGGAACTGTTGAATGGTTTTTCACAGCAGCTGCCTCATTTTTTATTCCCATCAGCAGTACTTCTTGGTTCTAATACCTCCACGTTCTCGCCAACACTTGTTGTTGTCTGTAATTTCGTTGTTAGCCATCCCAGTGGGGATGAAGTAGTATCTTACTGTGGTTTTCAGTTGCGTTTCCCTGATAATTAATGATGGTGAACATCTTTTCATGTTCTTGTTGGCCATTTGTATGTCTTCTTGGGAAAAAAAATGTCTGTTCAAATCCTTTACAAAGTATTTATTTTTTATGTCAACAATATAACCACTCAGTACACTGCTTTTTAGACAATGATCTTTTAAAGGTTTGTTTACAACATTTAGCACTTGAAATTTTAAGGTTATGCCCTCAAAAAAATTGCTGAGGGAGCTAAGCTATGAAGATGCAAAGGCATAAGAATTATACAATGGACTTTGGGGGAATCGAGGGAAAGGGTGGGAGGGGGGTGAGGGATAAAAGACAAATTGGATGCAATATATACTGCTCCAGTGGTGTGAGTCCATCAAAATCTCAGAAATGACCACTAAAGAACTTATTTATGTAACCAAACACCACCTGTTCCCCAAAAACCTATGGAAAGAAAGAAAGAAAAAATTTTAAAAAGAAAAATTGCTGAATCTATATTATAGTATGGTGGTTGCTTTTCATAAAAACCAATTCTTTTAAGTAACCTTTGTAAGCATCCCAAACTAGCCTTGATTGATTGGAGTGCTAATACTTTTCCCAAACAGTATATTGTTGTTCAAAATAAGATAATTGAGAAAGCAACCCATAACATGAAAGATTCTGTAAGGGCTTGGATATAAACTTTCTCCTTTCTGACAGATAATTTGGGAAGGTAGAGAGCTTTACCTCCTATTCAAGCAAATGTGATATTTAAAAATAAGTAGATGGATGAATGGACAATGGACTCATGAATGAATGAACAAAAGAAGAAATGCAAGCAAGTAAACCAATCAAGCAACCACACCAATCTTTCCCTCTTTATTTAGGATTTTCTAATCCCCACTTAGTAAATCAGCCTTGGTCTTTAATTTACATTTTATGGAACCATATATAAAATTGTTTAAAAAACAAGTTTACAGTTACAGATTAGAAACAAGACACTGTATTTTCTGTCGCCTGGAATATCTTTATCATCTTCCTTTAAAAATGGGAAGAAACTAAGGCTGCGCAGGGTCCTGGAGGCAGTTGAGAGACTCAGACATCAAGTGATGTGATTGCAGGCCTTGGTCCAGAGTTGTAAGTCACCAGAGTGGGACCTTTAGGCTTGTGACATGATAACAAGGATTTTCTTGGGTGGGCCCCCCAGCTCTTCATTGCTCTTTCCATCAGCACAAAGGCTTCTGGGTTGCTGATGTTTTGTGTGGTGGCCCTGGAGGTCTCTCCTTCTACCTTCTCTGGGGTGAGACAGTCTGATCCATCTCAGAGGCCACACTCACCACCTACTGCACAGAGACACAGCCCCCTCCCCATCCTTTACCATTGGTCCTTTCTTAAGAAAATGTGTCAGCTGGCAAATGGTACTCTGGAGTTTGGGGTAAGAGAGAGAAAGAGGAAGAATACTGGGCAAGAAGGTAAGAAAGGAAGCTGTGGCCTGACATGGGCACAGAGACATGGGCGAAAGCTTGAGAGATGACCTTTAAAGGCTCAGACCCCGGAAAGGGAAGAAGTTGGGACAATGGAAAGACTGGCAGGGTGGTAACATAGCAGGCAGGCTCTGGCGTAGTTGACTCTGGATTGTGTATGGTTGGAGTTGGGGATCAGGGGGTCAGGGACAGTACACAGCAATGTGGACATACATGGCCTGGACTCCTTTCCTTTACTGATGGTGGTTGGCAGGTTCAGAATTAGGAGTTCAGGTCAGCATCTTTCAGAGAAGCATTCAGATCCCTTCTGTAGAATTTTAGTCCATTCCTGGGCAGGATTCCAGTGTTTCCAGTGACAGTGACACCTAGTCCTTTCTTCTGTGCCTGTCGGTCAGGACGGAGTCTCACCTATCCTAGCAGGTGGCTGTTTTCCTTTCGGCTTTAAACATCTGCAAGGAATGAGTCTATGTGCTTCCTTGAAGCCATGTTTCCTATTTTTGAGAATGTAGAATTGGTGGCTTTGACATGGTGAATCTAAAGCCCAGCTCCACATCACTTAGCACCTGCTGTGGGCCAGGTACCATGCAAGGCATGAGTGGTTTCAGAGGTGAACAAGGGGTACTATTCTCAAGATGAAACAGTAATTCAGGCAGCCACAGTGAGACCAGATGTTCTGCATGACAGTGGAGCAGATGCCATGGAGGCAGGAAGGCCAGAGCTACCAACTTTACCAAGAGGTGGCCCAAAAGGTGGTGCTGGGAAGGATTTTGAAGAAGATATGTGTGTGCCAGGCAAAGGGTGGTTGGGTGAGGTGCTTTACAGGTTGAGAGCACAGCATATGCAAAGATAAGAAGGCACTGAAGAAATGGGGCCTGTTTTGGAAGCTGGGAACATCTCAGGGTGTCTGGATCTAGCAGGAGCACGGTGGAGATAAGGCGAGAATGCTATAGAGACCCTTGATCTGGGTGGCTTAGTGTTGGACATCATTCTCCGGTGACAGGAAGCAATAGGATAGATAGGATAGGATAGGCAGTTGCAAGAATTTTTAAGCAGGGAAGAGAGTCAGATTTTTGTTTGAAGAGGACTTTGGCCCCAGGCCACAGGAGCTCTTGCACCAAGCATGGAGAAGCCTTGGCTGGGCATGGGCAGACAGGCATTTCTGGGGTGTGGCCAGGGCTGCAGGCAGGGCTGAGCTGGTGCAGCAAGTGGGAGGTGCCAGCCCTCCAGGGGCATGGCCCAGGCTGCCAACTGCTGCTTGGGCATTGAAGCTGTCCATGCTGGCCGCTGGCCAGCAGGGCTGGTGAAGGAAGAACCCACTTCCTGCCTCTTGCTGCTGTTTGCGTATGTGCAGTGGGGAGGGGGGCAGACAGAACAGACAGGGCTTGGCCAGGCGGGTAAGAACCAGCCAGCTGTCAGCAAGAGGTGCAGTGGGAGAGACGGATGAAGGGGATACCTACCTGGAGAGCAAGGGGGTGGCCTGGCAGCTATTTTTGCCCCAACAATTGGGCTCAGCTATTCCATCGGGATGATGACACACAGAGGATGTTCAGGAGTAGAAGGCGCTGTGGTGGAGGGAAGGGCATCCTCATGTTCTACCTCCCCGGGTGCCCCTCCTCCCAGAGCTCTTGGCTGTACCATCCATTTGTGCCTGGCACATGTTTTCTTGAGATAAAATTATTTTTCACAAGTACATGCATTGCTAAATGGGATGAAGGAAAGGCGGGCCCCCGTCTCGTGCCCCTTTGTCTCCCAATCATAATCTAGCAAATGTCAGGATACGGAGCTCACACTCCGGAAACATTTGTTCAGATGCGGAGAAGTTTTAGGGAAAAGATTATCAAGGAAAAAGTGCTTGTTTTGGGATGGTCTCTGATACCTGTGGAAATGAGGGGCATCAGAGAGATTCAGATAAGAACAAGATGCACAAAAGCTCATCCACTCCCAAAAGAGCTGAGTGAGTGGAGGACTCCCTGGCCCCAGGATGCGGCCACTTCAGTGGAGGGTGTTCTGAGGGGAGATGTGTGTCATGACCAAGGCGGGCAGTCCTTGGACTCACTGCAGCCCTTCAGCATAGCATGGAGTCAGTGGCATCAGAATCACTTGCAGGGCTGTGGGGGGGTTTTGTGTGTTTTTTGTTTCTGACAGGGTCTTGCTCTGTTGCCCAGCCTCCAGTACAATAGCATAGTTATACCTCAATGCAGCTTCTACCTCCCAGGCTAAGCAATCCCCTCCACCTCAGCCTCCCTAGTAGCTGGGACTACAGGCACCCACCATCACACTCAGCTAATTTTAAAATATTTTTTGTAGAGATGGAGTCTTGCTCTGTTGCCCAGGCTGGTCTTGAACCCCTGGGGTCAAGTGATCCTCCTGTCTTATCCTCCCAAAGTGCTGGGATTACACAGGTATGATCCACCCCACCTGGCTGCAGGGCTTTCAAACTGGGCTCCAACTCCATAGTTTCTGCCACAGTGCATCTGGGGAGAGCAAGAATTGTACTTCCCACAGGGTTGCAAGTGATGTGGACGCTGCTGGCCTGGGAACCCCACTTTGAGAACCACTGCAGTGGAGGTCCCCCACAGGGATGTACCCTCAAGCACCTTTGCAATTCCATTCCTTAGGGGTGTGTATCAGAACCCCCTACTCCACGGGTGAGATTTTGAGACACTTCTGTGCCTGTCTGCTGTTGTGCCCAGGCAGTCATTTCTTCTTCTCTTTGGTTTTGCTTTACTTTGTTCCTTTTTTTTTTTTCTTGAGACAGGGTCTCACTCTCTTGCCCATGCCAGAGTGCAGCAGTGTAATTATAGCTCACTTCAGTCTCAACCTCCCAGGCCCAAATGATCCTCTCACCTCAGCCTCCCGAGAAGCCACTGAGCCCAGCCTGCTTTGTTCTTAATGCTTCAAAAATAGTTTTGGTGCCCACCCTGGTTGAAACAACGACTATGTTTCCTTTCCTGCCCACAGCGCCCTGACGACTTGGTTGGCTTCCCCAGTTTTTTGTCTTCGTTCCCGGTGTTCTCGAAGGCAAGACTGCCTCTCCCAGGCTTCCTAAATTCCCACCTCTCAGATTCCTTCGAACCCTCCCCCTGTGTCACCTCTGCCATGTGCTTCTCCCAGCACCCCCAGTTCATCCCGTCTGTGCTCCTCTGATCCCACAGTCTTCTTCCTGACTCTGTTAGGACTTTCCTTCTGCCTTATTTTATCATTCATTGGACATGTGCCTTCCCCACTTACACTATAGTCCTGAGGATGGAGTCCTGGCTCCTTTATCCCCCCTCAGTGGGTCACATAGAAGATGTATTCCATCCATATCTGCTGAATTGCAGTGAGAAGGGCCTGAGAAACAAACCAAAGCAAACCGAGACCTGTTTACATTGGCCCTTGCTGGACACCAGCTCTCGAAACGCACCTACCAAGGCCTGGGTGATGGGGAGGAGGAGGCGTTTGTGAAGCCACCCCTGAGCTGATGTGGCCGAGTGCCAGGGTCCGATGTGCTCATCAACCTTGAAAATAATTTGATTACTGATCTGTATCGCTCAGGGATCTACCACCCCCAGAGCTGTATTAAGAATGTTTTCCTCAGGCAACAAATATGCGGGCTTTGACATCCAAGTCAGCCTCAGGAATTTCATTTTATGATTGATCCTTCTTTGTTTGTTTGTTGTTTGTTTGTTTATTTTTTGCTCGTTCTTGTACATCTTCCAGATCCACCTTCTTCTTCTGGATCTCTCAGTTGACATACAGCCAAGCCCTCCCACTGCTCCCTTCCCCTCTCAAATCATTTCCAAACATGGTTCCTCTTCCTCAAGCCTGACTCAAGGTCTTGCTCTTTTACTTTGTTACGAAAGTCACAAATGACTTTGAAATGAAGCCACTGGTGTTTTCCAGGCAGATGGGGTCCCCTAACCTGGGGACCCCATGTAGTCCCCAAAGCTCTGGAGTGTTCCAGATAACTGTCTGGGAATGACTGCCCTTTTATGCTTTTTTATACCTGTCTAATGACATATCACCCCGGAGGGGATGCCCAGCTCACAGAATGCACCTTCAGCCAGTCTCAGCCCAATGCCACAGAGGTGTGCTTGACAACCCCATTCAACCTTTACCTTATTCATTCACTGTTACCATGTCGCCTGCCTTCTGACCTTTCTCCTTTAAAAAAATTTCTTTCGCCAGGCGTGCTGGCTCATGCCTGTAATCCCAGCACTTTTGGAGGCTGAGGCAGGTGGATCACGAGGTCCACTCTCAGATTGAGAGCATCCTGGTTAACGTGGTGAAACCCTGTCTCTACTAAAAATACAAAAAATTAGCCAGGTGTGGTGGTGGGCGCCTGTAGTCCCAGCTACTTGGGAGGCTGAGGCAGGAGAATGGTGTGAACCCAGGAGGCGGAGCTTGCAGTGAGCCGAGATCATGCCACTGCACTCCAGCCTGGATGACAGAGCGAGAATCCGTCTCAAAAAAATAAATAAATAAAAAATAAAAAAATAAAAATTTTTTCATCAGTGCTGTAACTAAAGGAAAATGCACTAAGTTTGGAGAAAGGACTCCTAGACTCAGTTCCTGCCTATATTTTACTCTTTAGGGAAATGGCACACCCCTCAGCCCATGTATTTGTGCGCCCTCTCCCACTTCTCTCTCCCCAAGACCTCCCCTCCCCAGCATGAGGTTGGAACTGATATTATTGCTCTTTTAAATTTGGAGCAATATGTCTCCCCGTGGAGAAGGACGAATATCTGGTTTGCACACAATTATTCACACTATATCAGCAAGGCAGGTCCCAAGGGTTAGAAGCGAGGGCTTCTCAAGGTGTGGCCCCTCTACTTCCCAGCCATGTGACCTCAGCACCTTCTGACCCCTCCCATCCTCAGCTTTCCTGCATGCTGAAGGGTGACAACCCCAGTGTTTTCCTTAAGGGATATTGCAAAGATTAAAAGGAGATCATACACATACGTATATAAAGCACTTAGCATTCATTGGTGTGCTGCATGTAATAAGTATTCAATCCATGTAGCTGTTACTTGTATTGATGGCATATATTACTAGAAGACAGAAATATAGATAACTAAGGTCACCCAGGATCCCACCCCTCGTCCGCTTGATGGCACTTGGCAGGAACTTCAGCCCCTCAGCCTGGGGCTATCTTGGTCTGTCTACACCAGGTGTAAACTCACTTCCTTGTGCTTCTGCCACCTCTGTACTGTTGCGTCTTGTTTGGCCACTTTACTCCAGGACACACAACTCAGCCCCTTCACCAATGATGCCAAGAAGTCTCAGACCATACAGAACACTTACAATTTTTCTTGGAGGAAGGAAGGAGGGAGGAAGAAGAGTATTAGGGAGAGAGGCCGGGCATGGTGGCTCATACCTGTAATCCCAGCACTTGGGAGGCCAAGGCGGGTGGATCACTTGAGATCAGGAGTTTGAGGCCAGCATGGCAAAACCTCGTCTCTACTAAAAATATAAAAATTAGCCAGACATGGTGGTGGGCACCTGTAATCCCAGCTACTCAGGAGGCTGAGGCAGGAGAATCGCTTGAACCCAGGAGCCAAAGGTTGCACTAAGCCAAGATGGCGCCACTGCACTCCAGCCTGGGAGACAGTGAGACTCTGTCTCAAAAAGGGTTAGGGAGAGGGTCAGATCATGGGGGCATTCCCATTCCACTACTTCTTTGGCTTCCTCCTTGCTTTTATTTCTCCCTCTTTTCCCAGAGCAATGAACAAATTATACCACCCCAGCTTCCTCGGGCCTCATCTTCTAACTGCAATGATTTAGTGAGCACATGTTTCTAAATAGTTTTCTTCTTAGGAGGACTTCTGTTACCATCTCCTCTTCATCTTTTATACATTTAAACACATGCCACATCCTTGGGGCAGAGCTGCCCATGTTGACATCTGGGCCACAGCGAGGACCTGCCTATCCCTGGGGAATGGTGGGGCTGCTCTGAGTGAGGGGCTTAGCAGCCTGGAGGACAACCCCTCTTGGAGAATCCCCCTGATTCCCCTGTAAAGGCAAGCTGAGCCAGGAGTGGGGTGTGGATGATTCTGTTTGTGAATCCTGGGAAGTACTTGCCTTCCCCAGCCTGCAGATATGACATTTGGATGATGGGACCCAGTAACCTATTTGTGCAGACTTCTATGCTGACTTTCTGATCAAAGGAGGAGATGAGAGGTAGGCAGCTTCTATGACACATGGGTGATTCCAGGCATGGAAAACATACGAAACCTATAACATTAATGGGAAGGCGAGTCAGGTGAAAATGTGTATATGTGCCCCAGATCCAGTAGCTGCCATGGAGGAAACCAGGACCTCATGATCCTGGAGGCCACAGTGAGGGGTTGGGGCCATGGTGAGGAACTTAGAGGAGCAGGAGATGCTCACACCACTGGCTACAAAGTGACTGAGCCTGTCTGAGACACCAGACCAAAGGTGTCCAAACTCCTTGCTCCCCAAAAAAAGATTCATGTCTCACCCCTCTGCCAGAAGAGCTGTTTCTCCTACTCAGATGTTCCTCATTCCCTCTTGCAATTTTGAAGTTAAGGAGAAGCTGATTCAGCTACAAGTCTGGTTGCTCAGGACTATGGCATATGTTACAGGTAGTTTGCCCTCTTTGAGCTACAGTTTTCCATTTGCAGACAGGGAAGAGCTCATAAAAGAGGTTATGTGGATTCATGTTTTCACTCTGTTTTCTTAAAAGTACTTGCTTTCTTTGCGGGGTGCTGTGGCTCATGCCTGTAATCCTAGCACTTGGGAGGCTGAGGTAGGCAGATCGTTTGAACCAGGAGTTCAAGACTAGCCTGGGCAACATGACGAGACCCTGCCTCCACACAAAAAAAATACAAAATACGAAAATTAGCCTGGTGTGGGGGCACACGCCTGTAGTCCCAGCTACTCAGGGGGCTGAAGTGGGAGAATTTCTTGAGCCCTGGAGGTTGAGGCTACAGTGAGCCGTGATTGTGCAGCTGCACTCCAGCCTGGGCAACAGAGCCAGACACTGTCTTGAAAGAGAAATAAAAGTTGCTTTCTGCTCTTCATGCTGCTGTGAGTGATGGAGGAAGTGACGAGCAGTCTCCTTTCATCACAGAAAAATGGAACATCACAAAGGACCAGAAATATCCCCATTGAACAACAAATTATTTGAGGGAAAAGTGGGGCAGACCACTAAAAGTCATCCAGCCCAAACTCCTCCTCATGGAGAAAGGTATCTTTTCCTTGAGCACCTGTTGGGAATGTTTCGTCCCAACACCTCATTCCAATTGTTGGATAACTCATGGCTGGAAAGTTCTTTCTTTCACTGAGCCAAACTGTCTGAAGCTCACGCTCCTTTGGTGCTGAACTGCACTTGGCAATAGCCCAGAATGATGACTGTTTTGCAGTTTGACAGCCCTCAGTGATAGGGAGCTACCCACCGCATTATCCCCTGATCTAGGCTTAACATCAAGAGTTACTTCTCCTCTTCTTTGCATGAGGTGGGTTTTCAGATGTCGTGCCTTTCTGGCTCTCCACTTCTGGATCAATGATTCTGTTGCCATCTTAAAAAGTCATGGCTAGGCTGGACACTATGGCTTATGCCTGTAATCCAAGCACTTTGGGAGGCCAAAACGGGTGGATCACTTGAGGACAGGAGTTCGAGACCAGCCTGGCCAACATGGTGAAACCCCATCTCTACTAAAAAAAAAAAAAAAATTAACCAAGCATGGTGGCATGCGCCTGTAATCCCAGCTACTTGGGAGGCTGAGGCAGGAGAATCACTTGAATCCAGGAGGCAGAGGTTGCAGTGAGCCGAGATCCACCCACCTCGGCCTCCCAAAATGTTGGGATTACAGGAATGAGCCACTGTACCTGGCCATTCTTATGTTAGTTTGCTCAACTGTCATCAGAAAGTACCACAGACTGGGCAGCTTCAACAACGGAGATTTATTTTCTCCCGGTACTGGAGGCTGGAAGTCCAACATCAAGGTGTCAGCAGGGCTGGTTTCTTCTGAGGCCTCTCTATTTGGCTTGCAAATGCCATCTGTTGCCTGTGTCCTCACATGGTCATCCCTCTGTGTGTGTCTGTGTCTTAATCTCCTCCTCTTATAAAGGCACCAGCCATACTGGATTAGGGCCCACCCTAATGGTCCCATTATAATCACCACTTTAAAGACCCCATCTCTAAATACAGTCCCATTGTGAAGTACTGGGGGTTAGGACCTCAACATAGGAATTTTGGGGGACACAATTCAGCCAGAACATTCTATCTTAGCATCATCTAGCCAAGCTGACTTTACCTAGTCTCTGCAATCACTATATTTCTACCTCTCATGCATTTGACCCCACTACCTCTTGCCTTCCTCCCCTGCTTCTCTTTCAAAGCTGCTCTTCCAAGAAGCTCTCATGCCAAGCAGGTGTCCAGTCTGTTTAAACACCCACAGAGATGGGGAGCTCCTTCTCTCTGAAGCAGCCCATTCTTCTGGCTTCAACAGCATCATACCCTAGCAATGTGGACCTGGAGAGGCCTCACGTTTCACAAACCCAAGGTGCTTTTCAATTCAGATAAAACAATCTCCAGATAAGTAAAACGACCTCCAGATAAAATGAGAACTGAGTAACATATGGGAAAAAAACAGAAATATCCCCAAAGTTGAAAACCAGTGAAACTGGATGCCTGAAGTCTGTCCACTCTGAGATACTCTTCTTGGGGAGCAGCTTTAAGCCAAATCTGGCCCTTTTCCTGTGTTACGAATACTCAAATGTTTCTTTGCTTGTTTCCAGCCGTGCGGGAGTACCGTGGTCTCTGCCCTGTTTCCTCTGCATGACAGGACTCTCCTAAATTTCACTTGCCAAGACCCCTCGGTCAAAGTAAAATTAACAGAACCCCCTGTTCTTCCCACTCTGCTTTCCAGCTCTTCCCGGCGTGCACACACACCTCCTGGAACTCCAGCCTTGTGCATCATCTTGATGCCGTCGCCTAGTAACGATATGCTTAGCAACCGGTAAGGGAAGTGCGATCGCACCTCCCAGCACTGTATGTGAAGCACTGCAGACAATACAAACAGTTCCCTGGTTCTCTTTGCAGCTAGAGGAAGGTAATTGTCAGAGGTGGCCAGCATTATGCTCCAGAGATAGTGGCTCATCATCCGGGGGCCCAAATTGGTTGTTGCTTGGCTTCTACTTGGCATTGGGCAATATCTTTGTGGGGGCGGCTGGGTAGGTGGTTCTTGAAGGGCCGGATCTCTCTGCTTGCACTTGTTGTCAGGATGCCAGTGATGCAGGCTGGGCAGCTTGCAGAATCCTCTCTACTCCCACGCAGCCCTGCCCTGTACCAAGCCACATCCCCCTGCATCCCAAGCCATTCCCCGCTGCCTCTTCCATTTGGAGGCTGTTCTTCTATGCCCTGGCACTGCACAGGCCTCCACCTTGCAGCTGACCTGTCCTCCCAGTACCCATGCCTCTGTCTTTCCAACACCCCATCAGGCATGTTTCTCCCTCATCACTATCTCTCACGTTCCTATGCATCCCAGCCTCAGACCACTGGGTCTGATGCCAAACAGAGGGGACTGAGGCCCACCTCCTGTTCTCTTCTGGTGTCCTTATTAGAAATTGGATCATTGTGACTTAACTAAAGTTTCCAAGGTGTCATGTTGCACTGAGAAAACAACAGAGAAGGCCAGAGAGTCTAGAGTCTAAAAGTGTATTTCCAATCCCAGATCCCTTTTTCTGTTTGTTTTTTGGTCTTAACTGTATGACTTAGGTCAAGTTTCTTTAACCTCTTTAAGTCTTAATTTTCTAGAGGGGTTGGAATATTTGCCTCACATGGCTAGGATGACAATTACATAAGGTACAAATAGAACCCCGTAATAAACCACATGGCATACAGTCAGAGAACCCGTTAAATATCCTCTTCCTGTCCTTCCATCTCTGCCTCTTTGTTCTTCCTTTCAAACTTCAAGCTAAAGCCAGTTTTGGAGTTGGATTCTCAGAAGGCAGCACAGTGCATTGGCAGGAATGCGGGGCAGGGGGTGAAGACCTCAGCTCTGATCCTGGGCCCCACCCCCAACAGCCCCGAGATTCCTTTCATTCCCCTGTAAAATGGAGCGAAGAGCACCTGGCATGTCTCATGCAAAGAGCTGCTATAAAACTCAAAGGAAATAATATTCATCAATATCCTGTACACATTTTGAGATGTTTTACAAATTTTAGAATAATTTTCTCGGACAAACCTGGTCTCATTTTTGCACCTGTAAAATGAAATGAGATTCCAACATGCCTAAAACCCCCTTAAATCCTAATATTGTGACAAACTGAGAGGTGATGGTTGCTTGCCCTTCAAGGGCCACCCTAGACAGGACAGACTCCTTCATCACAGGCAGTCTTTGTCCTAAAGTTGTCAGGATAGATTGCAGCAATACTTCCACTCTCTGTTCACAGGGTCCCCTTGACCAAGGTGGCTGGTTATCACCCGGTCAAGACTTCAGCCCAGTAACATTCTGCAGGCTTCTCATCCTAGCATGGAAATGTATATAACTCTGTTCTTTCAGTAAGCAAAACAAATGAGTCAGAGCATACTCAAAGCATGATAAAGGTACGGGGAAGCAATCGCTAGTGTAGGTGTTTGAAGTTTATGTCATGGATACTTCCATGGTGGCTGTGTATTTAGTAGCAGCCTAAAAGACAGTGGAATTTGCAAATGGAGGATACATTAAGCAAGAAATTTAAAAAGGCGTAACGTAAGTCACAGTAAGTCAAACAGCAGAGGGACAAACAAATAGAATTTGGATGTTATTGAAACCTTGAAGGTTGGGAGTCTGGCCATGAGCCAGAGACATTTGCATTCTCTTCTGAGAGACTTCCCCCAGCCAGGCAATTATAGGGTCTCCAAATAACAGAGCATCTCAGCAGATAAGATAGGAGATTCAGAGCTCTCAAAGCTCTGGATTTGTCTGGAATATCTATTTCAATAACCTTTGGGGAGAGGGGTGCAACCCCACTCAGGGACCTTGCTGTTATACATTCTCCAGTCCCGTGACTTCAGGGCAAAGATCAGTAGAGCCTCCTGTTAATAAGTGGGGGAACTCCTGCTTCGTAATAAAGTTGCAAGAGGTCGGACATAACACAAGTGCGAACTGTTAACCCCAGTTGTAACTAACTTTTTAAAAGTATAGGTATTTGGGGCTGGGCAAGGTGGCTGATGCCTGTAATCCCAGCACTTTGGGAGGCCGAGGCAGGTCATCACCTGAGGTTAGGAGTTCAAGACCACTCTGGCCAACATGGTGAAACCCCATCTCTACTAAAAATACAAAAATTAGGGTGTTGGTGGCACATGCCTGTAATCCCAGCCACTTGAGAGGCTGAGGCAGGAGAATTGCTTGAACCCGGGAGGCAAAGGTTGCAGTGAGCCGAGATCACACCAGTGCATTCCAGCCTGGGGGACAGAGAAAGTCTCCGTCTCAAAAAAAAAAAAAAAATATATATATATATATATATATATATATATATATATATATATATATATATACGTGCTTGGAGCAGGCACAGTGGTGCACACCTGTAGTCTGTAGTCCCAGCTACTCAGGAGGCTAAGGTGGGAGGATCACTTGAGCCCAGAAGTTCCAGGTAGCAATGAGCTATAATTATACCATTGCACTCCAGTCTGGGTGACAGAGCAAGACCCTGTCTCTAAAAATGAAATATATATATATTTCACAAGGAGCAGTGGGATTTAATCTATGTTCTTCCTGGACCCATAGAATAGAAAGTCATGGAATCAAAGAATATTAAGCCGATAGGAACTGTAATAATCACCTGGTCCAATCCCTTTAATCACGGGTGAGAAAATGGTCTCCAAGATGTTAGAAGTGATTAATCTGGGATTGTAGAAATGTTCCATTTGCCTTTAAAATAAAAATACAAAAATAAGAAAGCATAAAAGTGACTTACCTAAGGTTCCACAGCCACACAGACAAAGAATTTGTCTAGACCCTGAATCTGTTGACTTCCATCCCTCTACTGGTCCTAATGGATTCCATCTGAGGCTAGAACTGAGTTTCCAAAAATATCCTTTACCAAAAAAAATAAATTAATTAATAAATAAATAAAAGTGTACTAATGCCTCCAACTAGTCTTTGCAATGTAAAACTTTCCATTTTCAACATTTCACAATCTCCAGGATAATTTCATCAACATTATCTTTTGAATAAAACATAGACTTATCTATGGGGAAACATTACACCTAAAATGTCAGCAGTCAGCAAATCTCTCAAAAGACACCTGGTTATGTAGGATTAAAACCACCCGTTGAAGGGCAATGTGAAAATGGAACCTCTGTTTGACTTTCGTAACCCACTTCCCACGTAGCCCATCCACTGGAGGGAAAGAGAAACTGCTAATGGGATGGTAAAAGCAGTTTGAATGCCATCCCCCGCAGAAGCTCCTGTCTACAGCTTTTGTTCCCATGGTCTCTTCAATAAATATGACTCAGGCTGCTGTTTGGGCTTCACTTCCTCTGGGCAGGGAGCTGACAGCAGCGGCTCTGCTGTGCCCATCATGGTTGACTCAGGGGACCCACGGCGGGGGGGCTGCCTGTCCTCTCCCCAGCTGACCAAACACCCTTCTGCTCTTCCAAGCGCTGCTGTCCCTGACTCTTCTAGCTTTCAAAGTTCTCACCAATTCATAAGGCTGGTGGCTCCCCATCACCCCATTACTTTTTCTAAAGCAGTGCTGTGCACGTATCTTGATAAGCTGCCAAAGTGCTTTTTTCACCCACCTACTCACCTATAGAATTCATAGTCTCCAGTGTAGGCATGACGCATGGAAGGCCAAGGAAAGGCCAACATGTGTTCCTGCAAAAAACAAAAGCAAAAGACAGGAAAAGCCTCCCAACCATCTCACCTCTTCTAAATGCTTGTTGGAGCAAGACCACAATCTACTTAACGTCTTCAGGGGTGGAGGGGGGGCGGTCATCTGGGCCAGCCTACACTTGTAAACTTCTTTTTGCTATAGAATCAGCTATGAAAGGAGCTTTCACTTATTTGGATACACATTATTTGATATGGTTTGGCTGTGTCCCCACCCAAATCTCATCTTGAATTCTCATGTGTTGTGGGAGGGACCCGGTGGGAGGTAATTGAATCATGTGGGTAGGTCTTTCCAACACTGTTCTCATGATGGTGAATATGTCTTGTGAGATCTGATGGTTTTGAAAAACGGAAGTCTCCCTGCACAAGCTCTTTTTGCCTGTTGCCATCCATGTAAGACGTGACTTGCTCCTCCTTGCCTTCTGCCATAATTGTGAGGCTTCCCTAGCCATGTGGAACTGTAAGTTCAATTAAACCCCTTTCTTTTGTAAATTGCCCAGTCTCAGTTATGTCTTTATCAGCAGTGTGAAAATGGACTAATACATTATTATTCTAAACTCAAGGGGATGGATTCTAGAACAAGAACTGTAGCATTTTACATAACAAGAACAGTTACAAAGGATTGAATAAAGAGTATGGGGGTCTCCTTCACCTAAGCCAGCCCAGGCTACAGTCACCTAAAGGATACAGAGAAGTGGAGAACCACATTTTCACGGGACTGCTCATCTAGTCTTGGGATTAAAGGGGATTAATTGCAAAAATATTTAGTTAGCAATCCAAAAATATTTAGCGTCCACTACAGAAGAGACCCAGAAGATTTACGGTATAAGTTTGCCATAAGCTACATACCAGTTGGGCTGTTAATGTTGGGGGCTGTGTTTTTCTCCAATACTCAAGGGCAGTAGGGAGTGGATGGGGAGATACCACATCAGGCTAGTCAGTCACCCTTGGCTTTGGGATGGCACTCCTTGTCCAAGAAAGTGCTGTTTTTTGCTAGGACATCTCAGATGCAGGGTGCATTGCTTACCAATCTGCTGTGAAATTTTCTCCTCCTTGTCCTTTCTTCATATGGGATAGGAAAGGCCCAGCTTGGCCTAACTATGCCCTCACACGCTGATCTGTGAGTGTGAGTAAACACAGCTCCTAACTCATTCACTCATGCATGCTCGCTCTCTCTCTAACACACACACACATTGATCCTGTGGTCACCATAGCACAGCCCTGTATCTACCTAGTAATGGCAGACCAAGACAGCACTTGAACAGATGAGGCAACTAGGGTAGGGCTGTTCCCAGGGGAGGCTGTTCAGGAGGCACGATTTCTACTGCTCAGCTGCATGAAGGTTAATAGCCTGGAGTGCCAACTCCGTAAACCTTATCAGTCACTTAGACCTGACTATGGGTGGCTCTGTAAGATATTTCCCAAGAGCAGGGGACAAAGAGCCTCAGCAGAAATGGGCCTGCTATTGAAGATGAAGCAGGGAAAGGCAGGTGTCACACCCCTGTTTATTGTCCCAGCACTCTTTTAGTTGCAGATGACAGAAACCCAAAAGAGAGGATTCACCTTGGCTCACATACCCAAATTAAGGGAAGATTCAGGAAGCAGCTGAACTCAGGTGTGGTGGGAATCAGGACCTCATCCCAGAACCTCAGACATCTCTGTGTCTGCCCCTCTGCCTCTGCTTCTGTCTCTCACATCTCTGGCTGTCATTACATGTTGGCTTAATTCTTTCAGAACAACTTGTGCCAAAAGAAAGGAACTTGGTGGCTAATGGTGTCTGAGCTCCCAGCCATAGCCCTATCACCCAGAGAAAAGCCCTTTTCCCCAAGCTAAAGTAAAAATGCCAAAGAATAACTCTGATTAGTTTGGCTAAGATCGTGTGTCCATTTCTGGACTAACCCCCACAGCCAAAAGGGTGGGGTACTGTGTTTGCTTCCTCTTGATTAATGTGCCCCATCCTGTGGTCCAGGCCAGGACGGGGAGGAAGAGGAGATGGTGTTCTGTGATGAGCCGTCTCCACTAGCACACAAGGCTGGCCTGGGAGGAGGAACAGTCTCACAAAGAAAGCCAGTGAAATTCTCCCAAGCAGGGAAAGGAGACGTTGCAGACAGATGAAACAATTGAGGTCACCTGCAATCTATGTGCAAGCAGTTTTTGATTTGCGGCCGGCAGGTATGTTGACTGTTGGGAGGACTGTTAAACTTGGAAAACAGGAAAATAGTGACATCCGAAGTGCTTGAAAAATGGCAGCGTGTAATTATAGCTGGGAACAAAATAAAACTTTGCAGAAAGAACAGGTAGTGAGGGTGTGAAGTATATGTCAATAAATCATTTACATACCGCTGGGCTGTTTGATGATTGTTATTCTATGAAGGTAAATGAGCTTGCCTTCCTTGTCTCATTGGCCTGCTTGTAGGATCTCACCAACCAATTTGTGTGTTTGCTCCTTGTTCTGTCTCTCCTGGGCTGGAACCCAATGTCAATATTAGGGATGGTCTTCCGACGGAATCATCCCTGATTTTCAAGGATGATATTTTTATTATACTGCTTATGTCTAGAGCTGAAAAACCACCTTGCTCTTCAGTCTTGAGGGAATGATGTTCTTACAGTAAACGACTCTTTTTGATTCTGCCTCTTAACTCCCCAGACTATACTTTGTTCTTATTCAAAAGGAGCATTAGCTCTAATACTCTGCTACAGGCTGTCTAATAACAACCTCCCAAAGATGTCCGCATCCTAATCCCAGAACTTGTGCGTGTGCTACCTTACATGCCAAAGAGACTTTGCAGATGCAATTAAGTTAAGGATAGTGGAATGGGGAGATTATCTTGGATTATCCGGTTGGACCTAATGTTATCACAAGGGTCCTTTTAAGAGAGAGGCAGGAAGGTCAGAGTAAGAGAAGGCAGTGCAACAACAGAAGCAGAAGTCAGAAAGAGGGAGGGAAGAGAGAGAGAAGAGAGACAAGAGAGAGATTGTAAGGCACTATGCTGCTGGTTTTGAAGATGGAGGAAGGAACCGCGAGCCAAATAATGTAGCCTCTAGGAGCTGGAAAAGACAAGAAGAAGGATTCTCCCCTAGCACCCCAGAAAGAAGTCAACCCTGCTGGCACCTTGGTTTTAGGACTTCTGACCACCAGAATGGTAAGATAAATTAGTGTTGTTTTAAGCCACTAAATTGGTGGTAATTTGTTACAGCAATAGTAGGCAACCAATACAGCTACCTTTCTGGAGAGCAACTTGGCAGCATGTACTAAGAAATATGAGTGTATTCCTTCTGACTCAGTAATTCTAGCTCTAGGCTTCTCTCCTAGTGAAATAATCAGATCTGTAGAAATACACTTATATATTTAGAAGTTTGAGGCTACGCATGGTGGCTCATGCCTGTAATCCCAGCACTTTGGGAGGCCGAGGCCAGTGAATCACAAGGTCAGGAGTTTGAGACCAGCCTGGCCAACATAGTGAAACCCTGTCTCTACTAAAAATACAAACAATTAGCTGGGCATGGTGGCAGGCACCTGTAATCTCAGCTACTTGGGAGGCTGAGGCCCGAGAATTGCTTGAACCCGGGAGGCAGAGGTAGCAGTGAGCCAAGATCATGCCATTGTACTCCAGCCCAGGCGACAGTGCAAGACTGTCTCAAAAAAAAAAAAAAAGTTCCAGTATTATCTAGAATACTAGAATAGTAACACCTTGGAGCCGTCTGAGAGCCCTACTGGTGGCTCTATCTCTATTATAATTACAACACTGTTCAAGTAAGAAAACATGGCCCCCTTAGTGATGACAGTCCCTCTCTATGTGGCTTCCAGCAATGTGTTATGATCGCAGGTTGGGGTGGCCTGTATTAGGAAAAGACTGTGATGACAGCTTTGCTGTTGATCTATTGATTCAACAAATGCTTACTGACCGTATTGGGCCCTGGGCCAGAGCTGAGGGCAAAGAGTAAAGGACATCTATGGGATTGTAAGGAAGCTGCAAGAGTCTGGCCAGGGAGATGGTTATCAACACAGAGACTTCACAGAATACTTGGTGTTTTACTTAAAACTTGAAGGATTGATAAGAATGAACTGCAGCTGAAAAGCCAATGAATTCATGGAATGCAGTATAGATCCTCACTGCTCACGAGGAATTCTGAAGGCTCTGATGAACTGCAGCTGAAAAGCCAGTGAATTCATGGAATGCAGTATAGATCCTCACTGCTCACCAGGAATTCTGAAGGCTCTGCAGCCTGAAGCAGGACTAGCCCTCTTGTCAAAGAGCTGCAGTCAATAGCGGAAAAACGTAAACAATGCAAATGTCCTTTAATGGGAGACTAGTATATTCACACCATGAAATACTACTCAGCAATGAAAATGAACAAACTATTGACACGGGCAACGACCTGGATGGATCTCAAGGGTATTATGCTGAATGAAGAAAATGTTCATCTCAAAAAGTCACATACTGTATGATTCCATTGACATCACATCCTTTAAGAGATGAAACTGTAGAGATGGAGAGCAAACTAGGGGTTGTGGAGATGGGTGGTGGCACGAATGTGTCTAAAAGGGGTAACCCAAAGAAGTCTTTTCACGGTGATGAAACAGTTCTGTATCTTGACTGTGGTGATGGTCTCATGAGTGTGTTCACAGGATGAAATTGCATGGAACTACATACATACCACACACACCCACACATACGAATGAATCCATGTAAAAAAAATAATGAAAATGGGATCAGGTCTGTAGTTCAGTCACAGTATTATATGAATGTCAGTTTCCTGGTTTTGATATTATTATTCTACAAGGTGTTCCCATTAGGGGAAGATGAGTCAAGGGTACTCAGGACTCTATGTGCTATTTGTACAACTTCCTGTGAGTCTATAATTCTTTCAAAATAAAAAGTACAAAAAATACTGACAAATTAAAATTCCTCTGACACTTCTTCTGTCTCCAAGAATTTTCTCACCACTTGTATGGTTCCAGAGCCACTTCAGTTGGTGTTTAAATATTAATCCCTCATGGTCCTCACATCATTTCCAGGGGTCTTCTCATGATCTTGTAGGATAGGGAGGTAACCAGCAACTGACAGCAGAAGAGAATGGGAAATTCATTTTCTTGCAAATCTCCAGTGCAGGGGGCCACCCCGTGCCTGCCATCTCCCTTAACCGCTATCAGGAGCATCATTTCCCAACCACCAGCTTTGAAGGAAATTGGGTCTCTTGTTGTGAAACTGGGCTTTCTTCTCTCTCCTTTGTCAACTCTGAATGAGAGAGGGGAAATGGGTCAGGTTAGAGAGAGGAGATGCCTTTTTTGAAGAGGAGATCTGAGTGAGATAAAGATATAGATAGCCAAGAGTAAGTGAGATAACAGAGTAGGTGCTCTGGCATAATAGAAAATGCACAGGCTTGGAATTACAGCTGCATTCATTCATTCATCTGATATTTATCAAGTGCCTAATCTGTGCCAGGCATAGTTTTACATGCTAGGGATATGGAGTGAAAATATGGTCCCTAGCCTCATGGAGATTATGTCAGATGACTGCAATTTAGACTCTATAGCTCCCCAGTCATGTGACCTCTGAAAAGTCACTTAATATCTTTGAAGCTCGGTTTCTACTCTGTAAATTGGGGTTACTAGTAGTAATTGGGGTAACCAAGCCAACCTCATTGGATTTCTATGGGGTTGCATAAGAAGGTTTACTTAGTTCTTAGCACAATGTCTTAAACATAGTAGACGTTCCCTTTTTCTCATTAGTTCTCTTCATCCTCACTCTTTGCTCCCCTCCTTGGTAGATTGGTTAGAACCATCTAAATTCCCCCAGGGCAGCACAGGGCTGTGGATATAGCTCTGCACTGTAGGTTCAGCTGAGTTAAGCCATCCTCAGTTGAGTTGACTGCTACACAGTTTTGTAGCACTCAGGCCAAATGAAACCATGAAGAAGAAAAGAAGCAATACTTTTTGCATTTCTGTCCATTTTTGCTTTATATTTTTAATTGTCTGTGTTTTGGTGCATATAAGCTTATGATTGTAACTTCTTGGCAAATTTTTCCTTTTTAACATGATTCCTCATAATCATATTTTTAATGTTTTTCTTCAAATCTTATTTGCTATTTTATATATCAATATCAACTTTCACTTAGTAACTGGTTTATATTTTTCTGTCTCTTTATTTTTAACTTTTGATGTCTTAATGTTTTTAGGTTTGCTTCTTGTAAACTACAGATAGCTGGATTTTTAAAAAATTAAGTCTAAGTGTCTTTGTCTTTTAACAGGCAATTTAAGCTTCTTTATTTATTAAGACTTCTAATATATTTAGTATATGTATACTACATTATTTTGTTTGCCATGCTTCATCTTTGCCTTTTCTCACCTCTTGCCTTTCACTGTATTGATTATGTGTTTATTATTTTCTCCTCTTGTAGCCTATTGGTTTAGAAGTTATATATTAGGTTTCTATTATTTTAATGGAAAAATAGGTTAAAAATAAAACCTAATAATAGGTTTCTATTATTTTAATTTTTTAACACATACTTGAATTTAAGGTCTAACATTAATCAATATCATTATCCTCCTTACCAAATTGGAAGGATTTTATGGCACTTTGACTCTAATCTTTCTCTTCTCATGTCCCAAACTGTTGTCCACTGGTATTATAGTATTATCTTCTTTTCAACATCTCCCCTCCCCATTTTAGCCATTAGGATTATTATCTTGGACTTTGCATACCTTCTTTTTTTTCTATTTAGATATTGCAAATATATATATTTTTGAAACATACATAGTCTTGCTCTGTCACCCAGGCTGGAGTGCAGTGGCGCGATCTCAGCTCACTGAAACCTCCACCTCCCAGGTTCAAGTAATTCTCCTGCCACAGCCTCCCGAGTAGCTGGACTACAGGCATGCACCACAATGCCTGGTTAATTTTTTGTATTTTTAGTAGAGAAGGGGTTTCACCATATTGGCCAGGCTGGTCTCAAACTCCTGACCTCAAGCGATCTGCCTGCCTCAGCCTCCCAAAGTGCTGGGATTACAGGCGTGAGCCACTGCACCTGGCCTTGCAAATATACTTTTTATTGTCTTAAGTTATTCCATTTACTTCAGTTCTTGATTTTCTAATCTATAACGTGCATCTGCTGCCCCTTTCTCAAGGTGGGTTGCTTGGTTGTATGGATCGTCACTGTGAATTGGGGCAGGAGGAGCAGGGTATTTATGTGTTTTTGCTTATGGAAATGCACTCCAGAGTTCTGCTTTTTCCTCTGCTTGAATCACTTGTCACCATCTCTGGATTTGTTTTTATTTTAATTACTTGGATTAGAATTCCCACTGCATGTAAGTAGAATGACACAGGTTTTGGGTTTTACCTTCTCTCTTTCTTTCTCTCTCCCTATCTTTCTTTCTTTCTTTCCTGGGACCCAGACAGAGGTCAAGCTTCTTCATGCCCAGGGCTGGTGAACAGTGTTTCTAGTGCCCACCTTGTAGTCAGGATGGTATTTGTTGAGTTAATCCCTGCCTCACAAGGGTCTGGAGCCTGAAGACATCACCCTGCACAAACGTTAAACCCCCGGCCCCAGCTCCTGGGCCAACATCCTCTGATACCCAGGTGGCCTCCATAGCTTTAGTGCCCACACACTGCTTTAGATTTTTCCGGATATTTCTGACACCTGAGAATTTCTTCTTTACCACTCGGATGTGATTAAGATGTCTTTGTTATGGTTTATTCAGCATGCCATGCATATGAAGGGGGAAGGGCCCAGTCGACATTAGGTCTGTCTATTACAGGACTGAAAAATCATACATCCCCATGTTCTCACATTGGCAAAAGCTCACTTTCATTTATTCAGTCAACAAATGTCACTGAGTCAACTAGAATCTAGGTCTAGGGTGACGCATAAAGAGACACAGTCCTCCCTGAGCTCCCAGAACTTAACACCCAGAATGGGAGATGGGCTGGAATCAGACAGCCCAAGGAATCCATGCGCGATGCCGGCAAGCGCCGCAGAGAAGGAAAGTCATGCTGATGCTGATGGGAGACGGCTGATGCTCAGAGGAGGCCTGGCCTGGGCAGGGGTCAGGGAGGGATAGAGACAGGGAGCTGTCACAGAGGCCAGAGGACAGCCCAAGAGCATTCAGTGTTTCTGGTGCCCTTCCTCCTTCCAGGTCCCTCCCTCCTTCCAGCCCCGTTCCTCCACCATGGAAGCCAATGTGACTTGTGAGCTAGCTGGCTCCTGAACCGGTGGCAGAACCCCATGGCGATGCAATCATAAAGGGGTGGGGGTGGGTGAGAGGGCAGGATTTCCTGGGGTACGATGCCCCAATACACTGTGAACTACCAAATGACACGTATATTCTGTGAACTTTCAAAAAAGGATGTGAAAGACTTCTGTGCAAACATTTCACCTGGGATCTTTTCACTAGCAAGATGGGGAGAAAAAGCCAAAACTGCATTTCTCTCGCCCTCTGGGTCTAGATGTGGGGATTTCTTCTCCTTCCAGATGACAACCAGGAAGGGCCCCCAATTATTCTCGAAATAAAACGTGTCGGTCTTTCGAAATGGTCAGTGGGGTGATGTCTGGGTCCCAGGAAAGAAAGAAACATAGGATTTGTGCTTTTTGTTGATATGAAGTTAAGGGGTACAAGTGAGAGTGATTTTGTTACATGGGATACATTGCATAGTAGTAAAGTCTGGGCTTGTAGTGCAACCATCACCCGAATACTGTTTATTGTACCCATTAAATAATTTCCTATCCCTCACCCCCTTCCCACCCTCCTGAGTCTCCAATGTCTATTATTCCACACTCTATGTCCATATGTACAAATTATTTAGCTCCAGATTTAGCTTTTTATTTCTTTTTTGTTTCCTTTTTGTTTGTTTATTTGATATAGGGTCTTGCTCTGTTGCCCAGGCTGGAGTGCAGTGGTGCAATCATAGCTCACTACAGCCTCGAACTCCTGGGCTCAGGTGATCCTCCCATCTTAGCCTCCCGAGTAGCTGGGACCACAGGCATGCACCACCATGCCTGGCTAATTTTTTATTTTACTTTTTGTACAGATGGGGGTCTCACTTTGTTGCTCCAGCTGTTCTTGAACTCCTGGCCTCAAGCGATGCTCCCACTTTAGCCTCCCAAAGTGCTGGGATTACAGGCATGAGCCACCGCAGCCGGCCTGGATTTGGCTCTTTAAAGGAAAGAGCGAGCCCTGGACTGGGCAGGGTGGGAAAATGGCCCCAGCTCTCCCTCTGACTTCAGGGAGGGACCTTGGATAGGGGGCTTATGGGCTCCAGGCACCTTCTCTGTAAAATTAGGTCATACTAAGGGAGCTGGAGGGCCCTTCTCTTTCTGGTATCCCAGGTGGTCTCCCCAGGGGTGGTGGTTGTGGCTGAGGCCCACTGCCTGCTTTTCTGGTGCTCTCAATGAAGTACAGTCCTGGGGTCCTCTGTATGTGGATGGACTAGGCTGTGAAGTCTATCCGCCCCCCTGCTCCGCTCCACACCCACACACTGCTCTTCACTGATAACCCCGATGATGCAGACAGCCTCCCTCAGGAATTTTTCTCATCCTCCTAGTCATCATTTCAGTCAGCCCTGCCCCGTGTGCCAGACAAGCACACTCTATGTGTTCAAAGGTGATGCACCGATCGTGCCCTGTCTGATGTTTACTAACCAACCTGACTGGGTCTGTGGGTGACAAGGGCAGGCCCTGTTTCCCTTGGATCTTCCTTTTATGGACACAAATCGCTGACCTGTCTGGGCAGGCCTGCTCTAATCCAGGTCTGGCCCTGAGCCTCCTGTCATTTTGCTGACCCAGTTCATCATCCTGGAGGCAGGGCTTGAGTTGAAAAGTTAGAGCCTCAGGGCAGCACCAGGAGCCTGCACTTTCCGGGGCCTCCCCTTCTCTCTCCCCTAGGCTGACCTGTCCTCCCCTCTCCACTTCCTGGGCGTGACTCACAGGCAGGCCCTATCGGCATGGCAGGTATGTGTCATTTCCTTATGCTGGTGAGACCCAGAGTTTCAGTGTTAGCACCCCCACACTGTGGCTCTTCTAGCCCAATGGAGAAGGGCTAAGGGTTTCTAAAGTCGTTGACCTAGGGATTTACTGTTGGGATGAATTTCTCACCTAGGGGAGGTGTTCTGTTTTTGCTGAGAGATGACTGTGGGGAGCAGGGTTCTCTGCTCCTCTGACACTACTCATCCTCCTTCCCAACACCTGTGGGCCTTTAGCAAAGCAACACCCCACCCCCACCTTCACCCTGACCCCAGCAGTGTTTTCTTTCCCCCCACCAAGACTTCCTTGGGGCCCTCTGGCCTTGCCAAACCCCCTTTGTAGCAGCCTCCCCTTCCAGCAGTGACAGGAGGGACCCAGCCTCGGGAGCCTGTCTCTGAGAGACAGATGCAGGCAAAGAGCCGTTACCATGCAAAATCTAGAACTGTTCCCACGTGAAATCTAGAACTTCTCCCACACGAAATCTAGAACTGCTCCCACACGAAATCTAGAACTGCTCCCATGCGAAATCTAGAACCACTCCCATGCGAAATCTTGAACCGCTGGGTGGAAATGAGGTTCAGTAGGTGCGGCAGTGTCACCTCTCTGGAGCATCTTCCCAAGTCTTTATGACAAACAGGGATACCCTCATGGCCAGAGTCAGCTGGGAATTTTTGTGGAAGCAGCTCCTTGGATAGCATCACTCCTGTTCTCGTCATGGTGGAAAATGACTAAAAACTCAGGATATCCCACTGGCCCTGGGCAAATTCCCTCATTGGAGTAGGGACTAGGACAAGGGCCAGCCCATCCTGTCAGGCCAGAGCACTTCTGTGGTCTTCAGCCCAGTTCTGAGGGCCCCTCTTGAACCAGCTTTTGGGAAGCTTTGAGGGAGAGAGGGGAGCCAGAGAGGACGTCTCGTGAGAAGTGTTTGGAGGAACTGAGGCAGGTCCAGGGAAGGCCTGGGAGAGCAGAGGAGCTGTTTTCCACTAGTGAAAGGTCAGGAGGTGGAAGTGAGATGGGTTTTGTTCTGTGCATCTCCATGAGCAGGCCCAGGAAGTTACAGAAAAGTAGATTTGGGATGAATATAAAGGAAGGTTTTTTAATAATTAGAGCTCCGAGCAATGGGACAGGTTGCAGAAATGTTGAGAGAGTGAGTTTCTCATCACTAGAAGAATTCAAGCAGGAAGTGGGCAAGAGGGAGTGCCCGCATGGTCTGGGATGCAGGGAATGGACTCTGACTGCTCTTGCTGCTCTGAGCCTCTTGATTCTGATTTGGGTCTACCCCTGCCCTTCTTGCAAGTCCTCCTTTTTCTCATCATGGACCTCCTCCCCGGAGCCAGGCAGAGGCTCAGGGGCTCTCCCATGTCCTGTCTGAGTAGGCTGCATGATGACTATTGATTGGCTGAAGCCCCAGAAATACCTGCCATGTGCTGGGCTGTGACAGTCACTTGGCGTTCCTGGGACATGTTCATGTGAATTCTCACCGGTGGCTTCACCCACCCCCAGTCCTGTGGGCCACGATTACTCTCCCACGTGCTGGAGATGAGGAAGTGAGGAAATACCCAGGGCGCTGCAGGGCTAAGATTAGACTAGGGCCCGGCCGCCTGTCTTGACACATGCGCACAAGCAGCTCCCCCAAGTTAAGAGCCTGTGTATCAGCTGAGTCCCAGGGCCTGGGGCTCTCCACACACTCTACATACAAACACCTGGCAAGGAGTCCTCACAACAGCGCTGAAACAGCTGCATCAGCGTCCCGTTTTACAGAGAAAGAAGCCAGGGTTCAGGATAGTTGGAAATAAGTCTGTGCATGACTAGCAAGGGATAGAGCTGTGGCTTGTGCTCAGCTTTGCCCTCTGTGCCACTGACTGCCACCAGAGGCTGTAAGCTGCCTTCCATGCGATGCACCTCAGGCAGCTCAGAGAATGCACCTCAGGGGCTTCAGCCAGGGCAGTTCGTTTCCATACTCCTGGGTGAATGATGGCCTCCTCCAAGAATTCCAGGTCCTATGCTAAATACAACTGGGAAAGAAGTGCGTAACGCATTATTTCCAGCTTACCAGAAACCTGGAGCCCCAAAGGGTAAACATAGCACATTTACAATAAGCCAGATGTGCTGAAAAGGGAACAGCAGCCGTGAAGAAAAGCTTCCTGACGGAGGTGAAACTTGAGGTGGGCTTTACCAAGAGGAGTCTTAGATAGGCAGAGATATGGAGGTGTGAGGCGGGGAGACATTCGCTCAGTACTGCAGGGACTGAACAGAATTTTGCCATGAATTCTTGAGCTACAGTTAAGCAAGCATTATTGACTTTCCCACTTTGTCTACCTGCATATGAGTGATCCCAGAACCTTCCAGCCCCACCTTCTCATCCTGACTTGATGAGTGGCCTCACTGACGTCCAATTGACGGGAGAAGATTGTAGGCAATATTCGCTTTTCTTCTAACTGGCTGTCAATTCCTGTGGATTCCACCTTGGGACATCTTCCTTCATCTACTCCTTTTTCCTCATTATCGCCCCCATCTTGAGTAAGACACTACTTCTTGCCAAAATCAATGCATTTGTCACTCGATTGCTGCCCCAGGGTTTCTTCCTGCAAATCTGTCCTATGCATACCTGTGGGTAGTCACCTCTGTAAACCTTGACACTTCTGATGACATCTTCAGCAAGCCTCAGGCTTTCCTGCAGTTTTGCTCATATACATTCTAAGTTTTTCTGATAGCTTTCAACCCACGTCTTCTTGTTTGCAAACCTATCCAGCCTGGAAGGTCCAACTCATATCCTGCCTTTCCCATGAGATGAAATTAACTTTCTTCACCCATGCTGCTCCCCAGACATAATTTCATGTCCCCTTCGCTTGCGCTAACCACACTGTGCTGCGTGGTATTATTTGATGGCGATATCTGTCTCCCCAACTTGGCTGTAAGTCCCTGGATCACTACTTACTCCTTTTGTACTCTCTCTCGTCTGCCAACCTGGTGGGTACTCAAAGGTGTTTGTTGAATTGATTGTAGTCACAATTCCCGCAGTTCATCCCTAGCCCGAGGGAAGGCAGGAGACCCATGACACCTTAATCTTGGCCTCTTTCTTTGGAAAAAGAAAGAGTTTAGCAAGACAGGGACCTGCCTAAGCCTTGGTTTCTTTCCTCTGCAATATGGCAAAGTCCTGTATGTTTCTTTGAGAGACAGTGTGGTGTACTGGTAAAGGAAATAGGAAACAGATCTGCCATTTCCTACCTCTGTGGCACTGAGAGAGTTCCTTTAATCTCCTATGCCTCAGTTTCCCCATATGTAACATGGTAGAAGAATGATAATACCAACTTCGTTTTGCGGATTAAATGAGTTAACATTTGTCACCACTCATTAAAAATACCCCAAAGATATTTATTATTTTAAGGTTATTATGAGTAGTAGCCTGTGCTCCCTCCTAGAGGGCAAAATGCACAACCTTAAAGCTAGGAGGGCCTGAGATGACCCTGGTGATGGGGACTGTTCCAGCCAGACATTGCTGGTAATTTGCCTTCCTTTCAAGGGCTGTAAAACTGCTCCTCAGTTATGAAATGAACCAATTAAGGACTTCGGACTTAGCCAGTCCTGACAGAAGCATTTCAAACAGAACCACTAATCATACCTGATGTTTTTATTGTTTTCTGTTGACACTGCCCCAGAAACATGAGGCTTCTGGCAGCCAGCCCTGGCACACCTGCCTCATCTCTTCATGACACCATGTTTCAAAGAAGCTTCCTTGTCAAATAGGAGAAGGACCCACCTGTGCTACTTCCTGTGATTGACAGGAAGTTCTGAAACCCAAAGAAGCAAATCATGGCTCTTGGGTCTTGGGGTGGCACAAGTCACTAGAAAATCTCACTCCATTGCTGATCCTAGAATTAGTTCAGGCTCCCTGAGGACAGATCCACCCCAGTACCTCCCACCCCTTCCATCTCTTCATCCCCCAGGGGGAGGCTGTCTACTTCTTTTGGGGCTTTGGACTAATCCCCCCAGTTCCCATCTTCTGAGGTTTTGTGCTAATCTTGTTTGTCTCCTATGTGTACAAAGCAATCACCCAGGCGACATCCAGCTTCTAGATTTGGGTGCCCAGGGTTCATGTGGTGCCATGTTGGCCTTTGCCTAATTAATTTTAGGAAGTCTTTCCACCAGCCAGATCATGGTCTTCCAAAAATCCTATGGAGTCAGTTCTAGGCAGAAGCTGAGCAGGCATCTGGGCATGGCAACAACTTCTAGCCTCTTCCTCTTACCACTTGGCGTCTAGCTCCCAGGCAGGTATTTCCTGAGCCAGGGTTCCTGTGCAGGTCAGTCTTTACAATATGCAAATTTCTTGTGACCCAGCCCATTTCCCCCCGAGGGAGGCAGGAAGTCCCTTTTGAAATTTCTGAGCACACACAACAGAGGCTAGGAGAGGACCAGCTCTGAGACTCCCACTCAAGCATGTCAAGGGGTGTTTGTGGCTGTGTGGCTGTGTGTGGAGAGCAGAGGGCAATGCTGGGCTGGGGCAGGGGAGGGTGCAGAGGAGAGGGTGTGGGGGAGGGAGGAGCTGCAGCCTCAGACACAGAATTGGACTGAGAAAACAGGATGCAGCAGAGGAGGAGGCTGAGTGTGGTGGCTCGGCTGGCACTGGAATGCTCAATGTGAGGAGGTAGAAGGTGCCTGAGACCAGGGTCTCTGGAGTTCTAGAAAAGCCTGGGCCTCTTCCATGTTTGGAGTCTCTCTGGATTAAGAAAGAAGAAGAAGAGACAGAAATAGCCAAATAGGACAGCAAACATTATGATGTTGTTTAAATGTTTACTTTCACCAATTAATAGTTTTAAACACACACGCACACATGCCACACACACACTGACTACATGAATGGACTCATTTGGAAATAATGTCAAGGGCTCTTTGTCCTGTGAGGCCTGGGCCCAGTGGCCATCCTGGTTTTGGGAGCAGCTCTGCCTGAGAGACCCTCCTGTGGGCATGGTGGCAGCTGGAGGGTGTTCTGGGCTGTTGAACAAAAAGTCCAGAAAGTCCATCTGGACTGGTCCTGCTGGGGATGGTGAGGGACTGAACAGCCCAGGTGCGGGGTGTCTGGGCTTGCCCACCTGTCCATGTTTAGCCAAGTGTCCATTTCAACAAGGAGGAAGGTGACAGGCCCCCAGGACGATGGCCTCTCTCCTCAGTCACCCCAGGTCAGTCCCCAGCAAATGCAGTGGGGCCTTGATGGGGAAAGTCCTTTCAGGGTTTGTATCAATTTCTTTGCATTGTTGTAGCAGAATATCAGAGGCTGGGTAATTCATAAAGAAAAGAGGCTTAATTGGCTCATGGTTCTGCAGGCTGTGCAAGCATGGCACCAACATCAGCTTGGCTTCTGGTGAGGCCTCAGGAAGCTTCCAATCATGGCAGAAGGGAAGAGGAGCTGGCATCTCAAATGGCAAGATAGAAGCAGGGGAGGTGCCAGCCTCCTTTTTAAACAATCAGATCTCACATGAACTCATTAAACTCATTACATGGGGAAGGCACCATGCCATTCATAAAGGATCCACCACATGACCCAAACACCTCCCACCAGGCCCCACCTCCCACACTGGGAATCACATTTCAACATAAAATTGGAGGGAACAAACATCTAAACCGTATCAGGGTCTCTGATTCCACAAGAGCCAGGGGACAAAGCAGGCCCCACGGAATAGGGTGCTGTGGAGTCAGGCCCAGGCTGGCCTGCTTTGGGGATGGGATGGGCCTCTGTGGGCCCAAACCCATGCTGCCCTTGTTAGCAGACGCCAGATGGCCTAGGACCGTCCTTTCTCTCTGCCATGGAGTGAGTGCGGGACGGACGGGTGGCTCCTGTTAGAGCTGATGCTTACATGGGTGAGGGAGGGGAACGGCTATGTCCCCAAATATCCTGCTCTCTTTGCTTTCCTTCCACTGACAAGGACTCCCTCCTTGACCGAACCTTAGGCAGGCTCCTCTGAGCCCTCTTTTTGGCTCCCCCACCCTGCTCCTTGGCCTGCTAAGCTCCAGAAAGTCCAGCAAGAACTACCCCCTCACCCCCTACCCCGCCACCATCACTACCTCACCAAATTCCCCTTGGTATTCATCCCTCCACTGACTCCCTCACCTTGCCCACTGGCTGTGAATCCCCAGCTGTTCCCCTTGTGGTAGGAATTGAGTTCAATCTCCCTCCCCTATTGGAATAGTCTTGGCCCTATTGCAATAAACTGGAAACAAGGCTTCCTGCCTGATTAACTTCACCTGGTGTGATTTTGCTCCTGCTTACATGTGCAATCACACACAAGCTCTTAACACAGACACTTAGCAAACCCTCTGGTTCCATCCCATTATCTCATTGTCTCTTCTGCTCCCAGCAACATTGCTTGAAAAGGGTATTCAGGTCCAGGGAGAAGGAAGCCACCTGTCCCACTTGGCCATGGAGCTTCTGTCCAGGAACACTGACCACTCTTGCTGGGGCCTGGAGTGACGGCAGGGCCACACTCTGCTCTGTCATGTGCCTGCCCTGGGCCCCGGAGACCCTGGAAAGAAGAACTAGGGCTGCCTTGGGCTAGGAAGGAGGAAGCAGGGGTGGGCAGGGCGGAAGTGGAAAGAGATCCAGGAGTGTCTCCCCTCTCAGGACCTCTCTCACTCCAGCCCTTGTGAAGGGCTGTTCTAACCTTGTTCCCTCAGCAGCAGTCTCTGTCATCAGAGGCATTTCTCAGCATCTCTATTTTGGAGCTGCAGCTGGTTGCTTCTCAGAATAAACAGAGCTGTGATATTATGTTGAAAGCAGAATGGAATAACATCTCTTCCTTATGCCCTCCCTCTTCCCCATGTTTTCCAACCTCCACTTCCCTCTTCTTAAAGGCCTTGCCCTAAGACCTCTTCCTCCACACCCCCTGCCCTACAGCTTACCTTCTACCCTCTTATAATCACAGGATCCCTTCACTGGCATGTAGGGGGACCTGAGATGACCAGGCCCTGTGCTGGGCCTGGGGGATCCAGGGGTTTCTATCTGCAAAGAACCCAATGCCAAGTGACACAGGAGTTCATGTATTAAGAACTTAAGGCTTAGTGTGGTGACTCACGCCTATAATTCCAGCACTTTGGGAGGCCGAGGAGGGTGGATCACCTGAGATCAGGAGTTCGAGACCAGCCTGGCCAACATGGTAAAACCCCATCTCTACTAAAAATACAAAAATTAGCCAGGCGTGGTGGTGGGTGCCTTTTGTCCCAGCTACTGGGGAGGCTGAGGCAGGAGAACTGCTTGAATCCAAGAGGCAGAGGCTGCAGTGAGCCGAGATCGTGCCACTGTACTTCAGCCTGGGTGACAGAGTGAGACTCCATCTCAAAAACAAAAGAACTTAAGTCAAGGCTGAGTGTGGTAGCTCATGCCCGTAATCCCAGCACTTTGAGAGGCCAAGGCAGGTGGATCACCTGAGGGCAGGAGTTTGAGACCAGCCTGGCCAACATGGCAAAACCCCCTCTCTACTAAAAATATAGAAAAACTAGCAAAGCATGGTGGCATGTGCCTGTAATCCCAGCTACTCGGAAGGCTGAGGCAGGAGAATAGCTTGAGCTCAGGAGGCGGAGGTTGCAGTGAGCTGAGATCACACCACTGCACTCCAGCCTGGGTGACAGAGTGAGACTCCATCTCAAAAAAGAAAGAAAGAACTTAAGTCAGAGATTATCAGAGCTGGTCCAGCATTCTGCTTCAATGAGGCAACTGAGGTCTCCATTGAAGATGTGTTGGGCTCAGGGTCTCAGAGCTCTTGGGAGTTCAGGTAGGAGCCATAACACTCTGTGCAGTTTTCCTCGTACCTGGCTATATCATTATCAGAACAGCTGTGTTGTATTGAAATCAGTGAAAGGGAGCTCGATGCTGCAAGAGACAGAGAAATCAGACCATTGTTTGTCTTGGACAAAGCAGATGTGCACTACCCAGTGGATTTATGGACTGAGATGGCTTCTAGGAAGAACAGGGCAATCAGAGATGCTTTCCGGATACCAGAGGGTGGGAAGGTTTAATCATTAAGGAGCAAATGAAGAGACATGTATATGTGGCCACATTCAAGACCACGTTATTAGCTTACTCTTTTGTAAACCAGTAAGTCTGACAGTGTGTGAAGGCCCAGGCATATCACTCACCTCCTCTGTGGTCTATCCAGAGCCCTTCCGTTACGGCCTTCATCCTTTCCCTCTCTTGTCCCTTACCTGTGGTTGGTATGATTTCCCTTTTGTAAAATATGCCTAACTCCACTCACCACCCATCCTCTATCTGCTGATCTGCTGTGTAGCTTCATCCACATGAGACTCAAGAGCAATGCAGAATGCAAGGACAGGGAGTTCCTGGAAACTGGGTATGTTGCCTCACGACCTTCTACCCAGGCCCAAGTGTGGTCAGCCTCATCTTGCTCCGTGGTCTCACTTCTCAGCCTGTGCATCAGACCTTTTTCCCCCTGTTACCTGAAAGCAACTCTATGATGAAAAGAGGATGATCTGAGACTTCAGTGGGTTTCCTCTCTTGGTTTTCTCTTATTTTTAAAGAGAAAACTGTGGTGAGACTCTCAAGTTAGTCTTTTTAGTTTATTTTTATTTTTTTTTGAGGCAGAGTTGCCCAGGCTGGAGAGCAGTGGTGCAGTCTCGGCTTACTGCAGCCTCTGCCTCCTGGGTTCAAATGATCCTTCCACCTCAGCCTCCCAAGAAGATGGGGCTACAGGTGCTCGCCACCACACCTAGCTAATTTTTATATTTTTAGTAGAGACCAGGTTTTGCTATGTTGGCCAGTTGGTCTCAAACTCCTGGCCTCAAGTGATACACCCGCCTCAGCCTCCCAAACGCTGGGATTACAGGCATGAGCCAACACATCTGGCCCCAAGTTAGTCTTTATAAGCCCCAGTGGAATGTCCAGGAGTAAAGCTGTCAGCCTGGGGGTAGCTTGGGCTTGCTGAGCATTGAGGGAGCTACACAGAGGGCATTCTTGCCGGCTGAGAGAGTTGTGTTGTGAATGCCAAGGTCGGCGGCTGGAGGTGGGCCTGGTTCTTCCATGCACACTGGGAATGGGCATAGCGTGAAGAATGTGAGTTTTGAACTCAAGGGACTTGGAGGTATGTCTCAGCTCTACCATTTCTTAGCTCTGTTACCTTGGGCTGGTTATTTATTGTTCTTGAGATTCCATTTTCTCATCTGTAATATGGGAATATAAACAGAATCTATTTTTATTATTTATATATATATATATATTTTGAGACAGAGTCTCACTCTGTCATCCAGGCTGGAGTGCAGTGGCACAGTCTTGGCTCACTGCAACCTCCGCCCTCTGAGTTCAAGCAATTCTCCTGCCTCGGCATCCCAAGTAGCTGGTATTACAGGCATGCACCACCATGCCCTGCTAATTTTTGTATTTTTAGTAGAGATAGGATTTCACCATGTTGGCCAGGCTGGTCTCGAACTCCTGACCTCAGGTGGTCTGCCTACCTTGGCCCTTCAAAGTGCTGAGATTTCAGGCATTAGCCACCATGCCTGGCCAACAGAATCTATTTTAAAGAAGAGTTCACTTCCTGATTTCAGGAGTAATCTACTGAGCACCTCGTGTGTGCCAGGCACCGATCCAGGCAGAGGCGCATGGCCTGGGAAGTACCAATATGACGCTTGAGCTAGGGACACTCATATGTTCTGCAAGGGGAACAGGGTGTTATGTGGATTGCATAAGAAAGCATATATGCATTGCTTAACCCCATGCCTGATACATACAAAGCACTTGATAAACAGTAGTTGCTATTGTGACTATATTCAACACTAGAAATATGATATAAATGTGGTCAGTGAGCCAGAAGAGGAGTTTCATTTGATAAAATCTTCAGTTTCTTCCTCAAAGGCGTAACTGTCTTTTAATTAAAGGGAGTGTATTAGTCCAAGTTCCCCAGAGAAACAGAACAGACAAGATGTAGAGATGTCTATAAAGAGATTTATTATAAGGAATTGGCACACAGGAGTATGGAGACTGGCTAGTCCCAAGATCTGCAGTCGGCAGGCTCAAGACCCAGGAAGAGTTAATGTTTCAGTTTGATTCTGAAGGCAAGAAGAAGCTGGTGTCCCAGTTGGAGGGTCCTCAGGCAGGAGGAATTCCTTCTTACTCAGCAGGGGGGTCAGCCTTTTGTTCTATTTAGGCCTTTAACTGATTGTATGAGGCCCATTCTCGTTAGGGAGGTCGATCCACTTTACTCAGTCTACCAACTCAAAAGCTAATCTCATGCAAAAGCACCCTGACAGACTCACCCAGAATAATGTTCAACCAAATATCTGGGTACTCCATAGCCCAGTCAAGTTGATACAGAAAATTAACCATGACAGGGAGCAATGGCCAGAGGACATCATAGTTGAGATAGCCTAGAGGAGAGCTGAGGACACCTGGGCTGTGCTGGCAACCACCCTGTTCTGGAGGGAAGGGTAACCCTAGCTGAGGTTGGGACAGAGGATGCAAACTAGTGGTCCTGGAACTTGATCCAGTCCAAAGATGTGTTTTTGTTAGCTTATACTGTTTTGCAAATCTGCACTAGCATTTAAAGATTAGAGAGTTCATATACAAAGTCTAAATTTCCACATAGACATTTCCAAAGTCTATGTGGCCACTTCAAGTCTTCTCTTGAAAGACTAGAAGTGGCCACATAGAGGTCAAGCATCCATTCTCATAAGGCAAGCATCAGCTGAACCCAAGCCACAGCTGCCCCCTTAGCCCAGATACCCACTGGCCTATCGGCTTAGGCTCCACCAGCCATGCCTGATGGGCTTCACTCATGCAAGTTACCACTGCTGCTGCTTTTGGAGAAAAGACACCCAGGCCTAAACATCAGGGTCCTGCCCCTGCCACAGTGGGGAGCCCATGGCAGCAGCATGCTGTGTTCTCTCTGTGGGAGCACAGCAGGGAGGCAGCATGAGTCTGTGTTCAAAGCACACATCAGACATCTTACTCCCTAGTCCCCACACAGACTTCTCCAACAAGCTGCTGTCTAAAGTGTTCTCCCTGACCAGAGTCTTCACATAGTTCTTTGCCTGGGGAGGGGACTTGGGTAGTGGTGGGAAAACTCTTCCCCCTCCAACTAGAAAGTAGCTAAACAACTGGAGAGAATTGGCCTTGGGCAAGCAGCTAGGAGAGGACCCGTTGCTCCTCCCTGCCTCTATATTGTGTAAGTTTATCCCGACATTTAAAACTTAGAGCTGGGTGTGGTGGCACACACCTATAGTTCTAGCTGCTTGGGGGGCTGAGGCAGGAGAATCACTTGAGGCCAGAAGTTGGAGGTTACAATGAGCTATGATCACACTACTGCACTCTAGCCTGGGTGACACAGCAAGACTCTGTTTCTAAAATAAATTTTTTTTAAAAAAAATTGGAGATTTCACATTAAAACTCTCATGAAAAACCAGCAGTGGTCATATGGAGGTCAGGCATCTTTTCAGGGCAGGGTGTCTTCTCCTTCTGGTTTAAAGCAGGAGAGGCCCTGAGAGAAGAGCCTTGGGATGGGATCTTCTAGAGCCACAGAATAGTGAAAAATACGCCTCTTGAACAGGAGGTGTTTGGTGGGAGAAGAAAAGCCTCTAGGGAACCCAGAGCTGCTGCTTGTAAAAAGCTGAAGAGACATTGCAAGGAGGAGGGATCGAACCAACCCTGCATGTCCCCAGAGGGCAGAAGTCCAAGCAGAGACCAAAGCAGTGAGAAAGCAGGCTTGCAGTGAGTATAATGTAGGCTTTACCACCAAGGAGAGCTCCTTGGAAGTGGGAACGCTGATACATAGGTGGTAAATCCTGAGGCTGAGGGGCAGCAGGGGCTGCACATTGGGGCTTCTAAGTCTTTTTCATGTGCAGTGCACATAGACAATAGAAGTATTTGCAGGGCACACAAAGTAGACTGGCAGGGATTTGAAACCCCAAAGGGGACTGCATTTAAGCCTAAAGGTTCAAACCATGAGTGGCCTGTTTTGAGGATACTTGGGATCTGTTTTAATCCAGTATGGTAGGACATGCAGATGCAGAGATGACTGTCATGAAGGAAGAAGTTCGCATTCACAGACCCCTCACAACAGGAGTCCCAGCACACCACATAGGGCCCCGTGGGGCAGCACAGGTGGGTCAGGAGGCAGAGAGAGTAAGAAAAAATGTAAGCAGGAGCATTTATTGTGATTTCTGTGGGAAGGAACATGAAACAGCATAGCAGGTTTAGGATTGGCTCACGTGAATAATTTCAGCAGGCTCTGGGCTCTCACATAGGCACTGTCCCCAGTTACCTGGTACCTACTCTGGGGTGATTAGGACAGTTGGATAGTGGCCTCCAGTGTGAGTGTGACAGGAGGCAGTTGCGAGTGTGGGCTCTGGATGGGTTGGTTTGCATATATGAAAGGCAGCTGTCAGAAACTGGCTGGCTCTGGGAGAAGCAGTCCCTCCAGGGTCAGTGGGGCCCCATGTCAAAGCATCAAATGTAGAAACCAGAAAACGTGGTTATTACAAAGCCTGGCCCACATGCCCTTGAGAGCTGAGGGGATCAGTTTGCCCAAGTGCACCAGATGCAAAGCACTGCACTATGTGATGTCTGCAATTCCTTTCAGCCTTGAGATGCTGTAAATCTAATAGCATAGTGAGCTGGAAATGACTTGGGAGTTCAGCCTTATCTTCTCTTTGAACAGAAGGGACCTGAGTCCAAAGAGCTGAACCAACTTGATTAGTCTCATGATGGATTATAAAGTGGGGACTGGAACTCAAGGCTTTCCCACCATCCTGTGAGGCTGGAAGGGGCTGATGGGAGTGGCATGACATCTTCATCCATGTGATCTCACAATCATGAGGAGGACATGGGCTCAGGAGTGCCAAGGCTGCAGCATAGGGAGTTTCTGGGGCAGAAGGAAGATGTGGGCAGTAGCACAGTCCCTGCCAGACCAGTGAGGCCCTCCTGAGTCCCCTTACCCTGTCCTTGACATGTAGGGAACTCAGAGCCTAAGGTCTTAGGGCCAGGATGTAGCCTGGGATGAGGAGACCTCAATCTGGTCTCAGCTTTGCCCTGAACCAAGTGTCTGACTTGGGCAGTTGAGTTTTCCTCTCTGGTATCACCCTTCCCAGTGGTCATCCAGTCATTTCCAAAGCATGCCATCATCATTTCTGTTCAAATAAAGATCCCTTTGCCCCACCCACTAGTTCTGACCTGTAGATCCAGGGCAGAACATATGTGTTTCCCTCGAGGAACATCCAGGTCCTAGAATCCACCAGACCCTTCCAGTGTTAAATCCTACAGTGCTCTCATTGACTGCCTCCTGGTCATAAGCTACTAGGTAGTGAAGGGCTGAGAACCAGACCCCACGTCTCCTGCCTCCGGGGGCCGTGTTCTTTCCCTGTCCCATGTGCCTCTCCCCGAGTGGGCACCTCCCTCCTCCCCAGTTATGCACGGGTGCCCCCAGCTATATAGAAGCGTGCCATGTCCACTTATGTCTGGTTTAGTATTCTGCCTGTACGACCTGTTTGTTCTCAGAAGAGCCGTGGGCTGCACTGGTGAGCAGGGTACCCTGTGTTCTGGAGCCTTCATTCCCCTCACCAGGCACACGGCCATGCAATTAGGCACTTGACACATGATGCCAATGTTGACAGCCGAGAATAGAACCCAAGAGTGGGAGGTTAGTCTGCTCAGCCGTGCTGTGGGATGAAGAGGTTTGTGGTTGCCACCTCAGCTTGAGGCTGAGCAGAGACCAGAGCTCAGAGTGGACGAAGCATCAGACAGGAGCCCCAGGTGTGGGCTGTAAAGCCATGGGAGAGAGTCCAGGGGTGCTTGACCTTCAAAGCCCATTCAGGTCTAAAGTCCTCAGAACCCAAGACCTAGACCCAGACAACAGGGAGCTGTAGAGTGGGTTCAGGCCAGGCCAATCTGGGCAGGACCAATAGGCTTGGCTGCCCCCACCCCAACTAGTGCCATTGGCCGTTCTGGGAGGGAGCAGTCTTTGGAGACTTCTGGTGATCATCACTGGTGTCAGCAGATCTTGTCCAAATTGATTCCTGTGGGCTTCTTGAGGTTGGGACTAAAATGTGTCTGAGCAGCAGGTGGGCCTGGACTGGAATGATCTTGAACCACACAAACCCTCATGTTTCTTTTTGTCAGAGGCATGTGAACCAGAGCAACTCCATCTTAAACAGGAGCTAGGTAAAATGAGGCTGAGACCTATTGTGTTGCATTCCCAGATGATGAAGGCATTCTAAGTCACAGGGTGAGATAGGAAGTCAGCACAAGATACAGGTCATAAAGACCTTGCTGATAAAACAGGTTACAGTAAAGAAGCCGGCCAAAACCTACCAAAATCAAGATGGCGATGAGAGTGTCCTCTGGTCATCCTCACTGCTACACTCCCACCAGTGCCACGACAGTTTACAAATGCCATAGAAATGTCAGGAAATTACCCTGATCTAAAATTTCTGGTCTAAAAAGGGGAGGCATGAATAATCCACCCTTTGTTTAGCATGTCATCAAGAAATAACTATAAAAATGGGCAAACAGCAGCCTTCAAGACTGCTGTGTCTATGGAGTAGCCATTCTCTTATTCCTTTACTTTCTTAATAAACTTGCTTTCACTTTATGGACTCACCCTCAATTCTTTCTTGTGTGAGATTCAAGAAACTTCTCTTGGGGTCTGGATCGGGACCCCTTTCCTATAACATTTTCACTCCTGCGTTTAGAACCAGAGACTCGCTGTGCAAAGTGGGAGTGAGGAGGGTGCAACTTGTGTCTCACAGCTCCAGAGGCAGAGCTGCCCCCTGCGGGTAAAAGGTGTAGAAAAACTCCTTTAACATATCCTAGGAAAGACCTCTTTGGTACTGAAAACCAACCAGAAATGGAATAGATAGGTTGTTTTTGCCAAAAGGGGCGCCTGTCATTGAAATATGCAGATGCTTGAAGGAACCAGAGGAACTTGGGTGATCTGTGATCACG
The DNA here is from genome assembly GCF_000001405.40 of Homo sapiens. NCBI lineage: Eukaryota > Metazoa > Chordata > Mammalia > Primates > Hominidae > Homo > Homo sapiens. The sequence continues at coordinate 27,377,279 of NC_000008.11, forward strand.
GCCAACACTCAGTGTTGGGTATGTGTAGTTTACCACGTACATGATGGATATTATTTTTACTCATGTTCACAACAGTTCTGGGAAAGATAGTGCTAACATGCCCAATTTTATGGGCACGTACACTGAGATTCAGGGAGGTAACAGGATTTGTCCCAGATGATTAGACTGGGCCATGACAGAGCTCCAGAAATGTGCTTGTTTCATGCCAGTGTGATAAGAACTTTGCACACCTGGCATCCTTCTTTGGCTGCCATGGGGAGGTCTTAGTTCTAGTCCTGATTCTGTCTCCAGCTGAGTGTGGTCTTAACCCTTTCTGAGCCAGTGTCTCCTTCCTGTAAAGGGGCCAGGGCCACCTCCGGAGGCAGGAGAGAAGACAAAGAGCTAGTACACTGTGAGCTCTCTGTCACATGCACTGCCTGTGTCACGGGAGGGTATTTTTACTGAAGGGCGCCATTACATTAAAATGGAGACTCCATTTCTAAACAGGTGGGCACATTATCTCTAGCTGGAAGGAGCCTCCCCCAAGAGCACAGTTCACAGGTAAAGATTAGGAGGTGTTGAGTGCAGGTGGAGAAGGTTCTGGAAAATGTAAACCTCCTCCCCTACTTAACACTATTCCTGGCATCACCTGCATAGTCAGTCCTCAAGGGATTACTTGAAAGCTAGCACACCCCAGGGCATTTACTTTGGGGAAGGGAACATCCCTACCTTTGGTTCCCTCACTTGTAAAAACGAGGGAAGTAAAAACAAATTATCTGACATTCCCTTTAGCTTTGGTTCCTGCCATTGGTGAGTTTACAATCTTAGTTGTTACTTTTCTCTTTTATCAATATCTCCTTCTATCTTTTTCTTTCTTTCTGCTTTTCTCTCCCTCACCTTTTCTTCCCTCCACTGTCTCATATCTCCCTCAACAACCAAGGTCTCTCCTTGTAGCTAACGAGTTTAGCTCCCAGAATTATAGACCAAGACAATGATCCTGGAAGCATCAAATCTAGTCCAGGGGCTTTAGCCCAGACCTTAAGGAATCTTGGGCTATGGTGAGGGATTCAGGGGGGTTCTGCAAATATGGAAGTATTTTCAGCCAAACAATGAAGAAATAAACCACTTCAGGAGCTGAACGATCACTTTAAACAGTATGAAATATTCATATGCAAGACTGTTGGAAGAACGTCCCTCTCACCTAATCCCCTCACCTAATCCCCTCACTTTTTAGATGAGAAAAGCTGAGGTCAGATAGATAAGGTGATGTCTCCAAGTTATCCGAGTGTTGCTCTGGGGTTTAAGTTGCACATGATTCAAGAGTATAAAATCTTACAGCTTATCTGTGTGTGTGTGTGTGTGTGTGTGTGTGTGTGTGTGTGTGTGTGTGTGTACACAAGGCAATCAGAATATTCTGTCAATAGAAGCAGAAAAGTAGAACTTGGTTCCTTCTGGGGCTCCTGAAAACTGGGGTGTAGACATAACCCCCACACTCTACTCCCACCTGCTTCATCTTATCCCCCACCCCAAGTGGAGCTAGGGGAGAGCAGCACACAGTTCCCCTCCTCACTGGCTGTCTCCTCCCTGCTGCCTCTTGTCTGTGGTGAGGCTGTGGAGAAGTGGGTTGCTGTTCTTTTTTCTGACTTCCTGTGTGCTTCAGAAACCTCAATGAACAAAGAGCTAAAGGAAGAAAGGGCCCCGGCACCGTTATGCCAAACATAGACTCACATCCGACACGGGGGAGCTGGATGCCCGATTTTTATAGAGATGAAACCCAGGATTCAGGATTCTGACTGCCCTGTTCCCAACGTGGCTGCATGGGGAATGTCAGTGCTTGGGAGCTGGAAGTAGGTCGCAGGCTTCTCATTCTTTTCAGGCTTAGGTCTAATGTATTTAAAGAGGTAGCCGAAGTGAGTCTTTAGATGTATCATGGAAATCAAACCAACATTAAAAGGGAACATTTAATTTCCTCTCTGCAACCACTGTTTTTTGTTTGCTTTTGGAGACAGGGTCTCATTCTGTCGCCCAGGCTGGAGTGCAATGGCACAGTCATAGCTCACTGAGCTTTGAACTCCTAGGCCACCTCACCCACCTGGGTAGCTGGGACTACAGGCACATGCCACCATGCCGGGGTCTTTTTAAAAATTTTTTGTAGAGATAGGAGTCTTGCCTGTGGCCCAGGCTGGTCTCAAACTTCTGGGCTCAAGTGATCTACCTACCTCGGCCTCCCAAAGTGCTAGGATTACAGGCGTGAGCCACCACACCCAGCCTACCACAGCTGTTTTAATTTCTCTGTTTTCCTTCAGTGTACAACTCAGCTGTAACCATAGGAGCACATTTCCATAGATAATTTGCATATAATCTCTGGAATCTTCATATTCCCTTAATTGAATATGCCTAAGTAGTCTCCTCATTACTTACCTTTTAGCACATGCAAGTTAATTTACGAGTGAGTCTCTCCATCCAGGTGAGAACAGCATCGCAGGGAAAAATCTGTGCATTTTATTTTTGAGATGGTATCTAAAAAAACTGGACTGCAATGGCGTGATCTTGGCTCACTGCAACCTCTGCCTCCTGGGCTCAAGCGATTCTCCCACCTCAGCCTCTTGAGTAACTGGGATTATAGGCTCCCGTCACCATGCCCAGCTAATTTTTTTGTATTTTAGTAGAGACGGGGTTTCACCATGTTGCCCAGGGTGGTTTCGAACTCCTGAGTTCAGGCAATCTGCCCGCCTTGGCATCCCAAAGTGCTGGGATTACAGGCATGAGCCACTGCACCTGGCCCTGTGCTTTTTTGATGTTGTTTTTGTTATTGTTGTTTATTATTGTTTGGACGACACATTGCTGAGCTTTCTGTCCATAAGCTCCTATTCTCAGGGACTTGCTACTCACATCATGATCCACAGGAGACTCTCGGGGTCACGTCTTTCTCTGCCCAGCCCTGGCTTCCTGGTGCTGTGTTCATGTCTGATTTTGGATCCCTGAGACCTTTTTCTCCTACCTTTCTTCTGAAAGGATAGCAGTCATTTTGTGACCTTGCTCAGGAAATTTTCAGCTGGGTTTTCCCTTTGTATTTTATTTGATGTTTTTCACCAGGGAGGAAAACTCCTGCTACCATGTGAGTTGTGCCAGGGGAGACTTGCCAGAGAAGAGCTGCCTGCAGGGGGATTTCTCGCTACCACATGCAGGGTTTCCCTACTTTGGAAGCCTCGTGGCTGGAATTTTAAAGGCCAAAGTTCCCCCAAATTTTCTGAACGCTGAATGATTGAAAACACCTATTTTTTTTTTCTCTTTTTACCCAAGCGCCTTTTTTCCCAATAAAGGGCTTGGGTAACGACAAGAAACTAAAACTGAAACCACAACTCTGCTCTAAAATAAGAGACTCAGAGACACCCAGGAAGGGCCTGCCTTTGAGACTTGTCACTCCCTGAGATCCATCGTGGCACCAAATGTTTGCCGAGCTCCGCCCTGGGAGGGAGGCCTGCAGCCTGGGAACTGGGAGACCTGGGTCCCAGTGGAGAGGCCTCACCATGTAGTAAGTCTCTCTCGATTCAGTTCTCACAGTGAGTTGAGGGCCAAGCCAGCCATTCTTCAGCCTCACCGGGTGGGTACCAGAATCACCTGAGATGTTAGGAAGGTGGGGAAAGAGGGAGGTGTTGGTCAAAGGGGACAAAGTTATTTACGTAGAATGAGTAAGTCCCAGAGATCTAATGCACAGCATGGTGACTGTACCTAAGTATGCTGTATTAGATACTTCAGATTGGCTAAGAGAGTTGATTTTTTTAATTTTAGTAATTTTTTAAATTTATGCATAATAACTGTACATATTTATGGGGTACAGAATGATATTTGAATACATGTATACTCTGTGTAATAATCAAATCAGAGTAATTACCATATTCATCATGGAAAGCATTTATCATTTCTTTGTGTTGGGAATATCCAGAATCCTCTCTTCTATTTAAAAATATACAATAAATTATTGACTCTAGTCACCCTACAGAGCTACAGAACATTAGCACTTAGTCCTCCTATCTAGCTTTAATTTGGTATCCATTAACCAACCTCTCTCCATCCACCTTCCACCCTGCCCTTCCCAGCCTATTATAACCACGATTCTGTCTACTTCTGTGAGCTCAACTTTTTTAGCTCCCACCTATGGGTGAGAAAATATAGTATTTCTCTTTCTGTGCCTGACTTATTTCACTTAACATAACATCCTCCAGGCTCATCCATGTTGTTGTGAATGACAAGATTTTATTCTTTTTCATGGCTAAATAGCACTCCATCTGTTGATGGGCACTTCGGTTGATTTCCTGTTTTGGCTATTGTGAGTAGTGCTGCAATCAATGTGGACGTGCAGATATCTCTTTGACATAATGATTTAATTTCCTCTGGAAAAAATCCCTAGTAGTGGGATTGCTAGATCATATGGTAGTTCTAGTTCTATTTGTAGTTTTTTTGAGGAATCTCCATACGGTTCCCCGTAATGGTTATACTAATTTACATTCCCACCAATAGCGTTTAGGAGTTCTCTTTTCTCAACATCCTCACCAGCATTTGTTATTTTTTGTCTTTTTGATAATAGCCATTCTAACTGGGTGAGATGCTATCTCATTGTAGTTTTGATTCATATTTCCCTTATGATTAGTGATATCGAGCATATTTTCATTTATCTGTTGGCCATTTCTATGTCTTCTTTGTTTTTCTGAGACGGAGTCTCACTCTGTTGCCCAGGCTGGAATGCAGTGGCATGATCTCGGCTCACTGCAACCTTTGCCTCCTGGGTTCCAATGATTCTCGTGCCTCGGCCATTGGAGTAGCTAGGATTACAGGTGCACCACCATGCCCAGCTAATTTTTGAATTTTTAATAGAGAGGGGCTTTCCCCATGTTGGCCAGGCTGGTCTTGAACTCCTGTCCTCAAGTCATCCATCCACCTTGGCCTTCCAAAGTGCTGGGATTATAGGTGTGAGCCACCACACCTGGTTATATGTCTTCTTTTGAGAAATGTCCTTTCAGATACTTTGCTCATTAAAAAAAAATTATTATTATTTACCATTGAGTTGTTTGAGTTCCTCATGTATCCTGGATATCAGTCCCTTGTTGGATGAACGGTTTTCACATATTTTCTCCCATTCTACAGGTTGCCTGGTCCACTCTGTCAGTTGTTTCCTTTGCTGTGCAGAAGCTTGTAGCTTGATACAATCCCATTTGTCATTGGGAGGTCAAGACAGGAGGATTGCTTGAAGCCAGGAGTTCAAGATAAGCCTGGGCAACATAGTGAGATGCTGTCTCTGTTTTTTTTTTTAATCCCATGTGCCTATTTTTGCTTCTGTTACCTGTGTTTTTGAAGTCTTACCTGCAAAATATTTGCCCAGACCAATGTCCCGAAGGATTTACCCTGCTTTCTTCTAGTAGTTTTATAGTTTTGAATCTCACATTTTAGTCCTTATTCTGAGTTGATTTCATGTATAGTGAGAGATAGGGATCTAGTTTCATTCTTCTGCATATGGTTATTCAGATTTTTCAGCACCATTTATTGAAAACACTGTCTTTTTCCCAATGTATGTTCTTGGCATCTTTGTTGAAAATCAGTTAGCTATAAATATGTGGATGTATTTCTGGGTTCTCTATTCTGTTTCATTTGTCTGTGTGTCTGTTTTTATATCAGTACCATGCTATTTTGGTTACTTTAGCTTTGTAGTATTTTTGAAATCAGGTAGTGTGATGCCTCCAGCTTTGCTCTTTTTGCTCAGAATTGCTTTGGCTATTTGGGGTATTTTTTGATTCTACATGAACTTTAAGATTGTCTTTTCTATCATATTTCTGTGAAGAATATCATTGGTCTTTTGATGGGGGTTGCATGGAATTCGTAGAGCGCTTTAGGTAGTATGGTCATTTTAACAATATTAATTATTCCAATCCATGAACATGGAACATTTTTCCATTTTGTGTGTGTGTCCTCTTCTAATTCTTCCCACCCCCCCACTCTCCCAACACACGCCGAGATGGAGTCTTGTTCTGTCACCCAAGCTGGAGTGCTGTGGTGCAATCGTGGCTCACTGCAACTTCTGCCTCCTGGTTCAAGCAATTCTCCTGTCTCAGCCTCCCAAGTATCTGGGATTACAGGCACGTGCCACCAGGCCTGGATAATTTTTGTATTTTTAGTAGAGACGGGGTGTCACCACGTTGGCCAGGCTGGTCTCGAAATGGCTGGTCTCGAGCTCCTGACCTCGTGATCTGCCCACCTTGACCTCCCAAAGTGCTGGGATTACAGGTGTGAGCCACCGCGCCTGGCCTCCTCTGTTTCTTTCATCAGTGTTTTATAGTTTCCATCATAAAGGTCTTTCTTGGTTAAAAAATATCCTCTCTTATTAAAATTATTCCCAGTTATTTTATTATGATTTTTGTAGTTATCATAAATGAGATTGTTTAGTTTTGTTTTAGATAAGGTCTCACTCTGTTGCCCAGGCTGGAGTACATTGGCACCATCATAGCTCACTGCATTCTTGACCTCCTGGGCTCAACTGATCCTCCCACCTCAACCTTCTGAGTAGCTGGGGCCACAGGTGTGCACCACCACACCTGGCTAATTTTTTTTTTTTTGAGACAGAGTTTCACTCCTGTTGCCCAGGCTGGAGTGCAATGGTGTGATCTCGGCTCACCACAACCTTCGCCTCCCAGGTTCAAGCGATTCTCCTGCCTCAGCCTCCCGAGTAGCTGGGATTACAGGCATGAGCCACCATGCCCAGCTAATTTTTTGTATTTTTAGTAGAGACAGGGTTTCTCCATGTTGGTCAGGCTGATCTCGAACTCCCGACCTCAGGTGATCCTCCTGCCTCGGCCTCCCAAAGTGCTGGGATTACAGGCATGAGCCACCATGACCGGCCCAACACCTGGCAAATTTTTAAATGTTTTGTAGAAACATGGTCTCCCTATTTGTGCAGGCTGGTCTCAAACTCCTGGACTCAAGCAATCCTCCTGCCTCAGCCTTGCAAAATGTTGGGATGACAGGCATGAGCCACTGTGCCCAGCCAAGATTACTTTTTCTATTTATTTTTTAGCTAGTTGGTTATAAGTATACAGAACTGGTTTTTATATGTTGATTTTATATCCTGCAACTTTATCAAATTTGTTTATCAACTCTAAACAATTTTTGGTGGAGTCTTTAGGTGTTTCTTTATATAAAATCATGTCATCTGCAAAGAGGAACAATTTGACTTCCTCTTTTCCAACTTGAATGCCTTTCATTTCTTTCTCTTGCCTAATTGCACTGATTAGGGCTTCCTAGAGAATAGATCTTAAGTGTTTTCACTACAAACACAAGAAAAGGTAACTGTGTGGAGATGAATATGCTAATTAGCTTGACTATAATAATCAACTTGCTATACAGCTCAAATATATACAATTTCAGTTTAAAATATTTTATAAAGAATCACCTGAGATGTTATGGAGAAATACAGATGGCTAGGCCCCAACCCCCATGGTCTCCATGCACTAGGTCAGGTTAAGGCTTAGAGATATTTACACTATATATTCCAGCGATGCCAACATGCATGTAAACAGGGTGAAGAACCCAGGGACCAAGCGCTGTCTGAGGTTGTTTCTCATCTAACAGCAACGTTTTACCATTAGAACCCAGAGCCCCAGAGGACCTTACTCTGGGGGTGTCTATGGAATGAGGCCTCCTTCTTAGGTAGGTCTGTACTCTGAATTATAGCCAGAATCTTCATCACTGCAGGGCATAGCGGTAAAGAGCCCACACCTGTAGCCCCTTCTGACTCCACTCAAATCACAGTTCTGCTCTCGACTTGCTGTGTGGCCTTTGGGAAGTTACTCTGCTCATCCTCGGAGACCTCATCCATGGGACAGGGGGTAATGGTACCTAGCTTTTGGGTTTTTCTTAGGATGGACTGGGCTCATTGTGCATGGAAAGTGCTAGCCCAGGGTTGGGCTACGGAAGCACTCTGTTACCTGCTGCTGTTTCTCAGAAGTGAGCCCTTTGGCATGGAGAGCTGGAGGAAGAGGACGAATGCTCAAGGTCTCAGGGCTGGAGAGGAAATCATGATCATGGGGTGGCAAAGGACCTCAAGGCACTGCCAGACACTCTGGGCTCTTGGAGAACTGTTCAGAGTTGGCGATAACTTTCTGTAATCCTAGGCATCTCTTCTCTTGTCACATTTCATTGAGATATCTGTCTATCCTATTTAACCCAAGCCTGATTTTGGATAGGATCCAGAAATCTAGGTGAATTTCAGGGGCCTGGTTGCTTCCTCATCTAGCTTGGTGGTAAGAAGCTCAGCCCCTCTCTGTGGGCCATGTGGAGAGTACAGAAAATAAAACTGTATCAGGGCCGGGCGCGATGGCCCATGCCTGTAATCCCAGCACTTTGAGAGGCTGAGGTGGGCTGATCACTTGAGGCCAGGAGTTCAAGACCAGCCTGGCCAACATGGTGAAACCTCCTCTCTACTAAAAATACAAAAAATAGCTGGGTATGGGGGCGGGCACCTATAATCCCAGCTACTCGGGAGGCTGAGGCATGAGAATCACTTGAACCCGGGAGGCAGAGTTTGCAGTGAGCCAAGATCATGTCACTGCACTCCAGCCTGGGTGACAAAGTGAGATTCCGTCTCAAAAAAAAAAAAAAAAAAAGACAGTATCCGAGGAGGAGATAGAGATTGATGCATAGGAGAGAGGTCCAGTTTTTATCCTTGTGCAATAGACTTTACACATTTCTAAAATATATTTAACCAAAATAACAATATTATAACTGATGTAACTTAAGATCTTTAACTGCATGCAGTTCTAAATGTGGATTGTGTTTTTATGTAGTTCTAATCAGTATGTAAATTTCATTCTCTGTCACTTAACATTTTTATATAAATCTTTTCATGCACTACTCATATTTTTATCATAGTTTTTCATTATTGCTAGTGCTCCGACTTCCCCCTGAGCATTTTGTTTTGATTCTCATTATTTCACTACTATAAATAGTACAGCTAGGAACATCTTTGTGCAAATGCTTCACACCCCTCGCCTTGGATAGATGCGGTATGTTTCCCAACGTTGGGTAGCAAGATCAACACATGTGAGTTATTTTGTATTTAACTTCCTTGCTTCAGAAAGCCAGTTCTGAGTAATTGGCAATTGTACTAGTTCATTTCAAGTCCATGAACATAAGTTTTTCTTTTTTTTCCCTAGGTAACTTGGCTTGTTTAATAGGTTTATGGTGGTTCCTTAAAGTTGTTTTTATTAGCATTTTCAACTGCTGAGGGCTTTTCTGTCTATTTTTAATTTTCTCAAGTCTTTTCACACACAGGTGGCATCCTGTTTGCTTGAAGGGGCATTAAAATTGCTGTTTTATCCAATTTGCATTAAAATGAAAACTAAATACATCTACAGATTGGGGCTCGGTCATGTTGAATGGTTTTGAGGTCTGTTTACATAAAGCAAATGTTTGGCGTATACTAGGTTTGCAAAGAGTGGCAGACTAGGGGGTTGGCAGGTGAAGCTTGTTCAAGACAATGGTTTTGTTGGTTTTAAGGTGTTGAGAGATGGTGGGCTACATCTGTACAGTTAGACTTGGGTTTATACTTTCTAGTTAAAAAAAGTACCTGAGGTTTTTTTTTTTTTAATCACCTACTTTTTTTTCTGTTTATTACATGTATCATAAAATATACCTTAATCAAGTCCTACATATCCATGACTATATACATATTAACATGTCAAAAGTCTGCATTCCTTTCCATACATGTATGAGGAATTTGTGTTTGAGCAGAATTCTGGGGGCTACATCAGAAAAGCAGGTTCATCTGGGCTGTACTCTTTGGCACAGAAATAAGCTTGATGTGTGGAGACCAAGCTCAGATCAGGGGTGGAGGGAAGGTTGGGGGTCACTCACTGCTGGGATGTAGGCTGTGGACTGTGTTTGTTGGGGTACAGTGGAAAATCTGAGCTCTGGTCTTATCTCTGCCACTGAAGAAAGGGGACCCCAGGCAAGCTGCTCAGTCAGTCGCTTTTCCTCATCCTCAAAATGGGAGAGCAGCCTGCCTTGGGAGATATCAGTGAGGTAGCAAGGGTGCAAATGCTATGAAGGGAGATTCAGCATGTGATATGCAAATGTGAAGCTCCTCTTCCTCTAGCTGTTACATTTCTTCTTAACGTTGATTTGGATGAAGGAGTCAGATCCATCTTTCACGGGACAGTCCTACAACCGTTCAAAACCAGCAATCCATCCTGCGTTCCCATGACTCACTCTCTCTTTGGTTTTAGGGGTCTGCACCATGTGATAGGGCCTTGTTGAATGCCCTTGCCCTAGAAGACGGCCTCTCAAACCCCAGGCCCTCAGCTTTCACTGCTGAGGTGGGATCGTGTGTGCAGAGCCCAGAGGGAAATCACCATAGTTTCTTAGGGGTTTTCTGGTAATCCCAACACTACATTAACTTTTTTTGGCAGCCACATCATAGTGACTAACAGTGAATTTACAGTTAGCCTAAATCCTATTTTTTAATCCATCCACTGCTAAACCACATCTTTCTCATCCTAGACTGGGGAAGGCTTTTTTTTTTTTTTTAAATCTACATGAAGAATGGCTCATTTATCCCACTTCACAAGTTGCGTTTTGTTAAACTTGGCATGACTTACCAGCCTGTGAGGATTTCAAGAACTTTTTTTGATCCTCTGTTAAAGCCATAATCTCTCCCAATCCTGTGCTCAACTTGATGCTTCTTGTTTAATAACCACAAGCTCCTTCATACCCAATTAAAAGGCGTGAACAGGAACAATTAAAACAACAGTCTGCCATCCAGGTTAATGCAGACATTTGATTAGCAGTCTTTAGAAGAAACCATTTGACCAACTAGGAATTCACCTGCTATCATCTGACCTCCTTGTTAAACTCTCAAGAAAATGGGGAAGAACTCAGACAAATTGAAGCATTGATTCATCATGGTACCAAATTTCTCCGCTCAGCAACCAACTTTGTGACCCACTCAGAGGGGGACATGAGATTTGCAGGAGTTGGAGGTTGAGAGGGAAGGAAAAAGCTGAGATCATGATTTGAAGAGGAGAAGTTGGAGGATAACTTGGTTTGGGGTTAAAGATGACAAAGAGTGTGGTTTTGAAAATAACAACTTTCAGAGGACTGGAGAGTAAGAGAAAAGAAGCTCTTGGGAGGAAGGGGCACATGGTAAGATGCTATGCCCCCATGCACCTTGTACATTGTTGTCTTGAAGTACTGGGTGGTGCCACCACTACAGGCAACAAGTGGGACATCAACTGTCAGAGGTGGCTTGAGGCCAGGGACCCTGAGATCTGCCCTTTTTGCCCAGTCTGTCGCTGTTCAGACAGTGGTGTGCTGGAACCAACTCTCACAAGCCAATGGTGTCCATTTCTCCCCAACTCCCCTTTCAGTGCCATCATGCTGGTGGCTTGGAATCAGCCACAATGAAAGTATTTACACCAGAGAAATTGGCAAGTGCTACAAATCAAGGCATCCTTCTCTCAGATTGCCAGTGGCCACACACACACCAGGCACTTATTCTCGCTGCCCCTGTGGCCTTCCAGCTCACACCTGTGCTGTATCCTTGTGCCAGATTTATATTTTTAAAATGAAAATCTGCTTTTCCATGGATGATGTTCAAAAATTTCTTAGCAGATTGCCACCTTCTGGTCTCATTTCCCAATGACCCCTCACCCACCCTCTTCACCAGCCCTACAGGCAGCATGTCATGGGGTTTCCTGATCTTTCTGGGTCACTTTTTCCTAAGATCCTGAGGCCCAGTAGGCAGGTTCTCTTCTGTGATCATCTGGTCCCATGCTTAGAGTTCTATTAGAGACCGTAGCAGGCTGTGGCTGTTTTTGTGTGTTTTGTTCCGTTTTATCTTTTTTCTTTTTACTGGATTATGATCTAATAGATGGGGACCTTCTTCCCTCTTCTGTTTATCTTCATAGCTCCAGGTCTGCTATGGTTCCTGAAACATAGGAAGGCAGAGAGAGGAGGGAAGGAAGGAAAGAAGAAAGGAGGGAGGGAGGGAAGGAAGGAAAGAAGGAAGGAAGACAGGAGGGAAGACAGGAAGACACTCCAGCCAAAAGGCATTCATGACCTGGCAAGTAAGGAGCACAATGAGTATAATTTTTGAAGAACTAAGAGAAGAATGGAGCCCAGAAGTCAAATAGGAGATAAGAAAAATCTGGCTAGCTGCAGGGATCAAAGGCTTTGAGGGGAGGAGAGGTTCCTTTAGCAAGAAAGCCCAGGGTAATGCATCCCTGTTGCTCCCCTCCTGCCCCGCAAGACCCCCCCAAGCCAGCTGGCCTCTGAGCTGGCAGGAGCTGGCAACAGGGGGACTCCCAGTGGGTAATGGGTGCGGGGGTGGGGAGCTGAAAACGTGGTAAAGTCTCAACAAATGCGTTTTGTATTACATTCAATTATAGCTGGCAATAATCACAACCTTTCTGGTTCTTTCCTCCGCAAGGTAATGGGGAGAAAGCCTTGGAGAGGAGGGAGGTGATTTAGCAAATGCTGGACTGGAGGGCCCTGGAGCAGGCAGAATGCTGGCCCTGCGGGAACTGAGGGCTGAGAGGGCTCTGGTTGGGGAGGGGGCACTGTGAGGAGCCAGCAGGGCACAGCCTTGCCCAGAAACCTAGGACCAGCTCCCTGAGACTGCAGGGTCATTGCCAATTAGTTAAGTGGCTGCACTCAGCAGGCCTTTGGGATAGGAAAGGGCTGCGTTCTCCATCTTGTTGATGTGGAAACAGCAAGGGGAAGTGATTCAGAGGCGGAGTGGAAATAAAGTGTGTGTCTCGTGACATTGTGACTTCTGCTAGATCCAAAGGGCTGCACTTGACTGTCTCCTGGGAAGCTTCCTTCCATGGACAGGCGCCTGTGGTGCTTTCGAGACAGGCAATGGGGCTGTGCAGGAGCAGAGGAGAGGGAGGCATGATCTGTGGAGGTGGGGCAGGTGCATGGAGGAAGGCAGGGCTGGGTGAAAAGGCAGCCTCAGTGCACGGAGCACTGGAGGTAGAAGGGGCTGCCACAGCCACCTGATCCTGCACTTAGGAGGTCAGTTTAGATTTTTTAAAAGTCAGGTTTAAAGGCCAGGCATGGTGGCTCATACCTGTAATCCCAGCACTTTGGGAGGTTGAGGAGGAAGGATCACTTGAGGCCGGGAGTTCAAGACCAGCCTGGGCAACATAGAGAAACCCTATCTCTATACAAAATAAAAATAAAAAATTGAACTAGGCATGGTGGCATGTACCTGTAGTCCCAGCTACTTGGGAGGCCAAGGCAAGAGGATCACCTGAGTCCAGGAGTTTGAGGCTGTAGTAAGATATGATCACATCCCTGAACTCCAGCCTGAACAACAGAGCAAGCCCCTATCTCTAAAAATTAATAATAATTAAAATTAAATTTCAGAATTAAAAAGTGGGTCTTAGTATTATGTTTCTAATTCTCTCTTCTTCCAAGTCACAGACACTTAAAAAATGTATGTGCCAAGGAGTTTGCAGAAGTAATGGAAGTAACCTCTGATACTCCAGAAAATTCTGCAGGATAAGTAATAGTGACCTCATGCCCCAATGGAGGAAACTGAGGCCTACAGAGATTATCTTGTCCAGATCACACAACGGGTCCATGGCAGAGACTCAAGGCTGCCATGTTGTCACACTCACGTAATGGCCCAGTTGTATGGCTTACCAGCCCTGAAGAAAGTGGTTTAAATCCAGGTTTGAATGAGTTAAATGTACGCGCCTTCTCCCTGACATCATACGGCCTTTCTGACTAATGGGCCCCTTTCCACTCTCTCTCAAATCAGGAACAGAACCTTTTTTTTTTTTTTCTTGAGGTGAAGTTTCGCTCTTTTCCCCCAGTCTGGAGTGCAATGGTGCAATCTCGGCTCGGTGCAATCTCGGCTCACTGCAAGCTCCGTCTCCCGGGTTCAAGGGATTCTTTTGTCTCAGCCTCCCGAGTAGCTGGGATTACAGGCACGTGCCACCACACCCAACTAATTTTTGTATTTTTAGTAGAGAAGGGGTTTCACCATGTTGATCAGGCTGATCTCAAACTCCTGATTTCAAGTGATCTGCCCACCTCAGCCTCCCAAAATGCTAGGATTACAGTCGTGAGCCACTGCACCCAGCCAGGAACAGAACTTTCAGTCCTCAAGACCATGCATTTTATGTTTGGGACTCTCAGCATCCCCTCTGGTGTCTGCCTCCCCAAGAGGCTAAGCTGTTTACTGAACACAACATGTGTAACATTACCCTACAATGTCTTCAAAGGCAAGAGTTAAGTTTTCCTGTGATATTTATTCCTGTAACCCTAGCATCTCCCCTGTGCCAGGGGCACAGTACTAGGTGCAGTTACAACCTGGTGCATCTGGAGGGGACGTAAATGCTGCTTCAGTTCCCCCTCCTGCAGGCAGGTCAATGTCTTGCCATTCAGGAAGAGCATAATTTATTTTCTTCCTGAAGATCTTAAGAACTCAGAGATTGTCCATCCTCCTGTAGTACCCTTTGCAGATTTTGGCCAAGAAGTTCTTACAGACAATCAGAAGTTTTCCTGTTTTAATTTGAGCCCATTTCTTGTGTTTGTTATTCTTTGACTTTGATTGTGGCAGATTTGGGGGCCAGGAGGCAAACCGAAGCCCAGGATGGCTCAGAGCCAGGGTTTTCACTGGTGCCACAGGATGTAGTCTCCTCTGACTCTGCTCCGACGGTCTGGGGCAGACCAGGAAGCAGGGAGGACAGAATGCCAGGGCTTGGAGAGCCAGGAAGGTCTGGAGAAAGGGGCAGAGTTTTTGGCTCATGAGTTGAGCATCAGAGGATTTTGTGATCATTAAAGGCCAGAGATAGGCTATTGACGAGTAGTTCAAATAATCAGACAATATTTAGAGGCGTGAACAAGTTCTATCATCAAGAAGAAGAGCTGGAGTCAGCAGATTGTTCTCATCTCTTCCCAACTCAGCATTCAGTGGTGATGTGCATTGGTACCTGAAGGTCAGTCATGGTGGGAATTTTTACACTACGGAAATTGGCAAGTTCTACAAAGCGAGCTTTTTTTTTTTTTTTTCTGGAGCACTACTGACAGGAGGAGCAAGATACAGGGAATACAGGTCATCAGACAAGATTTTGGAAAAAAGGCAAGTGAAAATAGTCATGATGATAGAGCCTTTCACTGGTGTCCCACTTTATTGCTTACGAGGAACTCTCACTTATGTTTTCTCACTTCATCTTCACCACCCTTCTATGAGGAAAACAGGGTAGGCAGCATTACCCTACTTTATAGGGGAGGAAAATGAGGCTGGGATAGGTAAAGTTACTTGCACAAGATTTTAGAGCCAGTCAGAAAATGAGCTGGGAGCAGAACACAGGCAGGGTGAGCGCAAGGGAAGATGGCATGGAATTGAGAGCTATGTTCTCTCAAGAACCTGAAGAGGGGTGGCAGATGCCTTCCTTTCATGGAACCGTTCATTTACTTTGCTTCAAAGAGTTCTGAGTGTTCATTACAGATCTGTGTCTACAGCTCAGAGTTTTGGGTGCACTTGAGGAAGTTGCCATGTGTCAATAGAGACATGGGCACCACCTTCCTGGGCCTGAGGCTTTTGATCAAACCTATATTCTAGTGTTGAGTCCGTCTAGGACCTCTCAAGACAAAGTCCTGGCACAAGAAGGGTGATTATCTCTAAGCCAGGAGAGGTTCTGGATTCTTCACTGACTGGGAATATTCGATGCTAATTGTCATCTTTATCTTTCGTGGAGTTTGTGCCGCCCTTAGGGGATTTCACCTTCTTCCAAGGCAGCTGGGGAAGTGGGAGAAACTGTGGGTTTTGATTAAAACCTGGTTTGGGATCTAAGTTTGCTACTTAGCAGGCATGAATCCTTGACCAAATGGCTTAGACCTTTTTGAGTGTGTCACCATCTGTAAAATGGCCATCTTCACTCCTGCCCACCTCCCAGGATTGGGCAGCAGATTGTTGTGCAAAGAACTTGTGTTTCTGTATAGATTTTTAAATTGTAATTACTTTTGGAATGAGCATCCACAGCAGATGTTTCTGCTGCAAAGGGCTAAAGGGAGAACTGAGGAACTTGCATCAGGCTGAAGGTAGAGGTAGATTCTGGGTGACAGAAATGACTGCTGAAATATTTCTCCTTGAGCTATGTTGGTGACTGCAGTTAGTGGCTCTTGAATCAGGGGCCAAGGGAGAGTGAGGAAGATAAGACACCAGAGTCCTCCAAGCACGCTGATGATGTGTCTGGGTGGGCTGCATTGGGTCTGATGTACAGTGTGAATCTTTCTCTTTGGTCAGGACCGATATGGGAGTTGGCTCCTGAGTGGGCTAGACCCTGCCCAGCCAGGCTGCGGAATGGGAGGACAACTATCAGGGTGTGGTTTCTCATTGCTACATTTTTTTCTTAATAGACTATTTTTAGAGAAGTTTTTGTTTCACAGCAAAATTGAGCCGAAAGTGCAGAGTGTTCCCACATGCACCCTGCCCTGACACAAGCACCGCTTCCCCCACTATCAACATCCCTCACCCCCCAGAGTGGCGCATTTGTCACAGTCCATGAACCTGCGTGGACACATCATGATCGCCAAAGATGTCCAGGGGCCTCAGGGCCATAGGCTCACTAGATACAGTATATCCTGAAGCTGGGACCTGCTGTATGTGTGTTGCCTCCATAGCTGCATATACAGTCACCTGTCACTTAAGGGTAAGGCTGCATTCTCAGAAATGCATCATTAGGCAGTTGTGTGAACATCAGAGTACTTAGAGAAACCCAGATGCTACAGTCTACTACACACCTGGACTATTGCTCCTACAGACCTGTACAGCAGATTACTGTACTGAATACTGCAGGTAATTATAACACAATTGAGGGTATAAATACCCTAGATCCCTCACTCTCTGGGTTGGGTACATTCTGTCCTGGTTCCTAGAGTTTCCAGCAGGATTAAATGGCAGTTGCCCAAGTGATCACTTACTTGATCACTCTTTTTGACTGTTTTCCCTTCCCTATCATCATTTCTCTGGTTTACTTACACAAACCTAGATGGTACAGCCTAGACTATATGGTATAGCACATGGCTCCTACAACCCTATACAGCAAGTTACTGTACTGAATGCTGTAGGCAATTGTAACACAATGGTAGGTATTTGTGTATCTAAACATAGGAAAGGTACAGTAAAAATACAGTGTAAAAGATAAAAAATGGTGCACCGGTCTAGGGCACTTACAGTGAATGGAGCTTGCAGAACCGAAAGTTGCTCTCGGAATCTGCGAGTGAGTGTGAGTGAATGTGATGGCACAGGACATTACTATGCACTACTGTAGACTTTATAAACACGGTGTACTTAGGCTACACTAAATTTATTTTTTAAAACTGTATTTCTTTAGTAATAGATTAACCTTAGCTTACTGTAATGTTTTTACTTTATAAACTTTTTTTAAAGCTTGTTGATGCTTTTGTATAATACTTAGCTTAAAACACATGTGCATTGTACAACTGTACAAAAATATTTTCTTTCTTTATACCCTTATTCTATAAGCTTTCCATTTCTAAAGATTTTTATTTTTTATTTTTTTTACTTTTTAAACGTTTTTATTAAAAACAAAGACACAAACACACACATTAGCATAACCCTACACAAGATCAGGACCATCAGTATCACTGTCTTCCGCCTCCACATCTCGTCCCACTGGAAGCTCTTCAGGGGCAGTAACAGACATGGAGCTGTCATCGCGTATGAGAGTAATGTCTTCTTCTGGATACCCCCTGAAGGACCTGGCTGAGGCTGTTTTACAGTTAACTTTTTTTTTTATAAGTAGAAGGAGTATACTCTAAAATAATGATAAAAATTATAGTAGAGGAAGTACATAAACCAGTCACATAATCTTTATTATCATTATCAAGTGTTATGTACCACCCGTAATTGTATGTGCTAGACTTCTCTATTCCTGGCAGTGTGGCGGGTTTGTTTATACCAGTGTCACCACGAACACATGAGTCATGCGTTGTGCTCTGACCTTGCCACTGTTATGATGTCACTAGGTGAGAGGAATTTTTCAGCTCCATTCCACTCTTTGGGGACCACCATCTTATATGCGGTCCACCATTGCCTGAAACATGATTAAATATGCCATATTGTGCTGTGTGAGTATATTTGCCTGTTGTCTCTCTGACTAGAGTGTGTGCTCTTTAGGGAAAGGCATGCTTTTCTCATCTTCATACCCTGTAGCAGGGCTGCCACTGTTCCCTCCTGTGTCCCCTGGGCCCTGCCATTTCAGTACAATCCTCTCTTCTACCCACCTGCTGCCAGCTCTGCACCTCTGTGCCTGAGGACTTTCTCAGCTCTCCCTTGTGCAGAACTGGCTGGATATGCTGGAACAATGACTGTAAGAGTGGTGTATAAATACCCCAGATCCCTCCCTCTCTGGGTGGGGTCCATTCTTTCCTGGCTCCTAGAGTTCCCAGTAGGATTAAACTGTGGTTGTGCAAGCGATAACTCACTTGATCACTCTTATTAGCTGTTTTCCCCTCCCTGTCATCATTTCTCTGATGTTTCCTGGGGTTACCTCTCAAACGACTTCCCCCTGGATTCCTTGTTGAAGGTCAGGGGATCCGGGTTACATCTTCACTACATAGCAGAGTATTGACACACAGGACATGTCCAGCAGATGTTTGTTGGAAAATGGTATGGATACCTCTAGAATAGACAGATACTTCCAGAATATATATATATCTTTTAGATAAGAATATATATATCTTAAAGCAGATTGCATATTCTTCTCTCCATAGGTCTTATGCCACATTTTGCTGCCCTTGTGGACTCTGAGCTTGGTGCTGCCTGTTGTCTGCCTGCCCCTGACCTGAAGGACATGCCCAGCTCCTTCTCTCATCCTTGCCTCTCTTTTGCATCTTCGTAATACATATTCACTTTTTAAAAAAGGAATGGCTCTTTGAAGCTAATGGCTATCTAAATCTTTCTTTTCTATTGTCCAGCACAGTGTGAATAAATACATACAGGCTATGATTCCACTTTTCAAATGTGTGACTCCATGTTCGTGTTTTAACATTGTCAACTCCATCATTTTGCCCCCAACTCCTGGTCAAGGAATTTCCCTCCCTCTAAAATCACAGTCTCTTCTTAGAAAGGGGATATTTTTCTTTAAGAAGGGGTTTCAGGATAAGAGCTAAGCTCGTTCTAGAACAGTGGTTTCCAACCCAGGCCAAACGTTAGAAAAGTCCTGGGAAACGAATATGTCAATGCTCAGCCCAGACCAATTTGACAGCAGTGTCTGAGGTTAGGGCTTGGTTTAGGGTTTCTGAAAGCTTCCCTAGTGATTATGTGGAGCTAAGGCCGATGCCATCCATCTAGAGCTAGAATATCCACTTCTTCCTTTGGGCATTCCCTGCTTTAGATCAGTGGGAGATAAACCCTACTCTACTGAGTTGTATTGGACCTAGAGGCCAGGACCAATGTTGCTGATTCAAGGTGAACTACAGATTCCTAGGATTCTTATCATCTACATCTGTGTCAACCCAGGCTGTCTGCAGAACTGGGCTGGGTTTTCTAGAGTCCCAGCTCAGCTCCTTCCCATGTGCAGCATGCCCTTCCCTGCGGGGCTGCTGGGCAGAGCGCTGTTCCTCTTGAATCCTCCTGCATGTGATCAGTGATGTCTATGTGATGAGCTCCTGTCAGACGGAAGCCTCCCACCCTGAAAGTTTTTGTTGGCAGCTGAGGATGGGGGTGGACAGCATCAGTTGACAGCCTGGCCCTCCACCTGGGCCCTTTCCTGCCTTCTCCATTCCCATTCCCTCGGGGCCACTTCTTCTCCAATCTGTTTCTTCTCAGATTTTCCGCCTTGTCCCTGTTCCTCTCCTGCTATTTTCTACTGTCTCACTCTTTGCTTTTTCTGCTCAGCTGTGCCTTGGAACCAAGCTGTGACCGCCTTCTCTCACAGCTGCCTTTGCTAAGGGTGGGCCCCTTGCCTGGGTGCCAGGGTGGAGGGAGGAATGGGTCAGAGAGAGGGGCTTCCAGGAGACAGAGCTCATACCCCTGGGAGCCCCAAGTCTGGGTTTCATACCTGGATGCTTCTGCAACTTGCCCCTTTCTGCTGCATCTTTCCCAGTCAAGAGAGCCAGGTGCCTTGCAGGGGAGCTTTTGGGAATGG
Organism: Homo sapiens; assembly: GCF_000001405.40. Taxonomy (NCBI): domain Eukaryota; kingdom Metazoa; phylum Chordata; class Mammalia; order Primates; family Hominidae; genus Homo; species Homo sapiens. The sequence continues at coordinate 27,397,432 of NC_000008.11, forward strand.
GAGAATATATAGCATTTGTGTCTGTCTTGGAGCTCGGTGGGTGCTGTCCCTGGGGCCATGAGGTATGTGGGCCTGTGTGGGGCTCTTTCAGGGCTGACCCTCTGCTGTCTCTGCAGGACTGCAATGTGCCGATCTTAGCTGCTGCCTGAGAGGATGTCTGGGGTGTCCGAGCCCCTGAGTCGAGTAAAGTTGGGCACGTTACGCCGGCCTGAAGGCCCTGCAGAGCCCATGGTGGTGGTACCAGTAGATGTGGAAAAGGAGGACGTGCGTATCCTCAAGGTCTGCTTCTATAGCAACAGCTTCAATCCTGGGAAAAACTTCAAACTGGTCAAATGCACTGTCCAGACGGAGATCCGGGTAAGTGTGAAGTGTCTGCCCTGTCCATCTGTCTGTCCCTCTGTCTTCTTCCTGGGCAGCTGAGCAGCTCTCCTGCAGCCTCGCAGCTCTCCCATATCCACCCCTGGGTGGAAGAGGTGAGGTGGCATCAGAGAGATGTGCTCAGCCTGCATCACCAGGCCTGCTCTCCAGATGTTCCCATACTACTTCTCTAGGAGCCTGGGAAACACATGTTGTAGCCTTTGCTTGAACCCCAGATAATTTGTTTGGCCTCTGATTCAATTCATTTCAACTTATTAAGTATTTATGATACTTGAAGCTCTGCAAGGGACTTAAAAGCTGCTGTCCTCAAAGAGTTTACACTCTGATGAAATAGGAATTAGAGATACACAAGTGATTGCATTAAAAATAGAACAAAACTGGTATAAGCCTTGTGTGCTGAGCATGTACAGGAAGGCACTGGTGGGGCACTTAGAGGATGACAATGAAGTAGAGGTGCTTTGAGCCAGGTGGAGGGTTAACAGGTGCCCTGCCTGGCAACACGTCCTTTTGCTCACTCCTACCCAGAATCACAACATCTGTTTTGCAGGTCCAGGTACCCACCTTCATCAGGGCACCTGGACACCAGGATGCCAGTTCACCTTAACCAAATGTATATGAGATTGTCATCATAAGCAGAGCTCCAACATGCTGAACTAATTTCAGTCATCTACATTTATTGAACAATTACTGTGTGGAGCCTGGGCCAATCCCTCTACACACATTATTCCATTAAATCTTCCCAGCATCCCCATGAGTAGATACACTGAGGACATACCTTTCCTCTGCCCAGAGCACCCCTTTCTGATGATGGGAGGGAAATCCAGATTGGTTCTCAGGTTGCTTAGTGGGTAATTTGAACAAAGGAAGCAGGAACTTTTGGGAAAGCTAATCAGGTCTGAGGACATGGGATGAGCCATCTCCAGCTCATAGCCAACCTTTCCCATGTCCTGAAAGCCAGTGTCCCTAAACTCCATGAATGTTTCCTTTCGTTAGTACTGCTGTGCCCTGGCCACATCATCCTGGCTGCCTTCCGTCTGCTATAGCACACGCTGTGCTTCCACACACCAGAGCAGAGTGTAATTGATTATGTCACTGTCATGGCCAGTTATCACCATTGATTACAGTTTGATTGGCTCTCTCTGTTTCCTGTAACTGATTTGATTAGGGCCTTGTTTGCTCATCTTTCTGATATAAAGGCACAATTGTGTCCTGAGAGTAAGCCCTGGTCATCTTCCTCCAGGAGGATGTTTTCCTCTCTCTTTATCCACTTCATGAGTCTTCCTTTGGGTATATCATTTTTGCAAAGAGCTGATGCCATCCACTGTGAATTTTACTAGTTTAATTTTCAGAAGTTAACCTGATTTCCAAGTTTAGGGAGGAGCACCTCATTGTTCTTTTGTGCTGAAAAACAGAGAGCAGCAGGTTAGTTCATATTAGGACATGTTCCATAGAGTCAGCAGTGAAAAGGGTCCTGAAAAAGAGGTAGGATTTAAAGCAGTGACACTGGGGACAGGAAGAGGCTTTCCAAGAGTGGGGAACAGCATGTCAAAAGGCAGGGAGGCCTCTGAACAGTAAGTAGTTCAGTTTGACTGGAGTATGGATTATATTTAGAAAAGTATCTAAAATCAAGATCAAAAAGGAAAGTTGACAGCAGAGAATGAAGGGCCTAGAATATCAGGCAGAGAAATTTGGAAATGGACAGGCACTAGGGAACAACACATATTTTTAAGCAGGGGCAAGATATTCCTGGAGTTGTATGATATACCCTGCTGGGTGTTTAAGGGATGAAAGTAACACAACAGGCCTATGGAGAAGGCAATGAGACCCAGGCTTAAGAAGAATGGCTTTGAGGCATTATCTGGGGTCGGTGGGGAACAGAGGTGGAGAACAGAAGTGACTGACTTCCAGGAATATGTCCAAGCCTTCTGATTTTTCCTGCTTCCAATGTCTCCTGCAGGCAAAATGCCACCTGCTTATTGCAAATAGCTGAGGGTTTAAAGCCACTTAGACTTCTAGCCAAGTCCTGCTCCATCCTTACTGGTTGTGTGGCCTGGGACCTAATGATTAACTGATCTGGGCTTCAGTCTCTTCACCCGGGGATCATGCTGTAAGGATTGGAGATGGTGGAGGAGAAGCACAAAGCACACAGCAGTGCCCATAACTGGAGGCTATTGACTGTGTGGGTATTAGGTTATTACCCAGCTCAGGAATCTCCAAGGGCCTCTAATTGCCCAGAGAATAAAGTGCAAATTGTCTTCTTTTGGTGTCTATCCAGGTATCTGTCTTATTTTCAAATAAAGAAGTAATATGATCAGATTTGTGTTCTAAAACAACAACATGGTGTTCTGCAAGATGTTAAGAAGTGTGCCCTCGGGAAGGGAATGTGTGGTCAAAAAGATTGGGAAATGTTTGGTTAAACAATTCTGAACAGATTCTTTTGCAATAAGACTTCTCAGAACCTTAAATAGGCTGATATGCCTGGTAAATCACTAAGAAGGGCCACAGAGGTGATATTTTCTTAAATAAACAATTTCTTATTTGCCTAAAAAACCCTCCTTTTAAACCACTAGATCTCTGGCCAATCATTTAGGGAACTTTTTCCCCTAAACTCTGACAGCAGAGAAAAAAGGATTGAATTAAAAAAAAAAAAAAAAACCTGGCCAATGGGAGATGGGTTAGGAGGCTGTGGTCATACTGCAAAAGGAAAATGATGAGGACCTGGACTAAGAGAATGGTGTTGGGAATAGAGATAAATCAACGTAATTGAGTACATCTAAGGAGACAGAGTCAATAGAATTTGATGATTAACTAGATATAGGGAGGGAAAGAAAGGAAGGAGAAAAGGATGACTCAAGCTTTTGCTTGGGCGACTAAATGGGTGTTGGTACTATTCATTGAGATCCAGACAGAGAAAGGGAGGGCATTCTGAGATTTCAGCTTTACATGTGTTGTGTTTAAAGTGTTTATGAAACACCCCCACGGAGGAGCGTGGGTCTGGAGCTCAGGAGGGAGAAAGAATCTAGAGACAAGATTCGGGTGTCATTATGCAATGGATGCCATGCAAATGGGTAGGCTTACCCACAAGGAATGAGTAGAACAGAAGAAAAACAGATCCAGCACGAGGTCAGGCGTTCGAGACCAGCCTGGCCAACATAGTGAAACCCCATCTCTACCAAAAAATTAGCTGGGTATGGTGGTGTGCACCTGTAATCCCAGCTACTCAGGAGGCTGAGGCAAGACAATCACTTGAACCTGGAAGGTGGAGGTTGCAGTGAGCCGAGATCGTGCCATTGCACTCCAGCCCAGGTGACAGTGTGAGACTCCATCTCAAAAAACAAAGAGATCCAAGTGGGAAACCTGGGGAAATCGACTTCTAAAAGGCTGATACAGAAAGAGCAGCCAATGAAGGAAAAACAAGAATCAGTCAAGAGAACCAGGAGAACAAGAGCAAGAGAACCAGGAGAACCAGGAGAACAGAATCTGAGGAGCCCAAGGCAGAGGGGGCTTTAAGGAAATAGTGGCTGGTAGTGTCAGATGCTCAGAAAGGATCCCAGATAAGGTTAGAAATAAGTGCATGGCTTTAGCAGCAGGTGCCAGGAATCATCTTTGTTTGGGCAATTTTAGTGGCAAGATGGGGGCAGAACACATTGTGCAATGAATTATAGTGGAGACAGTGAGTATAAGTAACATTTAAGAGAGGTTTTGACCAAGAAGGAAAAGAAAGAAGGGAAAGCTAAAGGAACAGTGTTCACTGCGGAGGGAACAGCATGTGTAAAAGTCCTGAAGTGGGAAGGCACATAGCGGGTTTGAGACTAAGAATTGCTAAAGTTTGGCTATTTAAACCATGTTAACCATTTTGGTTTTCATTCCATCTCTTATGGGAAGCCACTGATATAATTTAAAACTATGAGTGACATGAGATTGTGCTTTTTAAAGATCACTTGGGTTACATAATGGAAAATGCATTGGAGGAAGGCAGGAATGGATGTGGGGAAATGTTATGTGGCTATTACATTGAATCAAATGAGAGATGACAGTAGCTTAAATTAAGATTATAGCCATGGGGATAGTGATGGTGATGGTGATGATGATGGTGATGATGACAGTAGTGGTGATGGTAGTGATGATGATGGCAGTAGTGGTGATTGCAGCTAGCACTTTGGAAAGCAATAATATGCATCATCATATTGACTTCTCAAAAGAACCCAATAAAGCACAAACTATTATTATTTCCACTTCATATATAAGGAAACTAAGCACAGAGAATTTAAGCAAATTGCCAGTAAGGGGGGAAGCCTATTTTTAAACCTAGGCAATGCCCTTCCAAAGCCTGCACTCTTAACCACCGTGATCAATGGAGAGAAGTGATTATAATCCATAGAATTGAGGAGATGAAAGGCTTTTGTAATGACAGGAGATTCACGAATGAGGAAGAGGGAGGTGTGAAGAATGGCAGCCCTGGTCTGGGTGGTCAGGGTCCCATTGCCTAAGATGAGAAACACTGGAGGAGAAATCCACTGCAGAGTGGGGAGTTCACATGCCCAGTTTTGGACCTGTGGAGTACAATTGAGACACATTAACATCTTCACATGGAAATGCTGAGTAGATCCTTGGATACATAATTCTGGAGGAGGGAGCCAGGTTGGTCGTAGACACTTGAGTGAGGTCAGTCCAACCATCTGGTGGTTGAAGCATGGCTGTGAATGAGATCATTTGGGAAAGGGTTCTGAATTACTCCATCATCCACTCCACAAATGTTTGTTGGATCCTTCCATGTGCCTGGCATCATGGTAGCATGGCCTAGGGTATTAGCATATCCCAAAACACAGGTGTACTCCCTGCTTTCGTAGGGCTTCCTGGCCAAGAGTGAGACTGACATGGACTCACACTAATGAATGAACCTTCTCAATCTGAAGCATATGCTCCTACAGGAAAACATAGGTCTTGTGAGAACAGGTCACCATCATCATCTCCATGGCTACAACCTTCATTTAAGCTACTGTCATCACTCATTTGATTCACTGTAATAGCCACATAACATCTTCCCACATCCGTTCTTGCCTTTCTCCAAAGTATTTTCCATTGTGTATCCCAAGTTATCTCTAAAAAGCACAACCTTATGTCACTCCTAGGTTGTGAGAGCAAGACTGGGTTTACATGCAGAGGAGCAGCTTTGCTGTGTAGTGCCTGTGTGGGGATGCAGTGTCCAGTTGGGAGTCTAAGCCCAACTTCCTTGTCTGGGACCCTCTTGGAGCAGCCCTTCTTCTCTCTGCTTCCTGACTTCTTTTTGCAGTCTCCTTTCCTAGCTTGGCTTTATCCTTTGATGGAGTTTTCTACTTCCATCTTTGTATCTTCCTTTCCTCATTTTCCCAGTACTCAGAATGCTGCCAGCCCTTTCAAATTTGCCAAGCACATGTCCTTCCCCAAGAACACTTCTGAGATCCTGACACCCCCACATAGGAGTGTCTGATCAAATGGAAGCAGTCGCGAATCGCCCTGAACAGTCCACATGGCAACACATTTCCAAAACATAGTTACTCCATGCATATTTGCTGATTTCATGTTTTGGTCTTTATTCTCTGCTTTTTTTTCTGCAGACGTAGTAGCTTCATTGTGATTTCTCCATGTTGTAAAAAGCTTTGTGAATAAGCGCTGGCCCCTGTGCCTAGGACCTAAAAGAAATTAGGCAGGTGTTGCAGAGAACAATGAGAAATTGATTTTGCTCTTCTGGATTTTCTATTTCCTTTTTGTTTGATATTCATAGGAAATTGTGTTTGTTTAGGAGCTCTGAATTTCTGGGGCAAGCAGAGGCTCATATCATTATATTTTTCTCTACAGTGCTAATTTGCTTGTCTGGGAAAAGGGGTAAGATGACACTCTGAAAACAACTGGCAGAGTGGCACCCAGACGTGCCCACACAGGGCGGCTCTCTTTGGCTCTTGCTGCTGCTGCTGCTGCTGCTCCTCCTCCTCCTCCTCTTCTTCTTTCTTTGTTCTTCTTTCTTCTGTCTTCTTTCTTTTTTCTTCTTTCTTCTCTCTTCTTTCTTTTTTCTTCTTCTTTCTCCCTTCTTTCTTCCTTTTCTTCTCTTCCTCCTCCTCCTCTTCTTTCTCCTTCTCCTTCTCTGCCTCCTCTTCCTCCTACTTCTCCTCCTCCTCTCTCTGTCTATCTCTCCTTCCTTTCCCTCTCCTTTCTCTTCTTCTCAAGCCATATGTCCTGATTTGTCTCATCCCCAGTTTCTATACATTGCCCAGGGATGACTATCCACAGTGCCCCTGTCCTGCCAGTCTCAAATGTATCATGATATGGGTGACAATGACACAATAATGACATGGTCACCTTCGTCTAAGGCCCTGCTCTCTCCTCTCCCTGCCTGGCACACTGACCGGCTGACTCATGGTGTTTTCTCCCTCCAGCTTCCTCCAGTTGACCCACTCTTTTCATGTGCTCATCTCTGCCTATCACAAGACCATCTTTTCTCACCCAGGAAGACATTGAGCAGAAGCAGAGATATTCATCTGGGGTATGGTGTTGTTCAGAGGTGCCGATGGAGTCCTCTCTCTCAGCCAGTTTCTACCAAGCTGGAAACCTAGGTTCAAGATTCATCCTTGTTTTGTCCTGAAGCATCACCCCACTCAGAATTCACATTCACATCCTCAGGAGGGGCAGAGGCTGCAGCCATCCTGTGCCCTCCCCACCCAGTCTGGATGCATCCCTCCCACCCGCAGCAGGGACTCCAGGTTGCAGGGGTGGCCTTGGGCATTGCTTGCCTGGTGCATGAGGAAGGCTGTCCAGTTCCAAATGCAGCCTGGTCCACACACACCTGTCCTCACCACCACCCGTGTGCATTCAGTGATCATACAATCCCTTCCAGAAATCCCCAGAGGCAGACTGCAGATGTCAGAACCCATTGACTTTCCCCTTCGCTCCTTAAACCCATCACACACTCATCCCAGTTAGCTTTGAGTTTAATCTATTGTTACTCAACCAGACACAAGGTGCACAGGGTGTTATGGACTGGATATTTATGTCCCCTCACCCCCAATTCCATATGCTGATGCCCTAACACCCAGTGTAATGGTGTTTGAAGGTAGGGGTATTGAAAGGTAATTGGGCTTAGGTGAGGTCATGAGAGTGGGGGCCCTATAATGGGATTAGTGTCCTTATAAAAGAGGAAGAGGCTAGATTCCTCTCCCTCTCCCCCTCCCTCCCTTCCTCTCTTTCTCTTCCTCTCTCTCTCTCTCTCTCTCTCTCTCTCTCTCTTAGCCATGTGAGGACAGAAGGAGAAGGTGTACTTCTGTAAATGAGGAAGCTCACACCAGGAGCCAAATCTGCTGTACCTTGATCTTAGACTCCCAGCTCTAGAGCTGTTTAGAAATAAATGCTTCTTGTTTAAGGCGCCCAGTCAGGGTGATTTGTTAGAGCAGCTCAAGATGACCGGGACACAGGCCAGCAGTTCCCTGTGCCTGGAAGAGCAGTCTCAGGCACACAGGCCATTGGCTCAGGTTCTCTGTATCTGGAACAATCTCTGTCACCCTCCTTCAGATGCTGCTAGAGTAGGGCCCAAGGTCACAGTGCAAGAGGTAGGGAGGAGGAGGTTACTTGTCCTGGTAAGTTGCCATTTTTGAAAGAAAAGTTACCCTAGAGAGAATAAAATGGAAGCACACAAGGCTGGTCTCCCATGCATGAAAATAGTCCCTGAAAAAGAGGAAAGGGTTCATCCAGGAAACCACAACCCAGTGCCGCAGTATTTAAAAAGGTATATTCACAAGGACCTTCTGCACCCCCTCCCTGTTTCCTGTGTGTGCTCTGCAGGCCAGCCCGCCCCCACACAGACACCTACAGAGGCCAGCACAAGGTAGACACGCAGGTTCCGGGCCTTTGTGGATCTCCACGCCCACATTCATTGCATCCACAAATTGGCAGTCAGGTGCCTGGGCTTTCATTTCTATTTTTAATCTGGTAGTTGCATTGCTGAATGTCCTTGTTAGAGACTTTTATCACGTCAAAATGAATGCTTTCAGGGTGTTAAGTTATGCTCACTTGTATTATTTTGTTCTTCAATCACTTATTTTAGAATGATCCCTTACATGTGTTGCAAACTCAGAAGGTATATAACCAGTGTATCAGTTTTCTATGGCTGCCACTGCAAATTATCACAAACCTGGTGGCTTACAATAGAAATGATTCTCTCACATTTCTGGAGGCCAGAAGTCCTAAATCAAGGTGTCAGCAGGGACTCAGTTCTCCTGAAGGCTCTAGGGGAGGATCTCTCCTTGCCTGTCCCAGCTTCTGGTAGCTCTAGGCATTCGCAGCTTATGGATACTTCACTCCAACTTCTGCTTCCATCTTCACGTGGACTTCTCCTCTCTCTGTGTCTCTTTTCTGTATCTTTTACAAGGATGCTTATCATTGGATTTGGGGCCACTCAGTCCAGAGTGATCTCATCTTGAGATCCTTAACTTAATTACATTTGCAAAGCCCCCCATTTTTTTTTCCAAATGAGGTCACATTCACAGATTCTGGGGTTAGGACATGGACATATCTTTTGGGGGCCACCATTCAACCCATTATGACCTTCAATTCAGATCATAGTATCTGTCACTGGTACCTCCATTCAGGCACACACAGACCAGTGTACCCAGATGTACAGCAGTGAGTGGGCCTTTTGTCCATTTAAAAGCTTTAATTATGTCATTTTGGGGTATGTGCAGAAGAAAATAGAGACTCACCGAATGTGTGAGTCAGCTCTTCTCCCCAGGAGCCGTTCCACACCTCCTGGAAGTTGGCAGCGGGAAATGTGTAGGGGCCCTTTATAGTTGGCACATTGTCATGGTTCTCACGATGATTGGGGCTGGGGCTTGGCATTTGGTGGGTGGGCTGTTGCCATGGGTGAACAGTCCCATACAACAAAGAATCCTCCTGCCCCAAGTGCCAGTGGTACCCTGTTGAGATTCACTGATGTGAATTAGGAAGCATTATGGTACCATGAATGCTCTGAACCCAGTCCCCATGTGAAAAATAAAACTTTACCTGTCATGTTGAAGCGACACCTGCCCCTCCTGCTCTGAGGCAGGCACTGCATGTCACCGGAAAGAATGGTATAGTAACTGCTTTAAAAGATATTTTAGTAGGGGGACTTTGGGGGGAAAAATCTGTGAAGGCCACCTGGTACTCTCCCAACTGATCTTTATTGTTCTTCATCCCTCCTCAATCTCAGCGTGGCATCAAGAACGCTTCATACGGTTTATGGGTAAATCAGAATTTTTGACAGAATGGTCTCATTTTTAACAGAACATTTTTATTTTTCAGAGACACTTATATTCTGCTCAATATAGTGAGCGGAAAGAAAGGGCCTTCTAAAGAAAAGGCCTTTTGTTAACCTTTTCAGCCTTTTTTCTGCCTTCTCAGAACTCTACTTCCCGTCTTCACACACAGCAGAAGGTGCAAGGGAAGAGCCTGCTATCCAGGCCCTGGGAACATAAAACCCTTCATGATTCTCTTGCTCCAAACAGGAGGAAGTCATTTTTCTTTGCCCTGGGAACATAAAACCCTTCATGATTCTCTTGCTTGAAGCAGAAGGAAGTCATTTTTCTTTGCATTGTTCATCCCAGTCACTGGCATGGCCGGATCAGCCGTGGTCATGACCTGATCATCCTATGAGGCTCCTTGACTGCACTTCACCCACCTGCTGCTGGTGCTGGCTCCAGCTCACAAAGGGCCTCAGATCCCTTTCTTCAGGGATTGCTTCCTTCAACCACCTGTACCCCTCTATAGGGCTCAGCCTTTGGAAGAATTTAGAGCCACTACTGGACAGGTGCTCCCGGGAGGTGGGTCTCCCCAGGTGCCAGTTCCCACCCAGTCAGGGGAGTCAGAGGAACCTCTGGCCCAAGGACCCCGAACTCCATTTCCAGCTCACATCTTCATGTCTTAATTCTAGACTTCTTGGGTTAATCAACTCCTCAGGTTGACTTGACCCTTGAGCCATGTTCATCCTTCCCCCCTTACCCATCACAATGCTAGCTACCATTTTTTGAGCACCTGCTCTGCACCTACCATTGTGCTAAGCTCTTACGTGTCTGTAACCCACATAAAGCCAGTCAGTTGTTCTGACCTTGAAGCCAGTCTCAGTACAGCATCACATTCCAACATATATTAGTCTGCCATCTAAAAATAACTGGAAATCCATTTAAATCTTTACTGTAATCTCTTTGAGGGAGAGAACTGTTGGGGCTCAGAAAACAATATCCCCAAATGAAGGCCTCAGCAGCAGCCTCAGAAGCAAAAGTTTTTCTCTGACTTTCTCCTGCCCCCTGTCTCTCAGCCCCACTCTCCCCCGAGGTGCCATAGAAACTAGGATTGTCTTCCCCAAGGTGGGTCATAGAAACCAGAACCTCTTTTCCCCCACAGAAATCCGGCCATAAAACCTAAAAGTATTCCATGTAAAAACAGGCCATAAAGAAATTATCTGACCTACATTGTTGGACTATAGGTCATAAGGCCTTGATTCCAGAGAGGGCCTGCCCTGCACCCAGCAGGAAGGAACACTGCTCAGAGAGGCCCAGAAGAATCTAGACAGACAGGCCTGTCTGGGTTTCCCCACTCAGCCTGTCAACATTAGATCAGACCCTTCTCCTCCAATCATATTTCTACATGACTGTCCATTGTTTGCTAAACCTAAGCATAAAAATGGACAATTTCTCCTCTATTTTTGGGTCTTCATTCTGAAGGTACCTGTGTATGCATATTAAGTAAATTTGTATGCCTTTTCTCCTTTAATCAATCTGCCTCATTTCAGTGATTTTTTTCAGTGAACCTTTAGGAAGCCAAAAGCCTTGGCCCCCACAGGGGATATCACTGGGGGATCGCTGTCCAGATAGGTAGTAAAATTTATTAAAATTCTCATAACCGTATACCAATTAAAAGTAAAACAACTGTCTGTGTCTGTCTAACCCAAGGTCAGACATGGAGCATTGTTTTAGCTCTAACTGGTCAATGTCTGTATTAGTCTCCTAGGTCTGCTTTAACAAAGCACCACAAACAGAGTGATGTGAAACAACAGAAAGGTATTGTATCACAGTTCTGGAGGCTAGAAATTAAAGATCAAGGTGTCAGCAGGGCCCTGCTCCCTCTGAAGTCCATAGGGGAACCCGTCCTTTCCTCTCCCTGGCTGGTGATTCGCCAATGGTCTTTGACACTCCTTGGCCTGCAGCTGCATCACTCAAATCTTGCACCATCTCCCCGTGTGCATGTCTCTCTCTGCATTCACACTTCCCCCTTTTTTAAGGACACCAGTCATTTTAGATGACAGCCCACCCGAATGACCTCATTTTAACTCGATTAGTCTGTAAACACTCTATAAAGTCCTGCGCTAAGGCACTAGAGGTTAAGATTTCAACATATCCTTTTGGGGAACCACAATTCAACCCATATGGTATCTTACTAGATAGATGTATAAAGTTTTTTGGAATCCAGGGGAAGAAACAAAAACCTTATCACAGGGAGTCAGGGAAGGCTTCCCAGGGGCCCTCATAGTGCTCTCTGGGCCTTAAAGCATAACAGGGAGCTCACCAGGAGGAAAGGACAAGGGGGAGAGGGGAGCCAGGGGTCCCCCAGGCAGGAAGAATTAAATGTGTTCAGCACAGAGGAAAGCAAGAGCATGCTGTGTTGGGGGCGAAGAAAGAGAGCAACTTTGGAGACCAGGCACAGAGCACATTGTGGGTACAGAGGGGATGGGACTGGAAAGAACATGTGGGAAAAAAACCCAAAGGGAGATTTACGCCTTGTGTTCATTAGTTTGGGTCTTATCTGATTGTACAGAAAATGAGGAACCAATGAGAGATTTTCCACCAAAATCACCTGCATTGATTTTGTCCTCAACCTCAGAGTGACACCTTCTTAAATAAAATGTAAGCAAGACTTATTTTTATTTTTGAGACAGTTTTACTCTTGTGGCCCAGGCTGAAGTGCAATGGTGCGATATCAGCTCACTGCAACCTCTGCCTCCGGGTTCAAGTGATTGGCCTTCCTCAGCCTCCCAAGTAGCTGGGTTTTATAGGCATGCACCACCATGCCAGGCTAATTTTTGTATTTTTAGTAGAGGCAGGGTTTCACCATGTTGGCCAGGCTAGTCTCGAACTCCTGACCTCAGGTGATCCTCCTGCCTCGGCCTCCCAAAGGGCTGGGATTACAAGTGTGAGCCACCATGCCTGGCCTAAGACTTTTTTTCAACAAAAGCTTAAGTGTAGTTTATTTATTAAAATGTTAAGTATAGTCATCTTACTAAAACAAACAAACAAAAAAGAATACTTTGAAAAGAGTAAGGAGGGTGAATTGAATTAAGCCTGGGAAGCAGTTTGCAAGCCACTGTCCCAGGTGGGGTTCCTGGGAAGCAGACCTGGGTGGGAGGCTTGCATTGGAGGAAGCGTGTTGATGGGAGCTCCCAAGGCACACAGCTAGTGGGAGGGAAGAAAGCAGGATGGGGCAGAGGAAAAAGTTGGGCTGCGATGCAGCCACAGCAAAGGCCTCAGCCCATTCCACTGGAGCCTTAGAGCCAGAAGAGCTGTCCCAAATCAGGATGAAAGGACATAGGTATTATGTGTGTTCACCAGTCACTCAATATGGATGGCCCCTAGGAAAGGTGTGACCTTAGGCAAGGGCCACTCTTTGAGTGAGAGCAATCCTGGTGGAGGACAGTGGGGGACTCAGCTGTCATGTTGTTTTCAAAAACCCAGCCACTAACATCAAACATGTTTAATAAGCTTATTAAGAAAAAAGCCAAAAAGATTAGGTATTTTATTAGAAATAGGTGAGCCTGAGAAAATAGTGAGACAATAGAGATCACTGAAGAAAGTTATAAATGGATGAGCACTGACAAAAGAGAAGGAAAGTGAGCTGAGTAATTAATTCATTCAACCACCTTTTCCTTTTTGGAAGTAGATTATCCAGAGCACAGAGACAAGCCATCCGGTCCTGTTGCTTCTTTGTTTCTGACCTATAGGAAGAAAGGCCAGAGAATAGGGAGAGAGGCAAAGGTAGTTTGAAGTCTTTACGCTATTTGATAAAGCAACTAAATCAGTGTTAGCCAAGCAGGAGGAAAAGCTATAGACATTTTAATGTTTGCAAGAAAGCATTCAAAGGTTCTTAATAACCAGGCTGTGAGCCATGGGCAGTCGGAGAGCCTGGAAGCCCTCCTGTGGGAAGAAGCAAAGGTCTTCCTGTAGCAAAAAACAGTCCTGGGCTTACCCAAATAGCAACTGATAAAATTAAGACAGTTTTTAAAAATCATGGCACATATGGCAATCTAGTGAATAGATAATCATTATATACTGTCATTTTTTAAAAGTGATTTATTAATAGAGAAAGAAATATTGACTCAGTGGTAGCGGTCAGGGAGCTCTGGGTGGAGTGCTGATCTTGCTGCCCCTACTGTTTGCTTGAGAAGCTGTTTACATATTAGAATGATAAAGAAGAGGATTCAGGCTGAGGAAGGCAGGGCTCGTGCAAGAGCCAATGCAGGTGAGAGCATGTCAAATCTCAGCACTTACCTTTCTGTTACCCCAATCTGGCCACCCCCCTGAATTCACACCATACCTTTCCTCCTACCTATGAAATGTAAGGAGCTCCTTGAGGCAAGGGCCTATGTGTGTGCACGAGAGCCCCTATCTCTGTTTTGCATAGTGAGTATGTCATAGACAGTTGCTGATGGTTTGAATGAAGAAGCCATTCTGCAGCTTAACATGATGAGGCTGGAGGGCTGCAGAGAGGGGACTGTGGCTCAGGGAGCTTGTCATCCTATTGGAAGTACATGTCAAAATTGGGTTCTCACCCTCGTTTGTATGACTCCAAAGTTAGAGCTCTATCTGTGTCACTCATGGTCAAAAACCTTGTTTCCCCCACCTTCTGTGTGCCTAAAGGATTGGCACACTTTGCAAGGCAGTCCTGTCACAGTGCACTTCTAGAGTTAGCTCAGACTTCACAGGCTGAGGGTGCATCCTCCACAAGACTCCCTCCCCTTACACCCCAATTGCAAGCTCCAGGATTCCTAGGCCATTCACACTTCTGACCAATTGGCTACAAGTTTGGGGGTTTCTGCTATCCCAGCAGGTTCAACAGTTTCCTAAAACAACTCACAGAATGCAGGAAAGTGCTATCCTTACAGTTTTATCATATAAATGAGAGCCAGCCAAATGAAGAAACATAGAGGACAGGTCTGAGGGACCCCAAACAGGAAGGTTTCATATCCTCACAAGGCTTTGCCCTCCAGACACACCAACAAGATGTGCATCACCAACCAGGAAGTTCACCTGAGCTTTGGTGCCCAGGAATTTATTAGGCCTTATTATACAGGCATCGTTGATTGATTGATTGATTGATGGAATCACTGGCCACATAATTGGACTCAATCTCCAGCTCCCCTTCCCTCCCTGGAGGTCAGGCTGATACCATGTGGCTCAAAGCTTCAACTCTCTGATTACCCGGTTGGTCTTTCCAGCATTGCAGCCCCCATCCTGAGGCTAGCAGGGACCCACCATGAATCACCTCATTAGTATAGATTCAGGTGTAGTCTGAGGAACCCACAGTGAAGGACAAAGGCCATCCTAACTCTTGGGAAATTCCAAGGGTTTAAACACCCCCTCTGCAGAACCAAGGACAAAAACTCATCAAATTCTTTATGATACACCATCAGTAACCAGCAGTGGTGACATTGGTGGCAGGTGCTCCCTGTCCCCCAAGAACTTCAGGTTTGCCCCCCAGGAAAGAATGCACCACTGGTAAGAATCTGCCCAGCACCAGGCACCTCCCAAATAGCACATTTCATGCTTAGAAAGCTCCCAAGGTCTTCCTTACCTGAAGCTGAAATCTATCTTCCTATGAAGATATGTTGGGTGAAGAGTCTCTTAATGAATTTCAACCCCAAGGACCTCGAGTTAAATTTTCCTCCACCATGTCTACAACAGAAATTGGTTGCTTCTTAGAAGGAAATCTGAAAAAAAAATTTTGTGCAAGCAGAGTCCTGGAGAGTTTCACCAACTAGAATCATTAGCTGGATTTAGTCTGACCCCTCTCAGAGACTATGGGTAGGGGAGAAGGTGCACGGCCGTGTCTGGCCTGATACAAATCTTATTCAACCCCTTGATATGGTGCCTTTACTTCTCAAGTGGCTGGGAATCTCCCTCACCAGAGTCTCTTCTTTTTATTTTGAAATTATTTCATACTTTTTAAAAAGTTGGAAAAAAAAAAAACAAGGCTAAGGACTCCCATATAGCTTTCTCCCAGATCCTCAATGGTTTAAATTTATTGTTTTCTGTATTGCCAGCTCAGTCTCTTCATAAGCAGGCATACATGCATACACATACACAAATATGCCCATTATCGTTATTCTTTTTTCTGAACTATTTGAGAGCAAGTTGTAGTATTGCTGCCCCATCACCGGAATGCTCCAGGGTTTATCTCCCCAAACAGGGACATTCTCCTACAGAAGATGTGCTGCATGCATCTAAATCAGGAAGTCAGCGTTGCTATAACACTACCTTCCACACCATAGACGCCATCCAGATTTTACCAACTGTCCCAGCAGTGTCTGTTTTTCCTGTCTGATCCAGGAGCACACATTGCACTTAGCTGTCATATCCCTTTAGTCTCCTCCAATCTGGGAGAGTTCCTAAATCCAAAAGAGTACAGGCCTTTTGTTCTATAGGTCCCTGAGGAGGCTCTTCATCCTGGGTCTCTGGTCTCATGACTAGATCAGGCCACAGACTCATGGCAGGAAGATCTCAGCAACCTTGCTGCTCTCTTCTTGGTGCATCGAGACAGGAAGCCCGCTGTGCTTACCTGCTGCACCACTAGGGACGTAAACCATGATGATCGGTTGTTTGTGTCTGCCAGATTTTTTTGTGCATTTGTTTAGTACATTCTGAGGCTGAATGCCCTGAGACCATGTCAATATCCTATTCATCATCAAACCTCCACCCTCTAGCTTCATCACCCATTGATGAATCCTGCCTGAATCAACCAACACTGAGTTTGTTGCCAAATGGTGACTTTCTATTTCCATCCTTTCTTCTACATTTATTTCTTGGCATTCTACACAAGGAAGAGTATTTTCTTCTTCCCCAATTATTTATCTGTCTTAGATTCTATTTTATTTGGCAGGATGTAACTCATTCCTATCATATATTTTAATACTTAAGTAATCCTAGATGTGGCCGATGTGAGTTCCTTCAGGCTAATCCTGATTTGTGGTTATGTGTCCCCAATGTTCTCTCAACACTTTGTTTTTATATGGCACAAAATAACGTTCCAGGCACATCTTGTACTTTTCCCCCTAGCCCTGGAATCAGCCATTTCTGCAAGGAGCTTTGGATTCTTTAAGTGGAGAAGGATATTTGAAAACTGCAACTTGGTGCTGGGGTGTGCAATCACTATCGGCTGTCACTGCTTCTTCTTTTTTTTTTTGAGACAGTCTCACTCTGTTGCCCAGGCTGGAGTTCAGTGGCGCAATCTCTGCTCACTGCAAGCTCCACCTCCTGGGTTCACACCATTCTCCTGCCTCAGCCTCCCAAGTAGCTGGGACTACAGGCATCCACCACCACACCCGGCTAATTTTTTTGTATTTTTTAGTAGAGACGGGGTTTCACCATGTTAATCAGGATGGTCTTGATCTTCTGACCTCGTGATCCGCCCGCCTCAGCCTCCCAAAGTGTTGGGATTACAGGCATGAGCCACCGCGCCTGGCCGGGCTGTCACTGCTTCTAAGTCCTTTCCATAAATGAAGCTCAGTTTCTCTCTCTCTCTCTCTGTGTGTGTGTGTGTATCTCTTTCTATCTATAAAACCATGAGTCACACCTGCACTTCCAATTCCAATCCTTCACCTCCAAAGATTTCAAAAATGATGAGATAGGTTGGCTAGACTCTCTAGGCTCCCCATCTCCATAAGAGTTTCCCATTATCCTCAATACATTTACTTCTTTGCTCACTCCCCCCTTTGGTTACTTCTTTGCTCACTCCCCCTGTTTGGTTCTTTGCTCACTCCCTGTTTGGTTACAATCTCCTAATCACTCCAACCATCTCTCTTGGCCCAACTCCTTTGACCCCTGACCTTGCCACCACCTCCAAAGGAAGGAAAAAGAAAAGAAGATAGAAAGGTAGAGAAAGAGAAAAATAGAATGAATTTTGCTTTGTTTTCCCAGTCTGGTTTACAGAGCACCAGTCTGCGAAGGAGATTGCTGTGTCAAAATAAGGCTAATATTTTGTTGTTTGGGGGGCTGTTTTTTTGTTTGTTTGTTTTTTAGTATTTACCTTGGGCCAAGCACCGTTCTATGGAGTTTTATCTAATTTAATCCTCATAAAAGCATTCCAAATTGGTACTATTATTTTGTCCATATTCTAGATGAGAAAACCAAATCCAGAGAAGTTTAGTATGTACCCAAGCATATCCAGCTGGGTGGTGGTGGTGGGTGGATGGGGCACTGCTGCAGCCTGGCACCAGGGCTTGTACTCCTGGCTATTGCTAGTCTGCATTTCAGTTATCCATGACTTAAAAGGTATTCTCTGCTCCCCAACCCTCTCCCATTTGCAGAGAACACAGATTTGTTAATAAAATAGCACAAATATTTCAAAAATGATGGGATAGCTTGGCTAGACTAATCTTTCTCCAGATAACAATGATAAAATCTGGACAAAATATAAAAGGGAACTCTCTGCAAGCACTGGTGAGTGCCCATAGCAAGCACAAACTAAAAGGAAACCTGCTCTTGAGAGCTAAACTGTGATGAATGAGATCTGCAAGTTTGTGGCTTTTTGCCTGAGAGAACTTTCCAGTCTGGAATGGGCTCCAGGGGCAAAAATCTGCAGCCTTACTAGCTTAAAGTGTCAGAGGATACAATATGAGATTGGCAGAGCAGCAAGAAGATTAGCAGAAAATCATGGAGAGAGTAAGCCCCAAAATAAAACATTAATTTTTAAAAATAATTTATAGAAGCAAATTTATAAACTACTTAGAAATAAATTTAACAAAAGACCTATACAATATATATGTTGAAAATGATAAAACATTACTAAAAGAAAATAAAGAAGACCTAAATAAATAGAGAGATATGCCATGTTCATGTATTACAGGCATCAATGCTGTTAAGATGCCAATTCTGGCCAGGTGCAGTGGTTCATGCCTATAATCCCAACACTTTGCAAAGCCAAGGTAGGAGGATCACTTGAGGCCCAAGAGTTCAAGTCCAGCCTGGTCAACATAGCATGACCCAAACTCTATAAAAATTTAAACATTAAAAAAAAATGCCAGTTCTCTCCAATTAAGCTATAGATTTAACACAGTCCCACTCATAATGCAGCAGACTTTTTAAAAAGAAAGTGGCCAGCTGATTCTAACATTTATGTGGACATGCAAAGACCTAGCCCAATAATCTAGGGGATGGGGAACAGCGGAAGACTTAACCCTATTTGACTTCAAGATCTCATGTAAAGCTACAGTAATGCAGACAGTGTGGTTGACATTGGTACAGTATAGACAAAGATCAATAGAAAAGAAATGAGAGTTCAGAAATAAACCTAGATGGCCAAATGATTTTTGACAAAGAAAAGCAATTCATTTGGGAAGGGAAAGTCAACAACCAATGCTGAACAACCGTAGATCTATATTTTTGAAAATGAATACCATATACAAAAATTAATTCACAATAGATCACAAAACTAAAAATTAAAACTGTGAAGTTTATAAAAGAAAACATAGAATATCTTCATGACCTGGAGGCAGGCAAAGATTTCTTAGGATACAGAAAACGCTAACCATGAAAGAAAATGTTGACAAGTTAGACTCTGTCAGAAGACATTGATTAGGCAATGCAGAATGGGCACACTACAGACCTGGAGAAAATATTCATAAAATACATCATACAAAATACTTTTACCTAGAATGTATAAAAGCCTCCTACAACTCTCCTGCAAATGAAAACACAACAGAAAAAATGGGGAAAAGATTCAAACAACCACTTTACAGAGGAAGGTATATGAATGGCCTATAAACACATGAAAACATGTTCAATATCATTAGTCATCAGAGAGATGCAAATTACAAGCACAATGAGACACTACGCACCCACTGAGATGGCTAATATTAAAAAGACTGACAACACCAAATGTTAGTGAAGATGTGGTGTAACAAAAGTCTCATGTCACAGGAGAAATATAAAATGGAATAATCCTGACAGTTGCTCATAAAGTCAGACATACATCTATCTTTGATCCAGTAATTCCTCTTCTCAGCATTTATCCACAGGAAATCACAATGTATAGTCACAAAAATACTTGCACATTGATGTTCATAGTAGTTCAATTCACAATAGCCAAAAATTAGAAATAGTCCAGGTGTTCGGAAGCAGAAGACCAAATCAACATATTGTGATTCATTTACAAAGCAGAACATTACCGATTGATAAGTAGGAATGAATTTCTGATATATGCAACAACATGATGGATCTCAGACATTATGCTGAGTGAAAAAAGACACCAAAAAAGTGTATGCTAAATGATTCCATTTATACGAAGTTCTAGAACAGGCAAAACCAATTGAAAGTGGTGGGGGTAGGGTAAGGTTGACTGGAGAGGCGGGAGGTAGTGGGGCCATGAGGGTGGACTGAGAAGGGATATGGGGGAGTTTTCTGGGGATCTGGAAAGTTCTATACCTTAATTGGTATGTGGGTTACACAGTTGTATTCATGTGTCAAAATTGTATAGCTTCAATTTATGCATTTTAATGTATAGAAATTTTACATTTAAAGAAGAACTGTAAAAAAATAATAGTTGAGTCACAGCTGGGGAGTGGGTGGTGATATTGATGAAGCAAGAAGGCAGAAGGTTGGTAATTGTTGAGGCTGGGTGATGCGTACATGGGGGTTTATTATACTCTTCTGTTTACTTTGTATATGTTTGAGATTTTTGATAATCAACAGCACAGGAGTTCTAGCCCTGAGGAAATTAGATATTAGCCAAGTAGGTTTCAGCTGGAGCAGGAGAGGACTGTAAGTTCAAAAGCACCAGTGGTGGGGGCTCCAGGAGGGACTTGGGAGTGACGTGGGGGCTCTGAGTAATGCATTATTCCGGATGACAGTGGACAGAGCAGGGCAGAAGGTCAGGGACAGGAGAAATGGGTAGAGAGGATGACAAAATGGTTAACTTCACGGGCTTGCACTCCTCCCCCAACCAGATGTCCCTCTCACTGTAGGAGTGCCACTGATCCCAGTCTTCATCCCCTCCAGGGCCTCAGTTCTGATTCCTGCACTGGTTGTTACAACTGCTCACAAGTGCATTCTGTGCCTCTGTTTCCCCATCTATCTCACAGAGCAGTCGTCACCCTCTGTGACGGGCATTTTCTTTCCTAATGGGGAAGGGATTTTTCAGGCTGAGGGTCTTCTAGTTTCACAACTCCCTGGAGTCCAGAAGGGCTAGCAAGAGGCAGTTAGCCCGAGACAGATGGGTGCCCAGGCAAGCAAATAACTGGGCATTCCTTCAAACCAGGATTATCTAAATATTAGCATGACATTTTCCTAGTGGAGAGAGAAAGAAATTTATTTACTTCTGAGAAAAATAATATGCCTCCTTCTTTTCATTCCAATTAAGGAACTGATTACAGTTGATTGACTAAATTAGAAACTGTCTTGGGAGGCATGTTAAGAAAATGTAAAATCTAAATAATCAAATGCCCCTCCTCTTTTTGGTTTGACAGCAACCTATTATGCATTATTTGGTCTTTAGGCTGATGTAGGCTTGATGGCACGCACATTGCAGACATATCCAACAGAGATACGTCGGTGCCTTCGGGTTTTTAAATTTATATCCCAGAGGACACTCTGCTCTGTCAGGAGTGAGCTCAATTCACCAACAATATGTGGAACTACATGAGAAACCTAAGTTAAAATGGCACCAAAGTCCGGGCGCGGTGGCTCACGCCTGTAATCCCAGCACTTTGGGAGGCCGAGGCAGGCAGATCACTTGAGGTCAGGAGTTTGAGACCAGCCTGGCCAACATGATAAAACCCCATCTCTACTAAAAATACAAAAATTATCCAGGCGTGGTGGTGCCTACCTGTAGTCCCAGCTACTCAGGAGGATGAGGCAGGAGAATGGCTTGAACCTGGGAGGCGGAGGTTGCAGTGAGCCGAGATCACATCACTGCACTCCAGCCTGGGTGACAGAGCGAGACTCCATCTCAAGAAAAAAAAAATGGCACCAAAGTGATTTCAGAACTAGGCAGGGCCTTACAGATGGACTTCTAGGCAGCTGCCCGGTTGGCCCACCTGTTAATCCATCTCTGGCTCTAGGCCAGGAAGCTGTGGCATCAGGCTGGGAGACAGGCAGTCTATTAACCTCCGGTTAACAAGAAAGCAGGAACAAGAGGGCACGTGGTTTCTTGCCAGCACTCATTTCTTGTGTCCTTGCTCATGTGGGGATTGTGGCACTTAATCCTTCCAAGTGAATCTTGTCCTTATCTTTTCCAGCCCCACCACTCCATGAATCAGCTTGGCCTAGTAGAAATCCTCAGTCTAGTGTCCCAAGATTCCAAATCCCAGTTCCATTCCGTGGGTTGTGGGACATATATTAGTTTCTCCATCAGCCACACGGGATGGTAACACCTGCTTCCCTGTGTTGTGTGGATTCAATGAAATCATGTCTGCAAAGGGCCTAGCAGTGCCTGGTGCAGGAGCTCAGTGATGCTGGCTAAATTGCAAACCACTCAGAAGGTCTGCTGTTCACATAGTGGATGTTCCGTAATTATTAATTGGTTAGATTGTAATGAGGTGCAGAAGCAAATTTTTGTTATTCTCTGCCTCTTTGCATTTTCTCCTTCACTTCTGCTCTCTCAGTTCCTCTGTCTCTGCCTCATTTCACCCATTTGTCAATTTATCAGATAGAGCCCATTGTGTACAAATCTTCCCCTAAATGCTAGAGAATCAGAGACAAATCGAACATGAAGACAGAATCCCACCCTAGAGAATCCCACTTTTCAGGTCTGTGTGAGAATTATGGGAGCCCAAAGGTGGGCACCCCTGAGTCATGCCTCTCTCTTCTCCTCTGCAGGAGATCATCACCTCCATCCTGCTGAGCGGGCGGATCGGGCCCAACATCCGGTTGGCTGAGTGCTATGGGCTGAGGCTGAAGCACATGAAGTCCGATGAGATCCACTGGCTGCACCCACAGATGACGGTGGGTGAGGTGCAGGACAAGTATGAGTGTCTGCACGTGGAAGCCGAGTGGAGGTAGGAGTGGATTCCTGGGCTCTGGAAGTGGGAAGGAGAGGAATTTAGGGTGGGGAGGCCCTGGGAGTTTCTCCCTTAGAGCACTCCCCTGCCTCAGAAACTTCTAGCAAACCTGAGTGGCATTCTAGGCTTAGTCTTCCTCCAGTATCCAATGCATGTATTTTCCAGGACCTAACCTGGGCTTCATAGACTATCCCCATCCCAGAGCCAACACCTAAAGGTAACCCTAAACGGGATGCTGACAGTGCTAGGGGAAAAGAGAGACAGAAGGGTGGGGAGGATGGAAAGCCCAGGTCCAGGGCTAGCCTGTGAACCTAAGAGAAACAGCTGCCATGAGGGAGAAAGGTGGAGAGTCAGGGATAGCTCAGACCACCACCTGCCAGCCACCTCCCTGTTGATGGTCTCCAGCCCAACCGCAGAGGAGGGAAAGAGAAAAACCAGCCCTGAATGAGTGGCCACGAGACTCATGGGCAGCCCTTCCCTTTGCACTAGGGGATGGGCTTGCTTCTGCCCTTGGGGTCCTACTCCTTTCTTCAGGCACCAGCTTCTCTGTGTCAACCAGAGCCTGAATGTCTTGTTGCAGGTATGACCTTCAAATCCGCTACTTGCCAGAAGACTTCATGGAGAGCCTGAAGGAGGACAGGACCACGCTGCTCTATTTTTACCAACAGGTAAAAAGTACTTTATCTTCTTGCCCCGAGGCTCCCATTACACCTCAAATGCCAAGCATGAACCGTTCTCTCCTAGGGAGATGGAAAGACAAAGCCCAGATTATGGAGGGCCCAGGCTAGGAAGCTTCTCTTGAAGAAGGTCCTTGGTCTATGGTCCGCGGCTCCAACCCTGCTTTTCTCTCAGTATTTAAGCACTGGCTAAACTGCCCCATGTGCTCCCAGCTCCTCTTGGACTTTTCTGGTGGCCCAGGAGACCTGGCTAGTGAAACAGCAAGAGCAGGTCCAAGATGAATCCTGCAGTGCTTACTACACAGCTCTGCAGACTGTTGTCCACTAATCTAGCTCTGCCATTCACTAATCTGATAGCCTGGGGGACCTCATTTACTTGCATGAAGCTGTTTCCTCTGCTGTAAAATTATTATGGGAATCATAATAATAATACCTACTTTATAGGGTTGTTGTAGGGACCAGATGATATCATTGGCTGCTAAATTGACTCTCCAAAGAAAAATTCCCTTACACGTAGCACTTACCTATTTATTTATTTATTTATTTATTTATTTATTTATTTATTTATTTATTTCAATGGGTTTTTTGGGGGAACAGGTGGTGTTGGTTACATGAATAATTTCTTTAATGGTGATTTCTGAGATGTTGGTGCACCCATCACCCAAGCAGTGTGCACTGTACCCAATGTGTAGTCTTTTATCACTCACCCCTTCCCACTCTTTCCCCAGAGTCTCCAAAGTCATTCTTATGCCTTTGCATCATCATGGTTAGCTCCCCCTTATGAGTGAGAACATACAATGTTGGTTTTCCATTCTGGAGTTAATTCACTTAGAATAATGGTCTCCAACTCCATCCAGGTTGCTGTAAATGCCATTATTTCATTCATTTTTATGGCCCTTGCCAATTTCTATGGTGTAAATACCACCCCCCTCCTCAGCCTATTTCAAGCTACTAATAGGATACCTACTTGGCTTACAAAACTTCTGAAAACTTAATAACCAGCTCTCAGCAGCTATTTTGAGCATCTCAAACTTCCTGGACAGAATGCGTATGGAGTGCCAAGCCCAGCACCAGGTGCAGAGCAAAGCGCAGCATCAGCAGGAGTGGCCATTGCTGTTTTCTGTCTGATATTAGTTCCTTCCAAGATCTCCCTCCTGGTTTGCCAGAGACTGAGCTAGACTTTTCTTGGCCTGTGAATGACATTTATCACTACTTACCAACAGAGCTTTGGATAAATTACTGACTTCTTGCAAAATCTCAGTTTTCTTCTATCCAAAATGGGGGGCAGGGGAGGGGAATCTGAACTTCCTGCCTGTGGAGCAGGGAGAGAATGCCTGTAAAAGCACCTCGAAAACCTCACAGGCTCGGCCTGTGGAGGCACAAGCACCCTTTCCCCTCGTGCTCTCCATCCCTGCTCCATGCTTGTTTGTGGTGGGGTGGGTGGCTGTCACTCAGGGAGGCAGAATGAGGCCCTTAATCTTCTGAGGCCTCTGTGCAGGGAAGTGGGAGGTGAGGGTGCAAGCCTGATGCTTGACCTTTCTCCCCACCAGCTCCGGAACGACTACATGCAGCGCTACGCCAGCAAGGTCAGCGAGGGCATGGCCCTGCAGCTGGGCTGCCTGGAGCTCAGGTATGTGGCCCTGAGGCCTCTGCTGGGAGGGCGCTGTGCTGAGCTCTGGGCAGGCCCGACCTTTCCCCATGTCCAAGATGGGAAGCAGGAATGAGTGTGTGGGAGCCAGGAAGGGGAGAGGTGGTGACCGGCAGCAGGTGAGGCTCTGAGGGGCTGGGTGTTGGGTCTTCAGGATGGCAGGGGTAGATGGGCCAGCCCCCTCCCTAGTCTCACTCTCCTGGCTTCCATTGCTGCCACTGCTCTTGCCTGCAGGCTGCTGGCTTCTTCCATCTGTCAACCACCTTTGCTGCTGTTCAAGCGATTCATCAGATGTTTCTTGAGCACCAGACTAGAATCTGGGGGACATTCGAGCCTAGAGATGTCTATCTGTGTTGCCCATTGCTGTATCCCCATCTCCAGTAGGCACTTGATCAATATGTGTGATATTAGTACATCATCCAGAGAGGCCCTCACACTTCCATGTTGGGGAGGTGACAGATGTGTATACAATTAATCATAATACGAGGCAGAATGAGGATGGCACCAACTTCCATGTAGGAGCCATTCATCCTGCCTGAGAGCATCAGCAAGAGGGTATCTGAATTGCCACTGGAAGGAGGAGAAAGATTTCAATCAGCAGAGAACAGGGGTCAGGGGAGATACACTCCAGGCTCAGGGATCAGTGGAAGGAAAAGCATAGACTGGAGAATCGTGAGCTTGGAGGGATAAGTTGGGGCTGATGGTGGAAGACACCATTGAGACAATGGCAGTCCAATGATATCATTAGAATGACATTGTTAGAATGACATAATTAGAATGACAGTCTAAAAAAATAGGCCTTATTCTTAGCTGCCAGGGGGTCATTGCCATTCAGGACTGAGGAGGGTGATATGGCTGACCTGTGTTCTAGCCCTGTCTTGACCAGGGCAGCACCATTGAGTTTCACCATCCCCTGCCTTTTCACCCTCTCCTTCCCTTCTCTCTACCCCTTCTCTGTCTTAGAGCAGTGGTTTTAACATCTGCTTGCAAATCATAATCACCTGGGAGCTTAATAAACTGGAGACGTCCTGGCCCTACCCTTGGGAGATTTGATTTGGCAGGCCTGGGTGGGACCTTATCCTAGGCGTTTTTGACCAGCCCCCCAGGTGACTTGAATGCCATTAGATATATGGGTTGATGGGATGACTTTCAGGATGACTGCCAAGGAAATCGTTGGCCAAGGATTACTTCCTGTTTTCTAGAACTGCATTTCCGGAGCCTTATCTGTGACCTCATGGTTAATAGAGAGTAGAACTCTGCTGCTGCTTCTACGGAGCCAGCTGAGGGGCACTGGGGAATTCTGGCCCCATTGTGATTCTCAGTCAGAGAGAATGCTGGGGAGTCCTCCGGTGGGGCCAGTAGGATGGGAAAGGGAGAGTCCCACTTTGATTTCAGCATCTGAGGCTTTTGGTATTAGCGACAGAATAGGTCAAGGGCAGCTTCGAGGGCTTCACATTTCGTGACTTTGTCTCAAGAAGCAAGGGAGCATTCGAGTCCTCTGTACAGAGGAGGCCTGTGGTCCCTGCAGCTGCTTAGAAGGCAGCCCAGCTCACTGCCATTAGTAATAATCATGATAGCTCAGTGCTGGCAGACCAGGGGCAGTCTGCAAAGTTTATTTTATTATCTGTGCCTTTCATCCCTTCTCAGACTGCTCGGCTCCTATGACTTGCATTACATCCTGTACTGTCTCATCTTCCCCTCTAAAATTAGACAAGTCGAAAAAGCTTATCTTTACCTTTTTATTTATGGATCTC
The DNA here is from genome assembly GCF_000001405.40 of Homo sapiens. Lineage (NCBI taxonomy): Eukaryota > Metazoa > Chordata > Mammalia > Primates > Hominidae > Homo > Homo sapiens. Next base: position 27,424,156 of record NC_000008.11, read on the forward strand.
ATACCTGGGATGCTAGCATCACTTTGAGACACCTATCACTTGTCACCTGTCAAGCAGTCATCACTTAGTTGTAAAACAGCACCACAAAGACCCATTAACATTCTATTTTATTTTATTATATCCTCCAATCATCCCCAAACTATTACTGGTGGTGGCCTAAGCTCCAGGCACTGCACTAATGTATTGGAGGACAGGGCAAGGCATCCGACATGACTCCTGTAGGTAGTCTTGTCAAGAGTGTAACTGCTGATATCTGCTATAACCAATGCAGGATGATATTCTAAAAGCCACACTTGTTTTGTGCAAGAGATGTATTGTTTCACATCTCCTGAGTGTGAGGAACAGAGTCAGAGAGATGTTCCTATTCTTACTGGTTGACCACTGAAATGCCGGGTGTATGATATCAGGGAGAGGATATGGAAAACACCTATTTTGTAAACCAAATAGAAGATTTGCAGGTCTAATAATTTTTAAAGTTGAATGCAGTTATTTGTTATGATGAGCCATTTTAAAGTCAAGTTACAACTATTTCTCACCCAAAGAGAATTGGACACACTTCGGAAAATTAGGCCATAAGGCAGAATTTTCTAGGGCTGTGGCTCTTGCCTAAAAATGTCCCAGAGTGTGGGGCTACCTACAAATCATGGGCAATAACCCCTTGTCCTATTAACATCATTGATTAGGTCACCTGCCTATAGATATACAACATCTCCAGGAAAAAAAAAAATTGTATCATTTCCTAGCTTAAAAAAGAGGTATGATGTATGCCTGAGATATGAGATTAGTGAAATGAATCCTCCATGGAGTCATGTGTTTCCTGTGTTACTCTGGGCAAGTCGATTACCCGCTCTCTGCCCAGATTCCTTCATCTGTAAAATAGGAATGATAATAGTAACATTATAGTCACGTTGTGTTACTATAAAACACGTTATGTTTCTATATAACATTTGTTATACTATATAACATATATCTGTTAGTATATAACATATATATGCTACTATATAACATATGCTACTATATAACATATATATGCTAGTATATAATATGTATGTTATGTTACTATTGTATAGTATTGCATAGTATACTATAGTATACTATTGTATAGTATTATATGGTATTGCATGCTATACAATAGTAACGTAACAAACCTTGCAGGGTTGTTACAAAGAATAAATGAGTTAATATATTTAAAGTACTTAGAGCAACGACAGGGACCAAAGTATTCAATAATTATTTATTATATTTTACTTACTTTTTTCTCTTTACCCTTCTTTTGTTTGTTTATTTTGAATAGACTTTATTTTTTAGAGAAGTTTTAGATTCTCAGCAAAATTGAGCAGAAGGTACAGAGTTCCTATATACCCCCTTCCCCACACATGCACAGCCTCCCCCACTATCAACATTCTCCACCAGAATTCCCCACCAAAGTGGTGCATTTGTTACAATTGATGAGCCTACATTGACACATCATTATTACCTAAAACCTGTAGTTTACATTAGGGTTCACTCTTGGTATTGTATGTTCTATGGGTTTGGCTAAATGAATAATGACCTATATCTACCATTATAGCATTACGCAGAGTAGTTTCACTGCCCTAAAATTTGTCCATACTCCACCTATCCATCCCTCCTTCCCTCTAACCCTGGCAACCATTGATCACTTTATTGTTGCCATAGTTTTGCCTTTTCCAGAATCTCATATAGTTGGAATGATACCTAGTTAATTTTATTCATTTATTGGAGGTGCTTTATAAATGCCAAATGTTTGATCTAAATAATGCCTCTAAATGAAAGTTTGAAATTCAGGGCCTCTATGCTAGAAATCAGTACCTGCCCAGTTTGAGGAACCAAATAACTTCTCCCCCTTGATCTGAGACACCTAGGACCATTGTCCACCCCCAGCAGAGCCCTAAAACAACAGCAACAACAACTACAACAAAACAGAGAATACGTAACCCCAGATTAGCTAAGTAACTGTTAATAAATAAAGATTAGAGAAACGACACACAGCTTGCTTTGCTTCAAAAGGCATCTTGGTTTGTAGTTAATTTCTATTGATGTTTAGAAGAAAAAAGTAACCAACTGGATTTGGTTTAGTTATTTCCTTATTTTCTGCTGTCCTTACCTGGGTATCAGTCATAGGCTTGTATCTGATTATAGACTCCACCGCTGTCCACCTGGTGTTAGCTACTCAAAATTGCAGGCTTGAGCTGGAAGGACCAGTCAGGCACTAGAGGGCACTCCAGGTAGGCACAGCCTCACTCAGTGTTGGCGGTCCAGGCATATTTGGGAGACGTGGGTGCCCCTGGAGAGCAGCTGAGATGGGACTCAACACAGAAAATTGGGAAGCTACCTTACTGGGGAGAGCAGCGTCTCCCTTGAGTGATGGTTACTAGTTCTCCCAGACATTCCCAAGATGTTCAGTTGCTCCAAGACATTCCCAAGATGTTCAGTTGCTCCAAATGTTAGAAACACCCAGATTGTGGCACATCTGAGTGATTGGACAGTTTTGTCAATGGTGACTATATAAATGATCTTCGATGCCTGAGAGAAGGGCCATTTGGGACACAGGGAGTGGCCTAAGCAAGCTGGATTCAGGAGATTGGGGTGACCTTGATGTGCTAGCTGAGCTTCCTTTACCCTAATAAAACATTTTTCCATTCACTACCACCTTGATCATGCTAAAATGCTCTTATTTTTTATGTGACTTAATTGTTCAGTGTTAATTTCAAAATGTGTTTACCCTTTCATTTAGCTAACCCTGTTTTAAAAAATTTAATATTTAAATATCCCAGTCTTCCAAATTCTTTCTTCACAAGTCTCGAAGTTCATTTATTCATTCAACAACAGATCATAAGCCTGGAGTGGCTTTAGGAGACCACTCTCCGTCGTGGCTGGGAAGCAGATCTCACCCCGTGGGTGGGTGATGCATCCTCCTGCTTGGCACAGTCTTCTCATTTCCCTTTTCAGCGTAGTAAACTCTTCTATCTTCTGGCACCTTTAGAAAACATACTGAGCCCGTGTTACCTGCTTGTCCTCTACATACATAGGAAACCTCAGCGTGAGCCTATGAGGTGTCAATTACAAGCAGTGTGACCATCTGCTCTTCCCATCAAGCCAGCCTAAGGGTCTCTTCATCTTGAAGCCTTTTCTGCCCCATCCTGAATCCCTCCAGCCCCCTTTGCAAAACCACTGTACTTGCACACAGCTCTGTGAGGCAAGGACATGTCCCCGTGCACCAGATTGTGAAAATCTGTCAAATCCTTAGAGTCAGAATGGGTGCTGCCTTTGCCTGGCACATCAGAGCTCAATACACAGTTGAATAAATGGATAACTGAAAGAACTGAAATCTTCTTCCTCAGTGGACCTTTGCCAACATTTATTCTGTTAGAATTAAATAGTTGTGTACAGCAAGCCAATGTGTTCAGTTACCTAGGAGTATATTTTATGGCTCACTCAACCCAGGGGAACTGTAGATGACCAAGCTGCCTATAATCACCCAGAGGTGTCTTATTAATGTGGAGGCTGAGCAGGTAACACTGGCTTGACATGTTTTCTGAAGCTGCCGTGGTCAGTCGCATGGAATTTTGGGATCTTAACTGCAGGCACTCTTCAGGTGGGAGGAGGAAGAGGAGGAGGAGCTTCCATCCAGGGGAGAATCCTGGGTAGGCTTCTCATGTCCTATACCTCAGAGGCCCCCAACCTTTTGGGCACCAGGGACCAGTTTCGTGGAAGACAATTTTTCCATGCACCCTGGTTGGGGTGGGGGATGGTTTCAGGATGATTCAAGCACATTACATTTATTGTGTACTTTATTTCTATTATTATTACATTATAATATATAATAAAATAAATATACAACTCACCATAATGTAGAATCAGTGGAAGCCCTAAGCTTGTTTTCCTGCAACTAGACAGTCCATCTGGATGTGATAGGAGACAGTGACTGATCATCAAGCATTAGATTCTCATAAGGAGCGTGAAACCTAGATCCCTCACATACATGGTTCACACTCCTATGAGAATCTAATGTCACCACTGATCTGACAGGAGATGGAGCTCAGGCAATATAGCAAGTGATGGGAGACAGCTGTAAATACAGATGAAACTTCAGTCACTCACCCACTGCTCACATCCTGCTCTGTGGCCAGCTTCCTAACAGGCCAGGACCGGTCCATGGTCCAGGGGTTGGGGACCTTTGCTACACCTGAATATCATTCCTATCTGCCAGTCTTCTGGTTTCCAATACCGCACATCTGCCCTTAGCAAGAACATCCCATCTCAGGCACCATTGCTTACCTCCCTCTGTCAGACACTCAGTACAGAGAAGTAAGGGTAGGGAAGAACCCATCTTCTTAGTGTTCTAAGTTCTCTTCTTGGATCAAATTCCCAGGGTTTTCTAGCCTCACTACTGCTGACATTTGGGGCTGGATACTTCTTTGTTAGGGAGGATTGGGGGTGGACTTCCTGTGCATTGAAGGATGTTTAGCAGTATCCCTGGTCTCTACCCACTTGATGCTGGTAGCACCACCAACCCCCTACTCCAACTAGCTGTGATAACCAAAACTATCTCCAGACATTGCCCAGTGTTTCAGGCTGGGGCACAGAGTGCAAAATTGGGACCATATTTCTTAAGAGGTAATTACTTATTTTGCTTGACAGTATATTCAAAGATACCATTTATTAAAAATTATTAAGGATATAGCGTTTTACATTTTATATTTTTATTAGATATTTCCTCTATGATTTCATGCCTTGAGTGTCTTCTTTTTAATTCTTTTGAGACGGAGTTTCACTCTTGTCACCCATGCTGGAGTGCAATGGTGCAATCTCGGCTCACTGCAACCTCCGCCTCCTGGGTTCAAGTGATTCTCCTGCCTCAGCCTCCCGAGTAGTACGTGCCACCATGCCTGGCTAATTTTTGTGTTTTTAGTAGAGACAAGGTTTCACCATGTTGGCCAGGATGGTCTCAATCTCTTGACGTTGTGATTTGCCCACCTCGGCCTCCCTAAGTGCTGGGATTACAGTCATGAGCCAACACATTCGGCCTAACCTTCCTATTTTCTAAAGACAATGAACTGTCTAAAAGTCATTGCTTTTGAATCATAAGTTACTTCCCTCACTCTGCTTATATTATTAGTTGCACAAAACTTTTACCAGATATTTATAAGGATGCCCGAATTAAAGGAACACTGAATGACTTTAATATAAGATCAGGAGTAGGATAATGTCTGCAACAGTCAATGAAATTACTAGTCACAGTGGCCCAGACAGGGAAGGGAGGCTGGCACATGTGAGAACATTAGCTATTTGGTCTCAGCTTAAGCCACAATTGCATAAAAGTATTTATCAAGGCATACATTTTTAGGGGAAATGAGACTTAAATAATATGAGTAAAATATTAATAGCTGCCTCCTCTGGTAAGACTATGAATAATTTTATTTTCTTCTGTAAGTCCTAAAGTTTGTATATGTACAGTGGTACCTTTAACAAGTGTCTAAATGAACACACAAACATACACACATATAATATCTCAGAGATAGCAAATAAGTGAAAAGGAAATCACAAGAGCCCCCCAGGACCTGCAGGTGAAGGTCAGTGTTCCTAGGCTGATCATTCAAGCATTGGCTGCCTTGGGCCTTTGTTCTTAGAGGCCACAGATGGAGCCACCATCTTCCTCCTCAGCCCAGTATCTGCCCATTCCTAAAGTGAGTTTCCTAGGATGCAAGGCTGGAGTCTTTTCTTGGAATGACATTTGTGGGGTTTCCTTTTCCTCACAGGTCAAAATACTAAATTTTATGACTCTCCTAACTTCCTTTCTCCTGATGATTCCCACGTATGGCAGGGGAAGGGGGCTTCTGGTGGCATGAGGTGCCCTGGGTCTGACTGCCTCATTCTCCAGCCTTCAGCCTCCCTCTCCACCACCTATTTCTCCAGGCGGTTCTTCAAGGATATGCCCCACAATGCACTTGACAAGAAGTCCAACTTCGAGCTCCTAGAGTAAGTTCTGGGATCACCCATCTCCCCTCCCTTCCTGTCCTTCCATGTGTACTTTTCCTCCTCACCCTCTCCTCCACCCCTCCCCAGACCAGAGCCACATAGGGCCGTCTCTAGGTCCCAAAGCCCTCTCACCTCTTCCTGATTGGCCCGCAGTCCTGTGGTGGGGGTGAGGGGGAGTCACATGCTGCCTTTTTCTTCCTTCTTGCAGAAAGGAAGTGGGGCTGGACTTGTTTTTCCCAAAGCAGATGCAGGAGAACTTAAAGGTGAGGAAACCAATGGGCGAGGACCTCTTCGTGCTGATTCCCGAGACTAGAGTGTAAGGGATGAGGCTGGGGCTGGGGATACTCAGAGAAGCCAGGGTATCTGCGCGGCCTCGGGCATTTGGACACAGGACCACTAAATGTACCCAGGGGTCCTCTCTGGGGCTGGGGATCCAACTGTTACATGCCTGGGCTCCGGCTCCGTATCGAGGCCGTATCAGCTCTGCGGCCCCAGTACTGGGAAGCTACCCCTCGCCCCCTCAACCTCCTTCGTAGGGTTACGGGGAGTCTCCCTTGAGACAATGGGTATGGGTTTTAGGTCATAGATCACAGCTGCTTTTGGGGCAAAGGCCCTGGGGATCATTTTCGAGCAGTGGGCAGTCTCTCAGCGAGACCCTAAGGGAAGGAGTGAGACCTGGGAGGAGCAGGCATTGCTCACACGGCCCATCCCCTCCCCCAGCCCAAACAGTTCCGGAAGATGATCCAGCAGACCTTCCAGCAGTACGCCTCGCTCAGGGAGGAGGAGTGCGTCATGAAGTTCTTCAACACTCTCGCCGGCTTCGCCAACATCGACCAGGAGACCTACCGCTGTGAACTCATTGTAATGGCGGGCTCTCTTGATCCTCTCCCTGACCTGGATTCCAGGCCTCTCGGAAAAGGGGGCCAGGAGGGGGCAGGGAGAGGCTGCAATCGCTGCAGATTCTCACTCAGGCAGCAGGACCTCGCTGACCTGCCGTCGGTGGAAGTCAAAAGCATCCCCTTGCCTGAAGCAGGCACTGAAATGTTGGCCTCCAGCTCTGGGAGGTGGGCAGGACAGGCAAGGTGTCAGGAGGGGAAGATCCATATGGCCAGGGTTTCGGTGAGAAGGAGCTGGAGACCCAGGAAACAGTGGCTTGTGTCTAGCTTAGGGAGCTTTTCTTCAAGTTTCTGAAGAATGGGGAGGACAGCTCTGGAACAACAGTCCACTCTCCTTTTATTCCAGCAAGGATGGAACATTACTGTGGACCTGGTCATTGGCCCTAAAGGGATCCGCCAGCTGACTAGTCAGGACGCAAAGGTAGAGAGACCCGGGGCAGCCCCACCCAGCCCCAGGCGGGGAGGTCGTCCCCTCTCTGCTGCCTCCCGCCCTGTCTGCCCCTTCAGTTCTTCTTGCCCCTGTTGCTGAAAGCAGAGTTCTTCTAAGGCCATGCCCTGGCGTGAGCAGCAGTGGAGAGCATTTAGAGATGGCAGCATGGGACAGATGGCCCTTTACATCCCTGTGACTGTCATCTGCACAGAGGTGGTGGGAGGGGGAGACAAGGCCTCAATGATTACTCGCAGAGCTCAGCAGTGTTGCTCTTTCAGTGACAATATAAGGCATGATTCCCTTGGAAGTCAGGGGACCTGGGTCCAGTCCTGGCTCCACTGCCAGCTTGGCACATGATGTTGAGCAAGTCCTGGCTTTCTCTAGACCTCATTTTCTCCTTGGCATAGGGAGGGGCTTGGTCTAGATCAAGCCTGTGGTCCCAGGATGGCTTTGAATGCAGCCCACCACAAATTCGTAAACTTTCTTAAAACATGTTGAGATTTTTTTGTGCGATTTTTTTTTTTACCTTCATCAAGTAGTGTTAGTGTATTTTATGTGTGGTCCAAGACAATTCTTCTTCCAATGTGGCCCAGGGAAGCCAAAAGATTGGACACCCCTGAACTAGAGGATCCTTCTAGCCTTAATAGTGTTTGATTCTCTCTTCATCTCCCAGAGAAACTCCCAGTTCCTCCTCACCCCGGCTCCCCCATACTGACCAATCTGCATGGCCTAGTCCTGGTAGTGGGATGGTCTGAAGCTCCCCCTTCTTTTCCCACAGCCCACCTGCCTGGCCGAGTTCAAGCAGATCAGGTCCATCAGGTGCCTCCCGCTGGAGGAGGGCCAGGCAGTACTTCAGCTGGGCATTGAAGGTGCCCCCCAGGTGAGTGTCTCTGGGCACTGGGCACCTGGCAGCTCTGCAGGGGGTATAATGGCAGATTGGGAGCTCTTGCTCAGACCAAAAGTCTGTGACACACAGGAAGCCAGGAGCTTCCTGGCTTTGGGGATCGTGTTAAGAAAACTGCACCAAGTTCTTAGACAAAAGGTACCAGGATGATGATAAATTGTAGGAAAATTCGGGAAACAATTTTTTTAATGTCAGGAGAAGAAATTGGGAAGGTTTTCAGGTAGTGGAATGTTCAAGGTGACCAGAAATCAGGTATAAATCACAGGCCTAAGTTATACCAAGAGAACAAGGATGCGGACATCAAGACCTCAAAAACATGGGTTTTTTTGTTTGTTTGTTTGTTTGTTTTTTACAGTAAAACACCCAGAGAGACCTCAGGCTGCATCTCTCTCTCCTTTCACCCATCTGTGCCCTGCCCCATTGCCTCCCCTTCCTCTTTCTTTCTTTCTTTCTTTTTTTTAGACAAAGTCTCACTCTGTCACCCAGGCTACAGTGCAGTGGTGCAATCTCAGCTCACTGTAACCTCCACCTCCACAGTTCAAGAGATTCTCCTGCCTCAGCCTCCTGAGTAGCTGGGACTACAGGTGCATGCCACAAGGCCCAACTAATTTTTGTACTTTTAGTAGACACAGGGTTTCACCATGTTGGCCAGGCTGGTCTCAAACTCCTGACCTCAGGTGATCTGCCTGCCTCGGCCTCCTAAAGTGCTGGGATTATAGGCATGAGCCACTGTGCCCAGCCCCCTCTTCCATTTTCTCAGTTTCTGCTTCTATTTATTGAGCACCTACTAGGTACCAGGCATCGTGCTATGTGCTCAGAGGCCAAAATAAGTGAGGCCTGGGACTGGCCTTTGGAGAGCATGGGCGTACAGGTGAAAGGGGTGACAGAGTGCAGTCTGGACTCCAGGGCAGGGCCCCAGGAGAGGTGCAGACAGCATTGGCATCCAGGCAAGGGTTGTGGCAGGGGTCCTGCCATCTCTTCTCCAGCCCTGGGGGTGGTCTCTAGCCAAGGCTCTGGGGTCTCACCCTTGGCTGGTCTCTGCTCCGCAGGCCTTGTCCATCAAAACCTCATCCCTAGCAGAGGCTGAGAACATGGCTGACCTCATAGACGGCTACTGCCGGCTGCAGGGTGAGCACCAAGGCTCTCTCATCATCCATCCTAGGAAAGGTGGGTTCCATTTAAAGGTAAAGTGGCTGGACCACGGGTGGCAGCACACCCGAGTCCCCAGAGGCGGAGTGGCAGAAGCTAAGCCACTGATGGATAAGTGAATGAGGATTCTTCCCCCACAGCCCAGCGGGAAGCTTCCAGTGGGCCCATCTTAGGCTTTAAGCCCTGGCCGGTCCACCTACCCACAGCCCTGCTAATCAAGGTCCACATAGAGGCAGCTTCTGGAGGAGAGGCGTTTTAGCCCCAGCAAGCTCAAAGCCATTGCTAGTAGAAGGCTGGTCCCGCCTGTGTGTGTCTCCATCTTGGGTCAGATTCAGGAAGCAGGGGTCACAGCTGGAGCACGTGAAATCTGGCCTGAGGCAGCCTCCAAGGAGGATTCCACTTCTGGCCCAAGGCCTCACTAGCTCCCAGGCTAGGAGAGAATGGAATTAGGGGCTGGGATGGGAGGAGAGTCCCTTGTAGGAATAGTGAGGAGGTCAGTCACCCATCCAGGTCCCTGTGTCCCCAGCTCCAACCTCCTCCTTCCTCCTCTCTTCCTAGATGGTGAGAAGCGGAACAGCCTGCCCCAGATCCCCATGCTGTGAGTACAATGGGGTGCAGAGGACAGGGCCCTGAGCTCAGCCTGTGCTGCTGAGAGGAATAAGAATAAACTGGGAGTCCCCACCTCCATAGTTTCTGGCTTTCAGGCCCAGGAGAACCCTGAAAAAAGATGATCTTTCCCTCCCAATAAATACCTGCAGGAATATTCCTATGCCTTCATGCCACCTGGTGTTATCCTGGGGGGTTGCTGCTGTCCCCCAACTCCAGCCCCCAGCAGCCTGGGCTGTGCTCCCAGGTCATTGCTAATTTGGACAGACTACTTCTCCACAGGGGGCAGGAGGAGAGGGCGGGCCGAGGCTGCCCAGGGGAACATTACCGGCCTCTGAGCTCACCTGGCTTCTGCTCTCTCACCTCCTACAGAAACCTGGAGGCCCGGCGGTCCCACCTCTCAGAGAGCTGCAGCATAGGTGAGCTGCCCGCTGCATCCTCCACCTGCTCCAGTTGCCTCCCGTCTGCTTGCTCCCCACTGCTTGCTCTCGTGACATTGCCGAGGGTTTCCTCCAAGTGACAGAAAAATGATCCTCTCCCATAACTTCTCAGTGATGGCTTTAAAATATCGTGAATTATGGCTGGGTGCAGTGGCTCATGCCTGTAATCCCAGCACTTTGGGAGGCCAAAGTGGATGGATCATGAGGTCAAGAAATCAAGACCATCCTGACCAACATGGTGACACCCCATTTCTACTAAAAATACAAAAATTGGATGGGCATGGTGGCATGTGCCTGTAGTCCCAGCTACTTGGGAGGCTGAGGCAGGAAAATAGCTTGAACCTGGAAGGCGGAGGTTGCAGTGAGCTGAGATGGCACCACTGCACTCCAGCCTGTCAACCCAGCAAGACTCCATCTCAAAAAAAAAAAATCATGAGTAGTAATCGCTAGTGTGTATTGAGTACTTAGTACATGGCTTAAGCAGCTTGGGCTGCCATAACAAAATACTATAGACTGGGTGGCTTAAAACCAGATACTTTATTGCTCACAGTTCTAGAGGCTGGAAGTCCAAGATCAAGGTGCTGGCTGAGTCTGCATCTGGTGAGGGCTTTCATCCTCATTTGCAGATAGCTATCCTTTCACTGTGGGCTCACGTGATGAACAGAGAGTTCTGGCCTCTCTTCTTCTGTGTACATGAGCACAGATCCCATTATGGGGGCTCCACGCTCAGGACTGCACCACCTCCCAAAGGCCCCACCTCCTAATCCCATCGCATTGGGAATTAGGGCTTCAACAAAGGAATTTGGGAGGTACACAAACATCCAGTCCTTAATGGTATTAAACATGCAACAGGTATTATTTGATTCAATCTTTATAGCATCCCCCAATACTCATTTCATAAAAGGGAAAACTGAGATTAAGGGAGATTAACCAACTTGCCCTAAATAATGCAAATCGGGAAGCAGAGAGCAGGGAGTTCAGCCAAGGTGCCCTGGGCTCTGTGGCCACTCTAAAACCTGGGCTGGGAGCCCGGGACATGCCTGGCTTCTCCTCCTACCCCCTTGGGCTCCACTGGCCTCCAGCAGGGAGCCCCACACCTGATTCCTGGCGGTGCCCACCAAGGGCATCTTGTCCACGGCTGAGCCTCTTCCTGTTGTTCCAGAGTCAGACATCTACGCAGAGATTCCCGACGAAACCCTGCGAAGGCCCGGAGGTAGGTTCTCGACCCCGCCACAGCGACCGTAGTCAAGGCCCTGTGAAATGACATGGCAAGGACTCTG